>NT_167246.2:780907-1082049 GCF_000001405.40 Homo sapiens | reverse complement strand
CTGACCTCAGGTGGTCCACCCACCTCAGCCTCCCAAAGTGCTGGGATTACAGGCGTGAACCACCACGCCTGGCTTAAACTTTTGAAATAAGTGCATAATACTTGATGTTGATGATGTGTTCTGAAAACACTGAGTTGAAGGAATTGAGTTGAAAGCCGCTGTCTTGGCTGCAGAATTATAGCAGGCATTTTTATTTAGATTCTGTCAATAACTTTCTGTTGTTTACTTGTTTCTCATATACCGTGGCATTGTACTTTTGACATACAGATTCAGAAAATGCTTACTTATAGCACAATCACATAGGGTTATTTTATATGTTAGGAAATTTTCATAATAAAAAGGAAAAAATGGAGGAAGGGAGGGAAAGGAGGAAGAGAAGAAGGAGTGAAAGAAGAAAAGAAGGAAGGGGAAGGGGAAGAAAAGGGAAGGAAAGCAGAGTAAAAAGGAGGGAAGGCGAGAGGTTGAATGGAAATAGAGAAGAAAGAGAGGGAGGGAGGGACAGAAGGAAGGAGAAAGGGAAGGAACAAAAAAGAAAAGAAACTAAAATAAAGAAAAGAATACACGTTGAGAAACTAGAAACCCTACGTATGGCCAATATTATGAAAATGGAAGGAAATAAAGCAGATGTACGTAACCTGTATAGAATAATGGAAATGTAAGAGGGCTTCATTAGTTATCCATTGCTGCATAACAAACTACCCCCAAATTTAGTGATTAAATCAACAAACATTGACGAACTCAAAAACATAATACAAATACCAGCAAAATGGAGCCAACGCAAGTAGAAGAAGTTGAATAAACAAAAGGATTTTACAAATTGGAATAAGAGGACACTGGTGTGTAGATGAAAATGATTTTGTAGTCCAAATCCTCCAAAAAGCAAGTGCCATCATGGGGTTAAAGTTACAGCATTTTATTAGGGGACATACCTGTCAGACGATATTGTGAGGGAGTCAGGTTACCCTGGGAAAGGCAACAGGCCGAGATGCAAGTGTGACCCCCAGTGATGGACAGAAGGAGAGAAGGTTTACTGGATGTTTCCTAGACCACAGGCAATCTAAGGAGAGTTGAGCAAGGCCATGGAGAAGACCCGGAGCCACCATTGGCCGTCAGAGGAGTCCCCTGTCTCCCAGGAATGTCCTGCCTTAGTGTCACTGGTGTGAGCCATCACTGACTGGGAACAGCCCATGGGAAGCAGGGCCTCCATACCAATGCTACTGAGGATGTCAGAGCACAGGAGCAGGGCCTTGGGAGATTACCCAGGAGTGTGACTCAAACCTGCTGCCCAGATGGGTCTGGGTTCTTGGAAATCAAATCCTCTCAGGCTAAATTGCTGGATGATTCTGCTCACACTTACAATGGGGCAAGGGGACCCAGAAGGTTCCCAGGTGGATGTCTGGTTTCCACACACACTTCTGCCCTCATTGTGTGAAAGCAGCCATGCCTCCTCCTGGGGATGAGGGCCTATTACCTGGGCCTGGAGAGAAGGACACTCCTCTTCTCACGATGTGGTCTCTGGGAACATGCTCTCCAAACTTCTCTGGTGACTAAAGTAATGTGTAGTTCAATGGGCTCTCTTTTGTCTACTTTTAAGGGTACCCTCCTTTGGAAACCAGGACCTCCTAACCCGCACAGCCCATTGTTGGGAGATAAAAAAGGCAAAATACCTTAGTGGGTGAATCTAAGAGATTGGACATGGAGCCATACCTGCTTCCACCTTTTGATTTCTGGACCTACATGTTCTTCCATTGAGAACACAGCACCATAGAGACATCTCTGATTCAAACAATGTACCATGTTCTGAAAGATGGCACTTTCAGAGTGCTTCCTCCAGGCTGGCACTGAGTTGTGCCTATAGAAGACCTGTCCAGCATTCCTTGTGGCTGGTAGCTCCTGGGTGGTGCAGATGGTGATAGGATTAGTGGAACCCACAGCCATGGAAACTTTAAAACTTTCCAGGCCAAATGGGTCCTTCAGGCAGAGAATGGGCTAGGAGCACCGCCTAGCCTGCAGATCAGGAATGTCAACAGCACCCGGAGAGTGGTGCTGGCTGAGTGTCAGAGCAAGACAGGAAAACCCACCCATGGAATATGGGCCTATTTCTGTGAAGATGAACCTCTGGCCCTTCCAGGATGGAAGTAGCTAAATGTAGTCACTTGTTACTTAGTGGCTGGTCGCCTAAAGAAATAGCGCCCCACTAGGGCACATCATGGGCTCCAAATGCTGACGAGTTGACATTCAGGAGTGGCAGTAGCTGGATCTACCTTGGTAGGGCTGGGAGAGTCAGTGCTGCTGGCCTCATACATAGCCTCATGCCTGCCACTGTGGTTGCTCCATTCATGCACCCATCCTACCAGGCCTGGGCTGACCCATGGTGAAGGCTGGCTAACTGCCATTTGTCTGTTTGGTAGTTCAGTGCCACTTCAGACTTGGGTGTTTTCTGTGGGTGTCAGCAAGGGATTCAAGCTCAACCCAGGTGGACCATTTTCACCTGTTGATGAATGCTGTTGGGCCTGTGCAATTTATGACTTTGTGGGTCACACAGCCACTTGGAACCACATTGTTGTTTGGTGTCCCATGGTCAAGCATTCTATCAAATCAGGACAAGTAACACTAAATGTTGCTTCTAACAGGGGGCATATGTCTCTGCTGTGGATGACATGATCTTACTCCAGAATCCCAGGCCCTTCATTGTGACTCTCCCACTGGTGCTTGGTTCAGCTCCATCCTGCATCTTTCCCCACCACTGGCACCACCAGCCCCAAGGGGTCTGAGGGATGCTGGCTGCTTGTACCATGGCCTGGATCTGCTACAAGGTCCTTTCCTGTGTGGGCCCCACATGAAGGTGGCCTCCTCCTATGTCACCTAGAGTGTGGGCCAAAGCAACACACCTAAATGTGGAATGTGGTGTCATCAGAACTCAAAGAGGCTCATCAGGCAGTGTGCTTCCTTCCTTCTGGTGAGGATGCAAGATGAAACAGTTTGTCTTTTACCTTGGAGGGGACACACCTGCATTCCCCTAAACACTTGGCACTTGTTCACCCATAAAACTTCACTTCAGTGGCCACTCTTGAAGCTCTGTAAGGTTTACCTTCACCTTCTGGAGTGTGCTTGTTTTGCCAAGGACTCCAGTGCAGTTTCTACCTGCTGCTCATCCACCCCAGTAAACATGAAATTGTCAATGAAATGAGCTGATTTAATATCCTATAGGATATCCAGTATGTCTAGTGTAGTCTTAAGACTATATACTATAGCGGGCAGAGGAGTTACAATAGCCCTGAGGCAAATGATAAATAAATGTGTTGTGGATCCCACATGAATGTGAATCATTCCATATCCCCTTTCTAATTGGAGTGGAAAGGAATGCACTCACCAAGTCTGCAGCTGCACACTGTGGGCCCAAGGATTTATTAATCTGCTCTACCAGTGATATCCAGACAACATAAAAGCTGCAATTATAACTCCTACTTGGCCATACCTAGAGTAATCTCATTCATTCTTTAGGCATCATCAGGCTCCCTCAGGGACAGTTTGCTGGATTACGTAGAGACGATAGACAGCCCCAACACCACCCCACATCCTTCAGCTCTCTCATGGTGATGTGACCCCCACAGTACTTTCAGTGCCTTCCACAAGACACATGAGGTTGCCTGGTTGCTGTGGTGCCCGCTTTCCACCCCACCCTCCCGTACCCCCATGTCACTTTCATTGTGTCCTGAATAACAGTTTCAAGTTTGTCTATGGCTTCTGCGAGGAGCCAGGACATCCAGATAGAATGGGCCACATGAATCAATTGGTACGTGTTTCTCCTTTCAGGCAGAGTCTCACTCACTTCACACAAGCACAGAGATCCCCATATAGGCAACTAGATTATGAGAAACAAACGCACCCATCCAAACCCAAAGAATGGACTCTGAGACCCAGAGAACAGCAAAAGTGAGAGTGTTAGTGACGGTTTTGCAATATTGGGTGTCTGGAATGCAGGCACACCAGGGAGAGTTTCAACAATTTATTCCCTAGTGCGCAACTCCCTCCCCCAGTTGCTCATTAGCTGAGTACCAAGGACTTACGATCTTCCCGGATGTCACCTATTGGTAGTTTAAGACTTCAAGTATGTTCCTTAGGGTTTTTTTTTTTTTTTTGCTGCATTTTGTTGCAGCCCATAATGCATTGTGATTGTCTCAGGACTCTTTAAACATTTGACTTATGTCCCTAATGGCTGCACTTAGTTGATAAGAAAGGGTACAATTATCTATGTTGCAAGCTAGCCTAAACTACATTTTTTGGTGAGGTGGGGAAGGGGTCGTTGAGGGGGCCCCAACCGATAGGTGCCTGGCCAGTGCATGAAAGGGAAAGCAAGAAGTAGGGGGGATGGTGGCTTAGTACATTTTCCTTCTTTATCTCTTTATGACCATGTGGCCTGCTTAAACCTATACTAAGGCACATAGAATTGAAAATGAACCATCACATGTAGGTTATTTTTTACACCCTTAAGTCCTGCCCAAGCCAGGGCTGGGCCAAGGCCCTCGAACATCCAGCTGTGGCCTCCTCCTGCTGCAGGTGAGGAGTGGGCAGCAGGGAGGGCCGTGGTGCCTGCTTTGTCCCCATCCCGGTCTCTGTCTCTCAGGCTTACCAGGTCGCATCCAGGTGGGTGAGTTGGGAATTGCGTGCTGATTGCTGAGGGCCTGGATGATCGCTATCTCAGAGGGAGCAAATAGTAAAGGCAGATGTGATCTAGGGAGGGCTAGAAACTGGAGAGGAATCCAAGGAGAGGTGGTGCCTCTAGTCCCTTCCTCTCTGCATCCCCCTCCCCTGTTTCTCCAGCCATCAGGAGGACATCAAGAAAAAGACCCACGAGGCCCAGAATGAGGGCCCCCATGTGTACAGCCCCTTTGAGGTCCCCTTGTAACAGGGAGAGTCCTGAGTGCACATGGCCATCCTCTGTCCACTTTGCAGCTCCCCATATGCCTCATCTGGGAGCTGTCTCAGGGGTGTCACGTCCTCTGGGTCCCTCGAGACCGTGCTTTTTCTGGGTTCCCACCATATGGCCCCTGTCTCCCTGTGTTTCCTTGCAGATAATATGGACCAGTTGATAAGCAGATGTCCCTGGGCTATTTGGGGAGTGGGGACCAGCCCTCTGTCAGGGCAGCTGTGGTCCCTGTTTTCATCCCATGTCCAGGTGTTACTTTTTCCAGCCCCCGAGGGTCATAGTACCCAGTGGGCTGTTTTTTGGGCTTTGTTCTGTGCTCTGTGGCCTCACCTTGCCTTTCCTGAGCCAATGTTTTTGTTCTTAGTGTAGTCGCTGCCTGGTAAGTTTACAATAAGAGACAGTCAGAATCATTTCCCCCACAGTCAGGTTGTTTGAGGGGAGAGGAAAAGAGCAAGCAGAAAGTTTTGAGTTTCTGCAAAGACAGAGGCAGTGCAGGGGACAGTGAGAGTCTGGGGTGTCCAGGAAACCCGAGTCTTTCTGCCATTTCTCCACTTCCGTGTGTCTGGCCAGTGAGGTGGTGGTGACTCATCCTTGAACCTAATTGCACAGTTAGTTGGCCACTCAGGCCTGGGCAGATGGGACGGTTCATCCCCTGCCCTGCAGCAAGAGGGCCCCGTCCAGGAGGCAACCACAGCACGGGCAGTGCAGGTCTGTGGTTGCTCCTGCTCTCACCTGCGGTGTCTCCTATAGAGGGATTGTCAGTTCTGGTTCCCTGTAGGCAGGAAAGGTTTTCTCGTAGGTCACTGGGACATTGGCCAGAAAAAGGCATGAAAATTACATGTTAGTTTCTCAAAATTCCTGCTTTAAGTATTGGTGTCCATCAACATAATTTCAGCTGGATAATCTTAATAGGATTTCCCCCAATACTGATGTTGTAAAGGATGTTGAATAGAACAGGAAGTCAAATTTGGGGCTTCGTTTCTCAGAGGGTCCATGTGGGAGACAGTGCCTGTGGCAGTGGCAATCCCCAGGTGCAGAGGGTGCGTAGAGGCAGCCTCAGGATGAGGGGTCTGAAGAAACCCCCTACTCCACAGGCGAAGAAGATCCCCTGTGAGCTGCGATGGCAGTGGCCTGGGTGGAATCCCTGTTAGGAATGGGACAGGAAGGGCTTGCAGCCTCACCAAGCAGCAGCCCTGGGGTGGAGCTGCATTTCCAGGGTTGAGTGGACAGGCAGGAGCAAGCACAGCCCAAATGCAGGTTATGGGGAGGGCAGGCTGGGCCTCCTTGAGCAAGGGGGTCCCCAGCATCAGGTCAGGTGCAGACTCCATGGCAGCCACATATTTCCATGCCGGGCCTGTGAGCCCCAGGGCTTCCTGATAGGATCTCTTGTTAGGAGCTGTCTGCTCAGAGCTGGGAGGGGAGGAACAGTGAGCTGCTGGTGGAGGGCAGAACCCACAGTGTGCAGGGCCTGCCCTGGTATGCAGGTGCCTCTGCAGGTGAAGAGGGCCTGGGGTCTCAGGAAGAGAAGGACTGTGTGTGACTTGGCCCAGACCTGGAAGGACATGGAGACAGGGCCAGGGCCTCTCTTTGGGGAGGCCTCTCACTGTGTCAGGGCTGGTCAGGCTTGAGAGGAGGAGGAAAGGGCACTGAGTTTCCTCCTGGGTCTTGTTCCTTAGTCCTGGGTCCTTTCACTCACTGCACAATGGATGGTGGACACAGGGCAGGTGCTGATGTTGATGGAGTCACGGGAGGGGACTGGCAGGGGCTGGAAAAGTGCGATGGGAGGGAGAAAAAAGTGGGGACGTCATCTTCCGTCAGAGAAAGGGTAAATCTGATTTGGGAGTGACTGAGGAGGGAGAACTCCTCAGGGAATAAAAAGCAGCACTCTGCACCCAGGGGAGCATTTATTGGTTTCTCTCTTTTTTCCAGAGCGCGTGAGCCTGCAAGGCCTGGGTCAACACCTGGTTGGGACAGGAGACCACCAGGGCAGTGCACAGCTGAGATCTCAGTCTCTGGTGTCAGCTCCTGGGTTCGCTGGCTCCACTGAGGGCAACTAGACTCTGCAGCCAGGCGATCTGGATTCAACTCCTTGCCTAGGCCTCACCAGCATGTTCTCTCTTTTGCCTCATTTTCCTCATCTATGACATGGGGAAACTACGAGCATTTATTTCTTGTGGTTGGATGAATGAAAAGGGTTAGTATATATGGGGTATTTGCAGCTGTGCCATATTATTTTTGTTATTTTGTTATTTTATTATATTTTGATATATTACATATGCAGTAATTGTATTATTATAGGTGAGCATTATGAGTGAGTGTCCTGCTGATGGCTCCTTGGTCCTGGCCCAGCACCAGCTTTCCTGGCACCTTGAGGTCCTGTCATCTCTGTCATGCTCTCCTGCATTACCCCATTCTACTCTGTCTTCATATTTTATACTATAGATATTTAACTCTTAAATAGACATTTCTGGTCTGCGTTTTATTTCAAGTGTCTGGGAAGGGATAGTGTGAGGTTCAGGAGAGAAGGAGAGGTCTGTCTCCATGCTTTGACACAGCATAAAGAAACCTTCCCTCCTCCCCCACATCTCCCCGCCAGTTCTCAGTGAGGGACAGATTCACAGCAACACCGAAAGGGCTGGGAAGGGATGGGGGGACATTTGCAGCCAGTGTTCAGGGGCTGACCCTGTGGGGCAACATCTTCCCTGCAGAGTTAGAGCCCACATATGATGATGTAGAGCTGAAGGGTGATATCAGGGAGGGGACGGAGAGTGCTTTGTGGTTTCCTGATTACGAAGAGTAGAGGTCAGTCAGCTTCTGGGGTGAAGTGACTGCTGGGGAGATTGGATTGAATTAATGAAGAATAAGTGAGCTGGGATTGAGGATGAGTAAAGCAAGCATCAGCATCTCCCGCCATCAGTTCAGACTGATTGGGGAGGTGGGATAGTTCCTGACCTTGTTGTGTGGTTCCTCCTAACTTCCTGGTCTTGGGGACACAGATGGGTGGTGCTGTTCTTGGTCAGGGCAGCCTCAGCTCCATCCAGATAAAGCAGTGGTGGCAGAGAGAGTTAGGGGAGCACCTGTGAAACAGACCAAGGCAGGGATGGGAGCCTTCTGTGCAGCCAGAGTGGATGCAGGACCTGCCTGGATGCAAGAGAAGGATGAGGGACCCTAGCTGGGTCCTGTTCCCTGACTCCCTGTGTTCACAGGGCAACCAGTAAGGGAGCTGGGGTAGGGAATTCATTCATAAGCTATCTATCTAGAGATGTGTTTATAGACATATTATTTCATGTTTGTATTCAGGTTTGTTGTCACAGACACATTTATCCATGTGTGTTTTATGTTTAAGTTACTTTGGAATAGCTCAGTCACAAAATCTTAATCTCTTAATTTGTGCTGCCTCTCTACACGGAAACACACACACAGGTGGACACACACACACAGGCACACACACACATTCACACACATGCTATACAAACATGTCTACCTGTATCTATAAAGAAACATGTTATGTTATTTTATTTTTTATTTCTTAGATTCATATATATTCATGAGGCACAAGTGCAATTTTGCTACATTGCTATATTGGTTGTGGTAAAGTCAGGGCCTTCAGAGCATCCAGCACTGGAGACAAGCACATTGTACCTATCAAGAAACCCCTCTATTATACACCAACTGCCAACCCCCTTACCCTTCTGGGTCTCCATGGTCCATCATTTCACACTCTCCTTTTATGTATATAAAGAGATATTAACCAAATACGGCAGAGTGGTAGCTTGAATTTTACTGCACCATTCTTTCAGCTTCTTTGCACATTTGAAAATTTATACAGTTATAAGTTGGAAGAATGAGGGAAAATAGAGAGCAAGACAGTGCTGAATAGGAATAGGCTAGGGGTTGTGTCCCACTAGGAACCATAATTGATCTTTGCCATTTTGAAAGTGTGTCCCCTGAGCAGCCTTCAGAGAGTCCTGGAGGCAGACTTGTTTTCACAGTAATACCAAGATGCCATCTGCCTGTTTCATTGTGTTGACTTTTCCATAGTGCTGCAAATGCCAAGGTCGGTAACACACCCAGCACCTTAGCAGAACCAGGCAGTGGCTCCAAACTGCAGTCCCGTTTAAGAGTGTCTTTGATGGAGCAGTAAAAAATTTATGTGGGTTAAAGTTTGATCCTTGAGTATACGTGTTTAATATTCTTTGTGAGAAAATGGGAAATATGCATAAAACACTTACTGCACAGAGAAGCAGGATGGTAGCCTTGAGAAAGGGCACTTGTGTGACTCAGTTATTATTTCAACCAGCAGATCTCACTCACCTACGGAAAGACAGTTGTATTAATTCCTGTTTGGGGGTATCATGAATAAAGCTGCAAGAGTATTTGTGCACAGGATTTTCGTGAACATAAAGTATTCCCTCGTTTGAAATAAGTGCCTAGGAGGGCAATTGCTAGTCATAAGGTAAATTGCATGTTCGGTTTGAAGAAAACTGCAATACTCATTTCCAGAGCGGCTGTACCATTTTAAAATACATCCCTACCAGCAATATAAGAGTGTCCCAGTTCCTCTGCGTCCTTGCCAGCATCTGTTGCTACCTTTATTTTGTATTTCAGCCATTCTCATCACTGTGGTTTTAATTTGTATTTTCCTACTGGATAATGATGTTGAGCACCTATTCATCTGCTTATTAGCCCAGTATTTATCCTCTTCAGTGAAATGTCTGTTCATGTCTTGCTCATTGCCTGTTTTGTATTTGGATTTCATTTTTATTGTTGAGTTTTAAAATTTCTTCATATATTCTGAATACAGTCTTTACAGAATATGTTGCCTGCAAATATCTTCTCTCATTCTGTAGCTTGTCTTTTTATGCTCTTCATAGGTCTCTCACAGAACAACAGTTTTTAGTGTTGATAAGATCCAATTTATTAACTTTTATGGATCATACTTTTGGTGTTATGTCTAAGAACTCTTTGTCCAGTCTTAGCTCTGATGACTTTTTCTTAAAAGGTTTGTAATTTAAAAATTTAAATTTATTATTTATTTTAGAAAAAAAATTCTTGCCTAGGCTGGCCTTGAACTCCTGGGCTCAAGGGATCCTCCCACCTCAGCTTCCTGAGTAGCTGAGAGTACAGGCCTGTGATACCACACCTGGCTCAATGTTTGCCATTTTAACTCTGTGCTTTACATGAAAGCTTGTGACTCATTTTGAGTTATTTTTGTATGAAGCATGAGGTTTTGGCTCAGGTTATTTTTTTTCCACTGTGGTTGTCCAGTTGTTCCATCACCATTTGATGGGAAAGCTCTCCTTCCTTCATTGAATTGCTTTTGTGCTTTTGTAAAAGTCAGTTGAGCATGTTTTGCTCATTTTTAGTTGAGTTGCTCATCTTCTTACATTGAGTTTAAGAACTTTTCACATATTCTGGATACATGTTCTTCATCACAGATGTAATTTGTGATAAATTGTGAAATATTTTCTCTCAATCTACGGCTTGTCTTCTCATTTTCTCAATATTGTCTTTTGGAGCACTTAAGTTTTAAATTTTAACTAAGCCCAATTTGTCTCTCACTTTTTTTTCATCTGTAGATCATGTTTTTTGTATTTTATGTAAGAATCTTTTGCCTAACTACTCAATGTCACAAAAATTTTCTCCTATATTTTCTTTTAGAAATTTTATGGTTTTAACTTATAAATTTTAGCTGTTTAGGTCTCTAATTTGTTTGAGCTTATATTTTATATGGCGATAAGTGTCACATCATATTACCTATGCAACTTCATTGAAGATCAATTGACAAAAAAATGTAAGAATGTCTTTCTAGATTCTCACTTCTGTTCATTAATCTCTGTGTCTCTCGCTTTCACACTGTCTGGATTATTGTAGTTTTATATGACATT
Organism: Homo sapiens; assembly: GCF_000001405.40. Classification (NCBI taxonomy): domain Eukaryota; kingdom Metazoa; phylum Chordata; class Mammalia; order Primates; family Hominidae; genus Homo; species Homo sapiens. The sequence goes on along the minus strand of NT_167246.2, from coordinate 1,071,231 downwards.
CCATTTTTTTTCAAATTTGCGTTGGCTTTTCTGCATCCTCTGCATTTTCACATACATTTTTAGGATTAAATTGTCAATTTTCCATAAAATGCCTGCTGGGGTTTTGATAGAGATTGTACTGAACCTATAGATCTCTTGGTGGAGAATTGTCATCTTAACAATATTATTGAGCTTTCCAACCGCATCTCTCCATGAATTTAGACCTTTAATTTCTCTCAGTAATGTTTTGTAGTTTTCAACAAACTCTGCTGTCTTCCTAAATTTATTCCTATTTCTCTCTTTTTGTAACTACTGTGATAGGAAAGTTTAGATTTTAATTGCTTGTATAGAGAAATATGTTAATAATTTTTAATTTGATTTTATATCCTATGGGAGCTTCTGGATTCATTTTTTAGTGCTAGCAGGCTTTTATCTGCTTGTGAATTCTACAGACAAGGTCATGTTATCTGTGAATAGAGTTTTATGTTTTCCTTTTTATCTGGATGCCTTTAACTTTTAATTATTTGCCTTATTGCACCAGCTGCAATCTCCAGTACAATGTTAAGTAGAAGTGTTGGATGGGACATCCTTGCATTGATCTCCATCTTAGGAGAAAAGCATTCAGTATTTCTTCAGCAAGCATGATTTTAGTTGTGGGTTTTTTATAGATGCCCTTTATCAGGGTGAGGAAGGTCCCCTCCATTCCTATTTTGTTGAAACTTATGAACATGAGTGGTGTTAACATTTTTGTCAACTGTTTCTTCTGTATCTTTTGAGATAATTATGTCTTTTATTCCCTTACTACAGTGCATTCCATTAATTGATTTCTAATTGTTAATCCAGCCATATATTCCTGGGATGAATCCCACTGGTCATGGAATGTAATCCTTTTTTACGTGGCTTTCTATTGTCTGCCAATGTTTGTTAAGGATGTTTTCATTTATGTTTATTGGTGACACTGGTCTATGGTATTCTTTTCTTGTCAGTCTTGCTCTGACTTTGATATTAGGGTAATGTCAGTTCTGTAAATGAGCTAGAAAGTCTTGCCTCCTCTCTTCTTGTCTGAAAGAGCTTTTGAAATATTTGATAGAATTCACCAGTGAAGATATCTGGGCTTTGGCATTTCTTTGTGAGAAGGTTTTAAAATTACTGTCTTAGTGTACAGTTCTCTTCAGATTTTCTATTTATTTTTGAGTCAGTTTCAGCAATTTCTATCTTTGTATAAATCTGTCCATTTTATCTAAGTGGTCTAACTGATTGGCTTCAGGTTTTTCAGAGTATTAACTTATAATGTTTTTTAACTTCTAAAGGGTCATTAGTGATACTCTCTCTTGTGTTCACAATTTTGGTAATTTATCTCATTTCTCATACTGTCTGTTTTGACTTTTGGTCAAGAAAACAGACAGAGGCAGCTCTGTGACAGATTCTGTAGTGGGAAGCTTTGATCATTCATAGCTGGCAAGCCAGACTAATGCCAGCAACCCCAAAGGAGCTGCCAATGGATCTTGACAGGGAAGTCACTGACTCTGGATTGGGCTATGATCAACCAGGGGTAGATGTCAATGCTTCAAAGGCTATACAAGAACCAGAAAAATGGAGATTACACCAATTTGGACTGTTGAGTCACATTTCTTTACACAAGAAAACACACTTTACAGCCTTAAAAAGCCAACAGTGCACAGGGAAATGTACTATTCAGGGGAAACTTTGATAGAATATTGAAATGGCTGACCAGGCGCGGTGGCTCATGCCTGTAATCCCAGCACTTTTGGTGGCCGAGGCGGGCGGATCACCTGAGTTTAGGAGTTTGAGACTATCCTGGCCAATATGGTGAAACCCTGTCTCTACTGAAAATACAAAAATTAGCTGCGTGTGGTGGTGGGCGCCTGTATTACCAGCTACTCGGGAGGCTGAGACAGTAGAATTGCTTGAACCTGGGAGGCAGAGGTTGCATGAGCCGAGATCATACTACTGCACTCCAGCCTGGGCGACAGAGTGAGACTCCATCTCAAAAAAAAAAAGAAAAAGAAATAGTCAGTTGAAACATTGGTTGTCTAATTGTCTAAAAACTGCCAATATAATTGTTGGGCAATATAAACATGAAGGACTGGCTTTTATATCTTCATGAATGTGCTTACTGTCAACATGGGTGGAGCTGCGAAACTGACTCCACTAGGTAGCTTCCTCTCTTTTTCCTGATGGATCAGGGTGATGCTGTTATGACTGTACATACAATTCTTCTTAAGGGGAGGATGCTGGAATAATGACTACACTTCATTTCTTATTTCTTTTTTTACACAGGGTGCAGTGGTACCAGGAACAGGGATGCAAATCGAACTGCCAGAAACAGGAATTATCCCTAAGGAAAAAACCATAACTATATTTTTATACCTTTATGTAAGAATTCCCAAGCAAATCAAGGATTGCGCTGTGCCTTCATTTCATCTGGCAAAGTCGGGATTAACTGTAAGTAGAGCTACGTAGACTGGTGGTCAGATAGCCTGCACTAGTTCCTAACCTATGTAACCTACTGTCTATGATCAAGAGTAGATTAAGAGAAGACATGGTAGAATACTATTGCTGCATGCAGTCTAGGCCAGCACAGCAGCCAAACCTAATGTCACTTCTAGAACTGGAAAAGACTGATATAAAGGGACAGAAGGAGGAATAGTGGCTGAGGGTAGGTGAATAAATCAAAGGGTTATGTAATGAGGAAAATTCAATATTAGCTTATCTCCTCAAAAGTGGTGTGAGCAAGAGATGTTGTCTCTTAGGTCAACTATACTGGATGCCTAAAAGGGTGAAGCTGTATGTCCCTGAGACCATTCTTGTTTTTGGAACCTGATAAGATTGAATGGTGTCTGCAAAGCTGAGTGATGTCATTCTGGGAGACATATTCATACAAGAGGATGATAAACTGGCCTAATTTTGAATGACCGAATGAGACTTGGATAATATGCCAATGCTTCTTTACTGTTATAATCCTTTTCGTATGAAAAATATGTGGTCAAAGAAAAGGGGGTAATATGAGTTATCACAAAAACATTTAGTTTTGTCCCTGGTTTCTCCTATAAACCTTAGAATCTCTTGAGTGATTAGAGTGTCTTTAGAATACTGAGGAAAGGACTCTTGGCTGAGTGGATCCTGGATACCTTGAGAATGGGGGCTGGCTGCCACAGACACATACCTATGATGAGAGGGTTGTCTTATTCCGTTTTGTGTTGCTATAAAGAAATGTCTGAGACTGACTAATTTATATAAACAAGGTTCATTTGGCTCAGGATTCTGATGTCTGGAAATGTTTGAGCATTTAGCGAGGGCCTCAGGCTGCTTCCACTCATGGCAGAAGGCAAAGGGGAGCTGGTATGTGCAGAAGTCACGTGGTAAGAGAGGAACAGAGGGAGTAGGAAGGTGCGAGACTCTTTTAACAACTAGCTCTTTTGGAAACTAATAGGGCAACAATTCATTGACTCCCGAGAGAGGGCAGTATCTCTCTGTTCATAAAAGATTGGCCCCCAAGACCCAAACGCCACCCATTAGGCCCTAAGTCCAACATTGGGGATCAGATTTTAACATGAGGTATCTGGGGATAAATATTTATATCATTGCATCCTGTCCCTAGCCAGCCAAAGCTCACATTCTTCTCACATTGCAAAAGACAATAATCTTCTCCCAATTGTCCAAAATGTGTTGGGTTGATCCAGCATCAACTCTAAATTCCAAAGTCTCATCTGAGACTCAAGGTAAGTTCTTATAGCTGTGCACCTGTAAAATTAAAAAAAGTTATTTACTTCTAAAATATTAATACAACAGTGGTAGAGACATTTCCTATACATTTCCATTCCAAAAGAAATAAATGGACCAAAAGAAATGAATGCAGTGTCCTCACAAGGTTGAAACTCATCATGGCAGACATTAAAACTTAAAGCTCTAAAATAATCTCCTTTGACTCTATATCTTGAACCCTGAGCACACTGGCTGGTGCAAGCAATGGACTCACAATGCCATCTTCAGCCTCATATCCGTGGCTTTGGTGAACATAATCCATATAGCTGCTCTCATGGGTGAACATTGAATGCTTATGGCTTTTCCAGGCTGAGCTTGCATATTGCCAGTGGCTCTATGATTTAGTAGTCTTGGCAGGGGTCCTGTTCCTGCAGCTCCACTAGGAATTGTCCTGGATATTAAATTTCCCCTTTAAATATCAGTTCCAGTTTCAGGTCATGTCTTTGCTCACACATATGTGCATAGGCTATTACAAGCAGGCAGGCCAAATCTGGAATGCTTTGCTGCTTAGAAATTTCTTCCACCAGATACCCTTATACATCACTCTCAAGTTCAAAGTTCTACAGATCCCTAGGGAGGGGGAACAATGCCTCCAAGTTCTTTGCCAATGCATAACAAAAGTGACCTTTCCTCTAGGTCCCAATAAGTTCCTCATCTCCATGTGAGACCTTATCAGCCTGGACTCTATTGTCCATATCACTATCAGCATTTTGGTCACAACAGCTTAACAAATCTCTAGGAAGTTGCAAATTTTCCCCCATTTTCTTGTCTTCTGAACTCTCCAAACTCTTCCAACCTCTGCCTGTTACCCAGTTCCAAAGCTGTTTCCACATTTTCAAGAATTTTTATAGTAATACCCAACTCCTGGTACCGATTTTCTGAATTAGTTCATTCTCACACTTTTATAAAGAAATACCTGAGACTGGGTAATTTATAAAGAAAATAGGTTTCTTTCTTTCTCCTCCCACCATCCAAGATGCCAAAAGGAAAGAAGGCCAAGGAGAAGAAGGTGGCTCCAGCCCCTGCTGTCGTGAAGAAGCAGGAGGCCAAGAAAGTGGTAAATCCCTTGTTTGAGAAAAGGCCTAAGAATTTTGGCACTGGACAGGATATCCAGCCCAAAAGAGACCTCACCCACTTTGTGAAATGGCCCTGCTATATCAGGTTGCAGCAGCAGAGAACCATCCTCTATAAGTGGCTGAAAGTGCCTCCTGAGATTAACCAGTTCACCCAGGCACCAGACAGCCAAACAGCTACTCTGCTGCTTAAGCTGGCCCACAATACAGACCAGAGACAAACCAAGAGAAGAAGCAGAGGCTGTTGGCCCGGGCCAAGAAGAAAGCTGCTGGCAAAGGGGACATTCCCCACTAAGAGTCCACCTGTCCTTCGAGCAGGAGTTAACACCATCACCACCTTGGTGGAGAACAAGAAAGCTCAGCTGGTGGTGATAGCACATGATGTAGATCCCATCAAGCTGGTTGTCTTCTTGCCTGTCCTGTGTCATAAAATGGGGTCCCTTACTGCATTATCAAAGGGAAGGCAAGACTGGGACATCTAGTCCATAGGAAGACCTGCACCACTGTCACCTTCACACAGGTTAACTCGGAAGACAAAGGTGCTTTGGCTAAGCTGGTGGGAGTTCTCAGGACCAATTACAATGACAGATACGATGAGATCCGCCATCACTGGGGAGACAGTGTCCTGGGTCTCAAGTATGTGGTTTGCATTGCCAAGCTCAAAAAGGCAAAGGGTAAAGAACATGCCACTAAATTGGGTGAAATGTATGCTGTTGAGTTTTCTGTATGTAAAAATAATTAAAATAATATAAATTTTCCTTCAAAAAACAAAAACAAAACAAAAACAGAAAAGAGGTTTAAATTGGGTCATGGTTCTGCAGGCTATACAGAAAGTATGATTCTGGCATCTGCTCATCTTATGAGAGGGCCTCAGGGAACTTTCGATTATGCTGGAAGGCTAAGGGGAAGCAGACATTACTTACATGCCTGGAGCAGGAGGGAGAGAGAGCAGGGAGGTGACACAGATTTTTAAACACCAGATCTTATGAGAATTATCACAAGAATAGCACCAAAGAGATGGTTCTAAACCGTTCATGAAGGATCCATCCTCATGAGCCGATCACCTGCCACCAGACACCACCTCCAAAATTAGGGATTACAATTGAACATGAGATTTGGGTGGGGACACAGATCCAAACAATATCAGGGGTCATGGTGGACATGAGGATGGGCTGGTCTCCCATTTCTTACCTGTTACTGTAGACATAGACACATTCAGACCCTTTGGCAGAAAGAGAAGCCAGAGGCTCTTAATGTCACAAAGAGGAGGCATGAACAAATCTTGCATCTCAGTCCCTCACAAGGCAATCTTAGAAAAAACATAGTCATAAACTAATCCAGGTCAGTCACAGTAAGTTGTGACACTGAACAGCCCACCACACCTTGAAAAATTCCAAATCAAAGAATCTCCAGAGCTTAGTTGTGTCCCCTCTGCCCAACTCCTCTTTCACTTCAGGCCCTCTAAGGTGTCACTTTTACAAGCCTTGAGAGACACATCAGAGCCCTGGGTACTGTTCCTGTTTGGGGTGGAACAAAAACAAAATCTGGTCAGAGCCCACAGGTGATGTGACTAAAGGAGGAATTTTGGGGTGGCTGAGCTCCCCCATGGGCTCCTGTCTACACTATCCCAAGGATCTCAGGGATCACTCTTCCCACCCCTACCACACTTACATGAAGCCTGAGCATAACTGCCTCCTTTTCCATCTGTGGAAAGAAAACAAACTGTGAGAGGCCAGGGAGGAGGCAGGGCATGAGATCCTAGAGGAGTTTCCAGAACTGTGACTACAGACCCAGGTCAGGATCAGAAAACCCAAGGGAAGAGGATGTGTTGAGGCTGGACCAATTGTCCTCCTGAGGTCTGTCCTCAGCAGGGACCTTCCCCTGACCTGTGACTGCTGGGAGTCAGGTTCCCATGACCACAATCAAGGTGATAAATTTGTCCTTCATTTTCACAAGTGCTTTACAAAAGAGTAAGCGTTGATAGACAGGGCCTCTGAACAGGGTAAATGTGTGTGGAGATGGTGCCTCACAACTAGGCAAGATATGAGCCTACTCCTACCTGGGGCTTGAAATCCACCAATGGAAGAAGGAAACTCAGAGCTCACCCCTTTCCTACCTGGGATCTTATTCCTCCACATCACAGCAGCGACCACAGCTACAGTGATTACAGCAACTAGAAGAACCAGGCCAGCAATGATGCCCACAACGGGGATGATGGGCTGGGAAGACAGCTCTAAGAAAGGAGGTGAACGTGAGGGGCCCTGACCCCCAGGCCTCAGCCCTGACCCTGCTTAAAGGCTCCAGAAGGACTTCTGCTTTGCCTGAGAAGAGACATGACCCCTCATTCGTCTCCTTACCCCATCTTAGTGTGAGGGGCTCAGGCAACCCCTCGTGCTGCACATGGCATGTGTACCTCTGCTTCTCTCCAGAAGACACCACTGCAGCTGCCCACTTCTGGAAGGTTCTGTACCCTGCAAGTCTGGTCTCCACAAACTCTGCATCCTGAATTTGGTCCTCCCCATCCCGCTCCTGGGTCAGTGTGATCTCCAGAGGGTAGAAGCCCAGGGCCCAGCACCTCAGCGTGGCCTCATAGTTGGAGATGGGGTGGAGGGTTACCTGTGCCTTCAGGGGATCTGAGGGCAAGAGGTAGAAAATTCAGGCACTTTGCATTCCTCATGAGACACAGCACCCATGTGACCATCCTGAGAATGGATGGGACATCTGGGGTGGGGAAGGGAGCACAGAACCCAGACAACATTCTGGACACAGGCACCTGGGATAATCTCTTATTCCTTGGAAAGTTCTAGTGTCTGAGGCGGAAACAGAGATTTCTGGTCCTGACCTGAGTGGAGGCCGAGGGACTCAGAAGAGCTGGAATCAGACCCCCACACACATTGAGTATGAGGCAGAGAACAAGGCCTGAGAGGAAAATTCCTGGTGCCCAAGGCTGCTGGGGGGTCAAAGGGGACCGCGTATCAGTATTCCAGGGATTGTCTTCCCCTCCTTTCCCGCAGAGACTTCATCCGTTAATTGTCCCAGAGTGCAGGGCGGGCCCTCAGTCACTCTCTGGTATAGGATTTAGAAACCCAGGAGGACTCTTCTGCCTCAGGACAAGAGGGAGAGGGATATTTTAGCGTTGGTCCCATTTTCCTCCCCTTCTTTTGGAAGGTGGCTCAGGGATATCTGCAGGAGATCAGGGAGGCGACCCGTGGCCTCTGGTACCTGCGCATTGCAGCCTCTCCTTCTCATTCTTAAGGCCTTTGCTGAGCCACTCCGCCCACCTTCCCGGCAGGTAGGTTTTGAGCAGCTCTGCATGTTCCTCCTCCAGAACATCTGAGCCGCCTTTTCCGCTGCGGTCCAAGAGAGCAGTTCCTGGTTTAGGACGAGGTAACTGGCGCCATCGTAGGGTATGTTCATCCCCGCGCGAAGAGGCTCCGGTCCGGGTCCAGGTCGCAGCTGTGTATCCACTGGAGGTGGGAGACCCTGTCCCCAAGCCCGCGGTCAGCCTCAGCCACTGAGCTCCTCCTCTGCCCCGATCAATCCCCCGGGGATTTGGGCCTGAACTGAAAATGGAATCGGGTATAGGCACCTGGGGTTCTTGTGTCGAGGGTCTCCACGAGTCCCGCAGCCTCGGCGTGGGTCTCCGATTGTGCTACAGTGGGTAGCACAATCTTGGTAGCCCCTGAATGGTCACGAATCTAATTTGTAAAAGAGATGATTTTTGGCCCCATTATATATAAATATGTCTAAACGCATTGCAATTAGACTCACAAAGTGAAGTTTTACTTTCCCAGACTGTGTATCTGTGACTCTGGTCTGTTGTATTTTTACAGTATCTTTATTTCATAGCTCTGAGTTTGTGTGTGCGAGTCCAGGACATCTCAATACAAAGCACAATGTATTACCGTATATTGCAACCAGGAGCCTGTACAGAATTTAATTACCTCAGAATTGCAAGTGCTTAATGCAGCCAAAGTGCCCTTCGCCAGTGCTCATGCACTCCCTTTATTATTAATTTTTTTATTTTTTATTTATTTACAGACAGGGCGTCACTCTGTTACCCTGGCTAAAGTGCAGTGGCACGCTCATGACTCACTGAAGCCTCGACCTCCTTGGCTCATGTGATCAATGCTCCTCCCTCAGCCTCCCAAGTAGCTGGCACCACAGGCTTGTGCCACCACTCCTGGCTAATTTTTCTAAAAATAATATTTGTAGAGATGAGGTCTCCCTAAATTGCTCTGGCTGGTCTTGAACTCCTGGGCTCAAGCAATCCTCCCGCCTCAGCCTCCCAAAATGCTGGTATTACAGGCATGAGCTATAATGGCCGGCCCATGCACTTGCCTATTATTATGAATTATTCACATCTAAGCTATGTGTATATTTTATTGAGACATTTGGTATTCTTTTTTAACCTTTTTTTTTTTTTTTGAGACGGAGTCTCGCTCTGTCGCCCAGGCTGGAGTGCAGTGGTGCAATCTCGCTCACTGCAAGCACCGCCTCCCGGGTTCACGCCGTTCTCCTGCCTCAGCCTCCCAAGTAGCTGGGACTACAGGCGACCGCCACCACGCCCGGCTAATTTTTTTGTAATTTTTTATTAGAGACGGGGTTTCACCATGTTAGCTAGGATGGTCTCGATCTCCTGACCTTGTGATCCACGCGCCTCGGCCTCCCAAAGTGCTGGGATTACAGGCGTGAGCCACCGCGCCCGGCCTTTTTTAACCTTTTTATCTTAGAGAGGCAATTAGCTTTTAGACAGCCCCACAGAATGCATTAAAGACCAAGGTGCAAGTAACACTGTGCCAGGCTTTGCGGATAAATGCATTAAAAATCTATAAAACACTGTATTTAAGTCTGAGAATTCCATTGCTTTAGAATTCTTTCTCTCTGTTCCTTTACCTCACCTCCTGCTTCTCCAGCCCTTCTCTCTGTCCCTGTCATCCTTCAGGCCCTCCTCTCCCCTTAGTCTCTACTACTCTGTCACTACTGAATTGTGTCCCTAGCTCTGTCCCTCGCCTGCTGCCCATGACTGTTCTCCCCACAAAGGTCAGCAATCCTGCTAATGTGAGTCAGATTGTGTCATTTCTTCACTTAAAAGCCTCTAATGGCTCCATCTTACTCTCAAGAAGCCTCTAGAATGGAAGGCACAAGCACAGGGGCTTTGGGTTGTTTTGATCAAAGTTGTATCTACAGAATATAAAAGTATATCTGCCACATAGTAGGCACTAAGTTAATTTTTGTTGAATGAATGAATGAAATATAATTGTGTTCAAAATTGTATCACACAAAAATCATGAAATGGAAAATGCAAAGCAAGTTAGGAAATATTTGGTTTTATGCAACTACTATGCATATCAGTTCATGAATTCATTCCGGTGGAGAAAATGTCATATACTTATCCTTTGAATCTGTTTATTTATTTCCTGGCAGTACATAACCAATTACCACAAACTTAGTGGCTGAAAACAGCACCCATTTATTTGTCTACATTTCCTTCATCAGAAATCCAGGCCTAATGTGATAGACTCTTTGTTCAGAGTTTCGCAAAGCTGTATCCTCATCTTAAGATTGGGGTTCTCCCCCAAGCTTATGCAGAGTTTGTTGGCAGAATTCGGTTTCTGGCAATTGTAGGATTAAGGTCCCTGTTTCCTTCGGGCTATCAGAGTAGACAGTGGGGAGGGCTTCTAATTCCTATTGGCCACCAGTGTTCTTTCCCCATGATCCCTCCATTTTCAAAGCCCAAAGTGGAGGAAGCCCCTCACGCTGAATCCCTCTCACACTGTGAGTCTCTATTCTCAGGAAAAACCCAGTCCTTTTCAGAGCTTACCTGATTAGGACCGTCTAAGCAGGATAATCCTCATCTTAAAGTCAACTGACTGGGGACTTTAAATATATCTGCAAAACCTCTTCACAGCAGCACCTGCTTTAGTGTCAACTGAGTAACTGGGGTAACCTGAGAAACCAAGGGTGGTTATTGGGGTGTCATCATAGAATCAGCCTAGCTAGCCTGGATCTTCCTTTCATGTTTAAATAGAACATACAAGTTGAAGATCAAAAAATAGATCATTGTTAATGATAATAAAATATATCTTATATAGCCATGGAAATTTTTATTAAATATTAAAAGCAAATGACATGTTTAATATCTTATAATGAATTTAGAGCAAATGAAAAAGTTCAGTGATTCATCCTCTCTTGTGAAGCTGTATTAGTTATCTACTGCTGCATAACAAGTCACCTACAACTTAGCAGCTCAAATCAACAAATATTTATCATCTCCCACAGTTATCCATGGTCAGGAATCCAGGAGAAGTTTCTCTGAATGCTTCTGGCTCAGGGCCTCTCACAACGTTGCAGTCTAGTTGTCTTCCAGGGCTGAATCATCTGAGGGCTCAAATGGGGCCGGGGATTCACAAGACACAAGAATCTCTCACATGGCTTTTGGAAGAGGCTTTAGCTTCTTATTGTCTGGTCCCAGGAGGACTCACTTCCTAGTCACATGGACCACAGGCCTCCTTATGACACAACAGCCAGCTTCCCCCAGGGCTCATGATTCCAGAGAAAGAAAGAACCAAAGTAGAAACTTCAGTGAGTCTTATGTTCTACACCCAGAATCACAAACTATTATGTCAGCATTACTCTATCAGTTAGAAGTGAGTCATTAAGTCCAGGCCACACGAACAGGGAGGGAATGAAGCTGCACTTCTGGAAAGGAGGAGTATCAAAGAATTTATAAACATGTTAAAAGCAAAATTAACATTATTGTTTCAGGGTTTTGTAAATCAAATACTTCTTGTATCTGACTTTTTTTAATACTTTAAAATTCTCTTCTGTAAAGTTGATTAAATATTTGAGACAGAGAAAGAAGATACAACAATATCTCAGATTTTTTTTGTAAATGCCTTTAATATTAATATTCTCTTTGATAAGTTGCAACAGAGTTGAGAAAATACAGTAGCTAAATTAAAGTGTCCCAAGACTTTGGTGCCATACAATAATGCCTTTACAATCATAACTACGTTTGTTTCTCTTCAGAAGTTTCTAATTCGGTTTAAGAATGCCCAAAATGCCAATTTTCTTACTCAAGCATCTACAAAAATATTTGCCTAATCAGGGTGCTTTGCAGTTAGAAAAATGTGAATCTCACACCTCTGTCTATACACTAGCTTAGCATCATGACAATAATTTGTTTGGCTAGGGTAGGCAGAAATTGTTTACTCCAATCTAGGAACAAGATTTTTCAATAACTGGCTATTCAGTGGGCATCCTATGAAAGTTTAACATCTTTCACTGTGTTTTTTAATTAGATGTGGTAGAAGTGATTTGGACTCCCGTATGATTCTGAAAAACACTGTTCTTTTGTGCTGCTATCATTGCTGTACAAGCATCTCTTTCATGTTTTCCATTCTTATTGCTATTTCATCACTAGTTATTCCTTTATGTCTTTTCATTTAATTTATTTTGCTCAACAATGCTTTTTTTTTTTACTGTGTAAAAGTTTAATCCACTTGTATGTGTGGTAAAATGTGAGCAACATATCAAATTCTCAAATTCTTTGCAAGATACAATTGCCTTGCACATCAGATTGAACACTGTATGCCAGACAATGTAGAGAGTTGCCAATTAGCCCAGGGTCAAATGACCTCTTTCTAGCCAAGGCTATTTTTCATGAGATCCTGGTCCTCTCTGTCACATGACTCTTTACAATTGGCTGTGGCTTTGTTTTAACGTGTGTAGTTATTGCTAAGGATCCTTGAGATGAACTTTGGTATTTTCTTTTCTCTTTCATTTCCAAATAATCAGTCAGGAATGGCGCACAAGGTGCATTTTGAAAAATGACACTTTAAAGATTTGTGGGCCGGGAATGGTGGCTCATGTCTGTAATCCCAGCACTTTGGAAGGCCGAAGTTGGCGGATCACCTGAGGTCAGGAGTTTGAGACCAACCTGGACAATATGGTGAAACCCCGTCTCTACTAAAAATACAAAAATTACCTGGGTGTCGTGGTGGATGCCTATAATTCCAGCTACTCAGGAGGCTGAGGTAGGAGAATTGCTTGAACCTGGGAGGCGGAGGTTGCAGTGAACTGAGATCACGCCACTGCACTCCAGCCTGGGCAACAAGAGGGAGACTCCATCTCGAAAATAAATAAAGAAAGAGAAAGAAAGAAAGAAAGAAAGAAAGAAAGAAAGAGAGAGAGAGAGAGAGAGAGAGAGAGAGAGAGAAAGAAAGAAAGAAAGAAAGAAAGAAAGAAAGAAAGAAAGAAAGAAAGAAAGAAAGAAAGAAAGAAGGAAAGAAAGATTTATGATCAAGTAACTTAACTACCTGGACATCCCCTCCTGGCATAAAAAACAAAACCTATGAAGCCACCCTCGGCTGTTGTCCAATTCTATTCCCCAAAAGGAACTTCTATCTTGAGTCTTGTATTTACTATTCCTTTTCATTGTCTCTAAAGATTTTTACAATAAGTATATATATATATATCCAAATCACAGTTTGACCTGCTTTTTTTAACTTCCCCGTACAGAGAACTCACACAATGTGCATTCTTCTGTGATGCTGATGCATGTTATGTGTAGGAGAGTTATCTCTGATGTGGGAGGGTGCTGTTCATTCACTGTTGCTGCTGAAGTTTTACTTTTTATTATTATACGACTATTTTGTTAATTCCCATTGATGTATATGTGATTGTTTCCAGTTTTTGCCATAAACATTGGTGTACATGTCTCCTGGACACATAGCCAAGAATGTCCCCAGGGGGTATGATCAGGAGGCAGATGGTGGGATTATATGATGTATGGACATTAATCATACTAGATAAGGCTAATTTGATTTCTCAAGTGCTTGTACCAAGAATGGGAAAGAGCTTGTGTTGCTCATGTGTTCTGAAAACATTCAGTTGGAGGCAGAAATTAAATGTTAAAAGGTACTGTCTTGGCTATAGAATCACCCTAGGCATTTTTTCATATTCCATTAACAACTTCCTTTTCTTTACTTTTATATTATAAATTACGGCATTATACTTTTAGCATAAAGTTCAAATAATGCTTCCTTTTGGCCTAAACACTTGGAGTTTATGAAAAAAATGGAGGGAGGGAGAAAGCTCTGAGGGAGGAAAGGAGGAAAGAAGGAAGGAAGGACAGAGAAAGACAAAATTTAAAATGTTCAAAAATAGGAGGAAAGAGTTGGAAACAGCAAGTATAGCTAATGTTATTAAAATGCAAGGGATTAAAAGATATGTAGATAATATCCATGGAATAATGGAAACTTAAGAAAGCCTTAATAGTTATCAAGTGCTGTGTCACAAACTACCTCAAAATTTAGTAGCTTAATAGAACAAATATCTGTTAACTCAAAGAGATACTACACACACAAGTAAAATAGATTCTGTGGGGGTGGCAGAAGTTGGATAAAGAGAAGGATTTTACAGGTTGGAATAAGAGTTATTGATATGCAGATGGAAATAATTTTTAGTCCAAGTCCTTCAAGGAGCAGATGCCAAGATGAGCTTAAAGTCTGCGACATCTTATAAGGGGACACACCCGTAAGGGAATATGGGAAGTGAGCCAGAAATCCCTGAGAAAAGGCGGCAGACCACGATGCAAGTGTGACCCCAAGTGCTGGACAGAAGGAGAGAAAGTTTGTTTGACGCATCCTAGAGCACAGGCAATCTAAGGAGAGTTGAGCAAGGCCGTGGAGGAGTCTTCCAGCTACAGTTAGCCATCAGAGGAGTCCCGTGTCTCCCAGGAATGGCTTGCCTTAATGCCTGCTGTGACCAGTCACTGGCTGGGAACAGCCCATGGGAAGCAGGGCTTTGCACCAATCCTGCTGAGGATGTCAGAGCACAGGAGCACAGCCTTGGGACATTACCTGTGAGTATCACTCAATCCTTCCTTCCTGAGGGTTCTGGGCTCTTGAATATGAAACCCTCTCAGGCTGGGTTGCTGGATGATTCTGCTCACACTTACAACAGGACAAGGGGAACCATAAGGTCTCCAAGTGGATCTCTTATTTCCACACACACATCTCCTGCCCTCCTTGTGTGATAGCAGCCCTGCCTCCTCCTCTTCTCACCTGCTTGTATCTGGACACATACTATTCAAACATCCCTGGGGGCAGCCATAATGTGTATTTCCATGGACTCTCATTTAAATGTCTCCTTGCCAGGGTGCCCCCTTTGGGAAACCAGGACCTCCTCCCCTACAGAGCCCAGATATTGGAGATGAGAAGTGCAAAATCACCCTGAAGGTGAATATAAGGGTTTAGATATGGAGCCACACCTGCTTCTACTTCTTGGTTTTTGGACCCACGTATTCTTCCTTCTGTAAACACAGCACTATAGAGACATCTTTGATTCAATACATGCACCACATCCTGAAAGATGGCACCCATTCCTCAGAGGGTTTCATCCAAGCTGGCACTAAGTTGTGTCTGTAGAGACCTGTCCATGACTCTGTGTGGCTGGCAGCCCCTGGGAGGTGCAGGTGGTGATAAGACCAGGGGGTGCCATGGTCATGGACCACGCTTCATCCCCTTTCCTCTGAGGTGTGTCCCGCGGGCAGATAATGTACTGAAATTCTGAGCCAGTGGCTCAGGAATGCCAATAGTGATACTGGCTGAGGGTCTAAGAGTAGAGAGGAAAACCACACCACATCTAATAGGTGCCTATCCCTGTGAGGATGAACCTCCGCCCCCCGGGCCGCCTCCCACTTGAGCTGGGTGATCTGAGCCGCCGTGTCTGCGGCTGTCAAGGAGCACAGGTCCTCGTTCAGGACGATGTAATCCTTGCCATCGTAAGCAAGCTGGTGATACCCGCGGAGTAGGCGCCCGTCCGACCCCACGTCGCAGACAGACATCCTCTAGATGGGTGTGAGACCCTGGCCCCGCCCCCGCGGCCAGCCCCGCCCACCGAGCCCCGCCCTCGCCAGGACCAACCTGCGGGGATTTTGGCTGAAAATGAAACCGGGTAACGGCTCCTGGGCCTCTCCCGGGTCAAGGGTCTCCAGGTCCCGCTGCCTCGGCGTGGATCTCGGACCCAGAGACTCGGGGAGACCCGGGCGGTCCGTGGGGGATGTGGAGGGGTAGTGACCTGCGCCCCCGGCCGGTGTCACTCACAGGCCTCACTCTGGTTGTAGTAGCCGCTCAGGGTCCGCAGGTTCACTCGGTAAAACTGTGCTTTGGCCTTGGCGGTCCCTGTCTCCTCTTCCCAATATTCCGGCCCCTCCTGCTCCATCCACGGCGCCCGCGGCTCCATCCTGGGACTCGTGGCGTCGCTGTCGAGCCGCACGCACTGCGTGTCGTCCACGTCGCCCACGGAGAGGAAGCGGGGATCCGCGCGGCCGGGCCGGGACATGGTGGTGTGGAAATACCTCAAGGAGTGGAAGCCTGGGAGCAAGGAGGGGGCTGAGACCCTCCCGACCCTCCTCCCGGCACCGCAACCGGGTTCCTGCGCCCCCGCCGGGCAGGCCCCTAGCTACTCCCCACAGACGCCGTTTCCCTCCCGACCCCGCACTCACCTGCCCAGGTCTGGGTCAGGACCAGGGCCCCCGAGAGCAGCAGAAGCAGGGTTCGGGGCGCCATGACACCATCCTCGGCGACTGGGAAGAATCGGAGTCCCGGTGGGTGCGTGGGAACTTTAGAACCGGGACCGCGGCTACATTGATTGGCTTCTCTAGAAACCCGACACTCAATGGGAGTGAGAACTGGGGCAGCCCGGTGAGTACCCAGGAAGAAGGACCCGACACAGGTTGGGAGAGGGAGAAGAGAAACCCTGCAAAGATGGGGAATGCCCAGCGCTGGGCCTCCCCAATCCATACACCGCCTTTGGGGCCTGAGATCCTGAGAGCCACGCCTGAGGCCCTGGGACTTCGCCCTGACCCCGCTACTTCTGTGCCAAGCGCTCTGTCTCAATGTTTCCCTGAGTCTTGGCCCAGGAGCTGTCTGAGAAACCAGGGAGAAACCCTCGGAATGGGCCCCGTCCCTCTCTCTTCACTTTGCATCACGGAATCCCCGTCCCAGAACTGGACTCCCTGCCTCCTACTCCTTACCTGTCCCCGTGGACTCTTCTAGAAGAAAAATCACCCCAGGGAGCTTGTTGCCAGAGAGTGAGCTTGCCCTGGGAATGGAGGTGTAGAGACAGGGTTTTTTGTTGTTGTTGTTTGTTTGTTTTTTAAATCTGGAAAAGTTGTGCCTGAGTGCATGAGATAGAATAGAGACCAGTTTGCTTTTTGTTTATTAACTACAGTGGGTAGCAGAATCTTGGTAACTCCTAATGATCAGGAATCTAATCGGCCAAAAATGTGACTTTGGTCCCTTGACATATAAATGTGTCTAAAAGCATTACAACAGGAATCACAAAGCTCCTAAGTTTCACTTTCCCAGACAATGTATCTGTGACTCCCGCTTGTAGTATTTTAAATTTACCTTCATTCCATAGCCCTGAGTTTCTGTGTGAGTCCAGGACATCTCCTAATACAAGGTAGCCACTGTGTTACTATATGTTGTAACCAGGAGCCAGTACGGACTTTATTCATCTCACAGTGGCAAGCACTCAATGCAGTCACAATGCCCCTCACCAGTGCTCATGCACTGCCTGTTTTTAGGAAGTATCCACTTCTAAGTGTTGTGTATATTTTATATGAACACTTAGTATTTTTTAAACCTGATTAACATAAAAAAATTAGTTTTTAGGCAGACCCACATAAGGTATTAAAGGCCAACTGCAAAGATCACCCTGCAAGGCTCTGTAGATTGATGTATTAAAATATATAAAACAATGTGTTTAAACCTGAGTTCTGCTGCTTTCGAATTCTTTCCCTCTGCTCCATTTCCTCACCTCCTGCATCTCCAGCCCTTCCCTCCATTCCTCTCATCCCTCAGGCCCTCCTCTCCCCTTAGTCCCCACCACCTTGTCACTCCTTATTTGTGACACTAGCACTGTCCCATTACCTGCTACGTGACTGTTCTCTGCACAGTGGTCCTGCTCCTGTGAGTCAGAGTGTGTCATTTCTCCACCTAAAACATTCCACTGGCTCCACCTTGGTCTTGTGAAGCTTCTGGAATGTCAGGCACGTAAGCATATGAGGGCACACCTGGTTCATTGTAGGGATTAAATTAATTTTTCTTGACTGAATGAATGAAATATGAGTCTATTAAATTGCATCACAGAAAATTATAAAATGTAAAATACTGAAAAAGTTAAGAAATATTTTATTTTATGTAATTAGTGTGCATATCAATTCATCAATTCATTCGTGCACTACCACGACTGGCAAAACAACACCCATTTATCTGCTTATACTTCCTTGGTCAGAAATCTGGGCAAGATGTGGATAGAATCCCTGTTCTGGGCTTCCAAAAGCTGTGTTTTCATTTTGAATCCTCCTTCAGGCTTATACAGAGGTGGCAGAATGCAGTTTCTGGCAGTTGTAAGACTGAGGTTTCTGTTCCTTGCTGGCTGTCAATACAGAGAATAGGCAGGGCTGTGCTCAATTCCTGGTGCCTAACAGTGTTCTTTCCTACACAGCCTCTTCATTTTCAAAGCCCACGGTAGAGGAAACCCCTCATGCTGAATCCCTCTCACACTGCAAATCTCTATGCTCAGAAAGAACACAGACCTTTCAAGGACTCACCTTATTAGGACAGTCAAAGCAGGATAAACCCAGCCTAAAGTCAACTAATTGAGGCCCTTAGTTATATCTGCTAAATCCCTTCACAGCAGCATCTACACTAGAGTTGCTTGAATAACTGGGGGAAAGTGAATGACCGGGAGGTGGCTGTTGGGGGCCATCAAAGAATCAGCCCAGCAAGGGTTGGATCTTCCTTTTGTGTTTAATTTGGACACAGTTGGAAATTGAAGTTCAAGTAAAGTGATCATTGTGAATGGTAATAAAATGCATCCTCTTCAGCCATGGACATTCTCCTTACCTTTTAAAACTAAGTTACATGTGTAATGTCTTATAATTAATTTAGGCCAGGTGTGGTGGCTCACACCTGTGATTCTAGCACCGTGGAAGGCAGAGGAAGGCAGATTTGTTGACTCCAGATGTTGAAGATCAGCCTGGGCAACATGGAGAAACCCCCATCTCTACAAAAAAATTTAGAAAATTAGCCAGGCGTGGTGCTTCATGCCTGTAGTCCCAGTTACTCAGGACGCTGAGATAAGAGGGTCCCTTGAGCCCAGGAAGTCGACACTGCAGTGCATGGTGATCATGCCACTGCACTCCAGCCTGGGCGACAGAGCGAGACCCTGTCTCAATAACAATAATATTAATAATAATGATAAATTTAGAGCAAATGCAAATTAATGTGTAATACTACATCCTCTTTTGTGAAAATGTGTTAGTTATTTACTATTGCATAACAAATTATGTAAAACTTAGCAGCTCAAAATGGCAAATATTCATCATCTCCCGCAGGTTCCAATGGTCAGGAATCCAGGAGAGGTTTCCCTGAGTGCTTCTTGCTCAGGGCCTCTCACAAGGTTGCAGTCCAGTTGTCAGCCTAGGCCTGCATCATCTGAGTGCTTCACTGGGACTGAGGATTCACATGAAACATGGATGGGTCACATGGCTGTTGGAAAAGCCCTAGTTCTTTGTTTTCTGTTCCCAGAAGGCCCCAGTTCTCAGCCACATGGACCTTCCTTCAGGGCTGCTTATGGCACAGCAGGTGGCTTCCCCCAGAGCTCATGATTCCAGAGACATTGAGAGAGAAGGGGGAGGCTGCAGTAAGTTTTATGTTCTACACCCAGAGTCACAAACTCTTATGTCAGCATTACCAGTTAGAAGTTGTATTAGTCCGTTCTCACATTGCTATAAAGAAATACCTGAGACTGGGTAATTTATAAAGGAAAGAGGTTTAATTGACTCATAGTTCTGCATTGCTGAGAAGGCTGCCCCATGAAACTTACAATCATGGCAGAAGTGGAGGCAAACACGTCCTTCTTCACATGGTGGCAGGAGAGAGAATTGCAGATCGAAGTGGGGAAAAATACCTCATAAAACCATCAGATCTCATGAGAATTCCCTCAGCATCATAAGAGCAGCATGGGGGTACCATACCCGTGATCCACTCACCTCCCAGGAGGTCCCTCCCCCGATACATAGGGATTACAATTTGCATGACAATTCAAGATGAGAATTTGGTGGGAACTCAGAGCCAGACCATATCAGAAATGCATCATTAAGTCCCAGCCACACTCAAGAGAGGAAATTAAGCAGCATCTCTGGAAGGGAACAGTATTAAAGGATTTGAATATATATTAAAAGCAAATTTAAAACTCTTGTTTCAGGATTTTGAAAATCAAAATTTTTTTATCTAATTATTTTTCGTTAACCCTTTTAGCTTGTCTTTTAATTTAATTTAATTTTAAGTTCCAGGTTATGTGTGCAGGATGCGCAGGTTTGTTACATAGGTAAATGTGTGCCATGGTGGTTTGCTGCACCTATCAAACCATCACCTATGTATTAACCCTGGCATGCATTAGCTATTTTTTCCTAATACTCCTCCCACCACTGCCCTCCCCCAGCAGGCACCAGTGTGTGATGTTCCTCTCCTTGTGTCCATGTGTTCTCATTGCTCATCTCCCAATTATAAGTGAGAACATGTGGTGTTTGGCTTTCTGTTCCTGTGTTAGTTTGCTGAGGATGGCTTCCAGCTTCATCCATATCCCTGCAAAAGACTGAATCTCATTCCTTTTTGTGGCTGCATAATATTCCATGGTGTATATGTACCATATTTTCTTAATGCAGTACATCATTGATGGGCATTTGGGCTGATTCCATGTCTTTGCTATTGTGGATAGTGCTGCAATAAGCATACACATGCATGTATCTTTATAATAGAGTGATTTATTTTCCTTTGGATGTATACCCTGTAATGGGATTGCTGGGTCAAATGGTATTTCTGGTTCTAAATCTTTGAGGAATCACCAAACTGTCTTCCACAATGGTTCAACCAATTTACATTTCCAGCAACAGTGTAAAAGCCTTCCTATTTCTCCACAACCTCGCCAGCATCTGGTGTTTATGTAGTTTTAAATAATTGCCATTCTGACTGGCATTAGATGGTATCTCATTTGTGGTTTTGATTTGCATTTCTGTAATCAGTGATGTTGAGCTTTTTTTCATGTTTTTTTGGCCACATGTACGTCTTATTTTGTGAAATGTCTCTTCATGTCCTTTGTTCACTTTTTAATGAAGTTTTTTTCATGTAAATTTGCTTAAGTTCTTTATAGATTCTGAATATTAGACCTTTGTAAGATAGATAGATTGCAAAAATTTTCTCCCATTCTGTAGGGTGTCTGTTCACTCTGATAGTTTCTTTTTCTGTGCAGATGCTCTTTTGTTTAATTAGATCCCATATGCCAATTTTTGCTTTTGTGGCAGATGCTTTTGGCGATTTCATCATAAAATCTTTGCCCATGCCTGTGTCCTGAATGGTATTGCCTAGATTTTCTTTCAGGGTTTTTATAATTTTGTGTTTTACATTTAAGTCTTTAATCTATCTTGAGTTAATTTTTGTGTAAGGTGTAAGGAAGGGGTCTAGTTTCAATTTTCTGCATATGGCTAGCCAGTTCTCCCATCACCATTTATTAAATAGGGAATCCTTTCCCCGTTGCTTGTTTTTGTCAGGTTTGTTGAAGATCAAATGGTTGTAGATGTGCGGACTTTTTTTGTGAATTCTCTATTCTGTTCCATTGGTCTATGTGCCTGTTTTTGTACCAGTATCATGCTGTTTTGTTTACTGTAGCCTCACAGTATACTTTTAAGTGGGGTAGTGTGCTGCCTCCAGCTTTGTTCTTTTTGCTTAGTATTCTCTTTGCTATATGAGCTCTTATTGGATCCATATGAATTTTAAAATAGTTTTTTTTTCTAATTCCACGATAAGCTTATCTTTTAAAATTAATGATTAACTGTTTCAGACATCACAGAGCCTTGGGTGCTTAGGAGAAAACAGTTTGAAACAGAGAAAGGATATGCAACAGTAACTCTGAATTTTTCTTGTGAATACCTTTAATAACAATGTTGTTTTCAATTAGTTAACACAGTTGAGAACATAGAGTAACTAGATCAAATAGTTCCAAGACTTCAGTCTGATAAAAATAATGTCTTGAAAATAAGACTTTGTTTTGTCTAAGATATCTCAAATTTAGTGGAAGCACGTCCCAAGCACCAATTTTCTTATTGAAATATCATCTTCACTAAACATTTGCCTACACTTAAAAAAAAAAACAAAAACTCCGCTATATGGAGTAGCCATTCTTTTGTTTCTTTACTTCTCTAATAACTTGCTTTCACTTAGGAAAACATTGCCTAATCAAATTGCTTTTCATTTACAAAAGTGTGAATCTCATACTTCAGTCAACACATCTAGCTTAGCATGATGCCAATAACTTTGGTTTGATGCAGTAGCCTGAAATGGTTAGCTCAAATTGAGAAACAAGTTTTTTTCAAAAGCTAGCTATTTGGTGGGCATTACATAATAAACTTAACATCTTTTGCTCTGGTATTGAATGAGATGTGATAGAAGTCATTTGCACACCACTATGATTCTAAATAACACGGCTATTATGTGCTTCTGAAGCTTTTTTTCTTTTTAGCAGTCCTATTCTGTTTTCCATTCATATTTGATATTCCATCACTGGTTATTCCTTCCTATTCTTTTCTTGTTTGATTTATTTTGATCAATTATTTGCATTTCCAATTCCGTAAAAGTTTAATTCAGTTGTATGTGTGGTAGAATGTAACATCAAATCCTTTGCAAGATGGAATTACCTTGCACAGCAGATTGAACATTGTATAACTGAAAATCTAGAGAGATGCCAGTCAGCCAAGGGTTAAATGACCTATTTTTAGCCAAGTCCATTTTCATGGCATCCTGGTCCTCTCTGTCACATGACTCCTTACAATTCTCTGTGGTTTGCTTCCAATGTAAGTAGTTCTTATTAAGGATCCTTGCAATTAACTTTGGTATTCTTTTCTCTTACATTTTTTTAAAATTATACTTTAAGTTCTATGGTACATGTGCATAACGTGCAGGTTTGTCACATATGTATGCATGTGCCCTGTTGGTTTGCTGCCCTCTTTAACTAGTCATTTACATTAGGTATTTCTCCTAATGCTATCCTTCCCCCATCCCGCCACCTGACGACAGGCCCCAGTGTGTGATGTTCCCCACCCTGTGTCCAAGTGTTCTCATTGTTCAATTCACCTATGAGTGAGAACATGCGCTGTTTGATTTTCTGTCTTCGCGATAGTTTGCTCAGAATGATGGTTTCCTGCTTCATCCATGTCACTACAAAGGACATGAACTCATCCTTTTTATGGCTGCATAGTATTCCATGGTGTATATGTGCCACATTTTCTTAATCTAGTCTATCATTGATGGACATTTGGGTTGGTTCCAATTCTTTGCTATTGTGAATAGTGCCACAATAAACATACATGTGCATGTGTCTTTATAGTAGCGTGATTTATAATCCGTTGGGCATATACCCAGTAATGGGATGGCTGGGTCAAATGGTATTTCTAGTTCTAGATCCTTCAGGAATTGCCACACTGTCTTCCACAATGGTTGAACTAGTTTACAGTCCCACCAACAGTGTAAAAGTGTTCCTGTTTCTCCACATCCTCTCCAGCACCTGTTGTTTCCTGACTTTTTAATGATCGCCATTCTAACTGGTGTGAGATGGTATCTCATTGTGGTTTTGATTTGCATTTCTCTGATGGCCAGTGATGATGAGCATTTTTTCATGTGTCTGTTGGCTGCATAAATGTCTTCTTTTGAGAAGTGCCTGTTCATATCCTTTGCCCACTTTTTATGGGGTTGTTTGATGGGTAGACTGCAAAAATTTTCTCCCATTCTGTAGGTTGCCTGTTCACTCTGATGGTAGTTTCTTTTGCTGTGCAGAAGCTTTTTAGTTTAATTAGATCCCATTTGTCTAATTTGGCTTTTGTTGCCATTGCTTTTGGTGTTTTAGTCACGAAATCCTTGCCCATGCTGATTTCCTAAGTGGTATTGCCTAGGTTTTCTTTTGGGTTTTATGGTTTTAGGTCTAACATTGAAGTCTTTAATCCATCTGGAATTAATTTCTGTATAAGTTGTAAGGAAGGGATCCAGTTTCAGCTTTCTACATGTGGCTAGCCAGTTTTCCCAGCACCATTTATTAAGTTTCCCAGCACCTTTCCCTATTGCTTGTTTCTGTCAGGTTTGTCAAAGATCAGATGATTGTAGATGTGTGGTGTTACTTCTGAGGCCTCTGTTCTGTTCCATTGGTCTGTATCTCTGTTTTGGTACCAGTACCATACTGTTTTGGTTACTGCAGCCTTGTAGTATAGTTTGAAGTCAGGTAGCGTCATGCCTCCAGCTTTGTTCTTTTGGCTTAGGATTCTCTTGGCAATGTGGTCTCTTTTTTGGTTCCATATGAACTTTAAAGTAGTTTTTTCCAATTCTGTGAAGAAAGTCATTGGTAGCTTGATGGGGATGGCATTGAATCTATAAATTACCTTGGGCAGTGTGGCCATTTTCATGATATGGATTCTTCCTATCCATGAACGTGGAATGTTCTTCCATTTGTTTATATCCTCTTTTATTTCATTGAGCAGGTTTGTAGTTCTCCTTGAAGAGGTCCTTCACATCCCTTGTAAGTTGGATTCCTAGGTATTTTATTCCCTTTGTAGCAATTTTGAATGGGAGTTCACTCATGATTTGGCTGTCTGTCTGTTATTGGTGTGTAAGAATGCTTGTGATTTTTGCACATTGATTTTGTATCCTGAGACTTTGCTGAAGTTGCTTATCAGCTTAAGGAGATTTTGGGCTGAGATGATGGGGTTTTCTAGACATACAGTCGTGTCATCTGCAAACAGGGACAATTTTACTTCCTCTTTTCCTAATTGAATACCCTTTATTTCCTTCTCCTGCCTAATTGCCCTGGCCAGAACTTCCAACACTATGTTGAATAGGAGTGATGAGAGAGGGCATCCCTGTCTTGTGCCAGTTTTCAAAGGGAATGCTTCCAGTTTTTGCCCATTCAGTATGATATTGGCTGTGGGTTTGTCATAGATAGCTCTTATTATTTTGAGATACGTCCCATCAATACTTAATTTATTGAGAGTTTTTAGCATGAAGGTTGTTGAATTTTGTCAAAGGCCTTTTTTGCATCTATTGAGATAATCATGTGGTTTTTGTCGTTGGTTCTCTTTAAATGCTGGATTATGTTTATTGATTTTCGTATGTTGAACCAGCCTTGCATCCCAGGGATGAAGCCCACTTGATCATGGTGGATAAGCTTTTTGATGTGCTGCTGGATTCGGTTTGCCAGTATTTTATTGAGGATTTTTGCATCTATGTTCATCAGGGATATTGGTCGAAAATTCTCTTTTTTTGTTGTGTCTCTGCCCGGCTTTGCTATCAGGATGATGCTGGCCTCATAAAATGAGTTAGGGAGGATTCTCTCTTTTTCTATTGATTGGAATAGTTTCAGAAGGAATGGTACCAGCTCCTCCTTGTACCTCTGGTAGAATTCGGCTGTGAATCCATCTGGTCCTGGACTATTTTTGGTTGGTAAGCTATTAATTATTGCCTCAATTTCAGAGCCTGTTATTGGTATATTCAGAGATTCAACTTCTTCCTGGTTTAGTCTTGGGAGGGTGTATGCGTCGAGGAATTTATCCATTTCTTCTAGATTTTCTAGTTTATTTGCATAGAGGTGTTTATAGTATTCTCTGATGGTAGTTTGTATTTCTGTGGGATTGGTGGTGATATCCCCTTTATCATTTTTATTGCATCTATTTGATTCTTCTCTATTAGTCTTGCTAGCGGTCTATCAATTTTGTTGGTCTTTTCAAAAAATCAGCTCCTGGATTCATTGATTTTTTGAAGGGTTTTTTGTGTCTCTATCTCCTTCAGTTCTGCCCTGATCTTGGTTATTTCTTGCCTTCTGCTAGCTTTTGAATGTGATTGCTCTTGCTTCTCTAGTTCTTTTAATTGTGATGTTAGGGTGTCGATTTTAGATCTTTCCTACTTTCTGTTGTGGGCATTTAGTGCTATAAATTTCCCTTTACACACTGCTTTGAATGCATCCCAGAGATTCTGGTATGTTGTGTCTTTGTTCTCGTTGGTTTCAAAGAACCTCTTTATTTCTGCCTTCCTTTCATTATGTACCCAGTAGTCATTCAGGAGCAGGTTGTTCAGTTTCCATGTGGTTGAGCAGTTTTGAGTGAGTTTCTTAATCCTGAGTTCTAGTTTGATTGCACTGTGGTCTGAGAGACAGTTTGTTATAATTTCTGTTCTTTTACATTTGCTGAGGAGTGCTTTACTTCCAACTATGTGGTCAGTTTTGGAATAAGTGCGGTGTGGTGCTGAGAAGAATGTATATTCTGTTGATTTGGGGTGGAGAGTTCTGTAGATGTCTATTAGGTCTGCTTGGTGCAGAGCTGAGTTCAATTCCTGGATATCTTTGTTAACTTTCTGTCTCATTGATCTGTCCGATGTTGACAGTGGGGTGTTAAAGTTTCCCATTACTATTGTGTGGGAGTCTAAGTCTCTTTATATGTCTCTACGGACTTGCTTTATGAATCTGGGTGCTCCTGTATTGGGTGCATATATATTTAGGATAGTTAGCTCTTCTCATTGAATTGATCCCTTTACCATTATGTATTGGCCTTCTTTGTCTCTTTTGATCTTTGTTGGTTTAAAGTCTGTTTTATCAGAGAGTAGGATTGCAACCCCTGCCTTTTTTTGTTTTCCATTTGCTTGGTAGATCTTCCTCCATCCCTTTATTTTGAGCCTATGTGTGTCTCTGCACGTGAGATGGGTTTCCTGAATACAGCACACTGATGGGTCTTGACTCTTTATCCAATTTGCCAGTCTGTGTCTTTTAATTGGAGCATTTAGCCCATTTACATTTAAGGTTAATATTGTTATGTGTGAATTTGATCCTGTCATTATGATGTTAGCTGGTTATTTTGCTCATTAGTTGATGCAGTTTCTTCCTAGCCTCAATGGTCTTTACTATTTGGCATGTTTTTGCAGTGGCTGGTACCAGTTGTTCCTTTCCATGTTTAGTGCTTCCTTCAGGATCTCTTGTAAGGAAGGCCTGGTGGTGACAAAATCTCTCAGGATTTGCTTGTCTGTCAAGGATTTTATTTCTCCTTCACTTACAAAGCTTAGTTTGGCTGGATTTGAAATTCTGGGCTGAAAATTCTTTTCTTTAAGAAAGTTGAATATTGGCCCCTACTCTCTTCTGCCTTGTAGAGTTTCTGCCGAGAGATCAGCTGTTAGTCTGATGGGTTTCCCTTTGTGCGTAGCCCGACCTTTCTCTCTGTCTTTCCTTAACATTTTTTCCTTAATTTCAACTTTGGTGAATCTGACAATTATGTGTCTTGGAGTTGCTCTTCTTGAGGAGTATCTTTGTTGTGTTCTCTCTATTTCCTGAATTTGAATGTTGGCCTGCCTTGCTAGATTGGGGAAGTTCTCCTGGATAATATCCTGCAGAGTGTTTTCCAACTTGGTTCCATTCTCTCCGTCACTTGCAGGTACACCAATCAGATGCAGATTTGGTCTTTTCACATAGTCCCATATTTCTTGGAGGCTTTGTTCATTTCTTTTTATTCTTTTTTCTCTAAACTTCTCTTCTCACTTCATTTCATTCATTTGATCTTCCATCACTGATAACCTTTCTTCCAGTTGATCGAATCAGCTACTGAAGCTTGTGCATTCATCACTTAGTTCTCGTGCCGTAGTTTTCAGCTCCATCAGGTCCTTTAAGGACTTCTCTGCATTGGTTATTCTAGTTAGCCATTCATCTCATCTTTTTTCAAGGTTTTTAACTTCTTTGTCATGGGTTCGAACTTCCTCCTTTAGCTCGGAGAAGTTTGATCGTCTGAAGCCTTCTTCTCTCAACTCATCAGAGTCATTCTCCTTCCAGCTTTGTTCCATTGCTAGTGAGTAGCTGCATTCCTTTGGAGGAGGAGAGGCACTCTGATTTTTAGAATTTTCAGTTTTTCTGCTCTGTTTTTTCCCCGTCTTTGTGGATTTATCTACCTTTGGTCTTTGATGATGGTGACGTACAGATGGGGTTTTGGTGTGGATGTCCTTTCTGTTTGTTAGTTTTCCTTCTGACAGTCAGGACCCTCAGCTGCAGGTCTGTTGGAGTTTGCTGGAGGTCCACTACAGACCCTGTTTGCCTGGGTATCAGCAGCGGAGGCTGCAGAACAATGCATATTGGTGAACAGCAAATGTTGCTGCCTGATCTTTCCTCTGGAGATTTTGTCTCAGAGGAGTACTCGGCCGTGTGACGTGTCAGTCTGCCCCTACTGGGGGGTGCCTCCCAGTCAGGCTACTTGGGAGTCAGGGACCCACTTGAGGAGGCAGTCTGTCTGTTCTCAGATCTCAAGCTGCATGCGGGAGAACCACTACTGTCTTCAAAGCTGTCAGACAGGGACATTTAAGTCTGCAGAGGTTTCTGCTGCCTTTTGTTTGGCTATGCCCTGCCCCCAGAGGTGGAGTCTACAGAGGCAGGCAGGCCTCCTTGAGCTGTGTGGGCTCCACCCAGCTCGAGCTTCCTGGCCGCTTTGTTTACCTACTCAAGCCTCAGCAATGGCGGGCACCCCTCCCCCAGCCCTGCTGCCGCCTTGCAGTTTGATCTCAGACTGCTGTGCTGGCAATGAGCGAGGCTCTGTGGGTGTAGGACCCTGCGAGCCAGGCATGGGATATAATCTCTCGGTGTGCCGTTTGCTAAGACCATAGGAAAAGTGCAGTATTAGGGTGGGAGTGACCTAATTTTCCAGGTGCCATCTGTCACCCCTTTCCTTGGCTAGGAAAGGGAATTCCCTGACCCCTTGCGCTTCCTGGGTGAGGCGTGGCCTCGCCCTGCTTTGGCTCACACTTGGTGCACTGCACCCACTGTCCTGCACCCACTGTCTGACAGTCCCCAGTGAGATGAACCTGGTACCTCAGTTGGAAATGCAGAAATCATTCGTCTTCTGCATTGCTCACCCTGGGAGCTGTAGACTGGAGCTGTTCCTATTCCCCAAATTAATTTTTGTTGACTGAATAAATGAAATATGAGTGTATTAAAATTTAATTTCATCACAGAAAATTATAAAATAAACAATACTGGAAAAGATTGAGAAAGTTTTTATTTTATGTAACTAGTGTGCATATCAATTCATAAATTCATTCCATTTGTCTGTTGAGACTGTACGAATTTTATGACTGCATAACAAATTATCACAAATATTGGCTTTAAACAATACCCATTTATTTAATTAATTCATTTATTTTTAGAGAAATGGTCTCTTTCTCTCATCCATTTTGAAGTGCAGTCACACAGTCATGGCTCACTGCAGCCTTGAAATCCTGGGCTCAAAGGATCCTCCTGGCTCAGTCTTCAGAGTAACTAGAACTACAGGCAAATGCCACCACGCCCAGCTAATTAAAAAAAAATTGTAGAGATGAGGGTCTCATTGCATTACCCAGGCTGGTCTCAAATTCCTGAGTGTAAGTGATCCTCCTGTGTAAGCCCCTCAAATGTTAGGATTGCAGGTGTGTGCTACCACACCTGCCCAAACAACATCCACTGATCTGTTTACAGTTCTTTAGGCAGAAATCCAGGCATGATGTAGACGGGGTCTCTATTCAGGGCTTCCCAAAGCTGTGTTTTCATTTTGAATCCTCCTTCAAGCATATATAGAGGCGGCAGAATTCAGTTTCTGACAGTCGTTAAGACTGAGTTTCCTGTTCCCTGCTAGCTGTCAAGGTAGAGAGGAGGGAGGGCTGTGCTCAATGCCTGGAGCCAAACAGCATTCTTTTCTAGTCAGCCCCTTCAATTTCAAAGCCCACAGTGGAGGAAACCCCTCACACTGAATCCCTCTCACACTGTGAATCTCTATGCTCAGGAAGAACCCAGTCCTTTCATGGGCTCACCTGATTAGGAGTGTCCAAGCAGGCTAAACCCAGCCTCAAGTCAACTGATTGAGGACCTTGATTATATCTGCTAAATCCCTTCACAGCAGCACCTACAGTAGAGTTGGTTGAATAATTGGGGGAAGGTGGATGACCAGGAGCTGGTTGTTGGGGCTATTATAGAATCAGCCTAGCAAGGGTTGGATTTTCCTTTTGTGTTTAATTGTGACACAGTTGGAAATTGAAGTTCAAGTAAAGCGATCATTGTGAATGATAATAAAATACATCCTCTTCAGCCATGGAGATTCACCTTACCTCTTAAAATCAAGTGACAGGTTTAATAGCTTATAATTAATTCATGCCAGGTGTGGTGGCTGGCACCTACAATCCTAGCACTGTGGCGGGCAGAGGAAGGCAGATCCATTGACTCCAAGAGTTTGAGATCAGCCTGGGCAACATGGTGAAACCTCCATCTCTACAAAAACATTAGAGTATTATCCAGGCATGGTGGTTCATGCCTGTAGTCCCAGCCAGCTACTCAGGAGGCTGAGGTCAGAGGATATTTGAGCACAGGAAGTCAACACAGCAGTGAATGGTGAACATGCCACTGCACTCTAGCCTCTGTGACAGAGCAAGATGCTGTCTCAAAAATAGTAATAATCATGGTCATAAATTTAGAGCAAATGAAAATTGAAGTGCAATAAATCATCCTCTCTTATGAAAATGTATTAGTTATTTACTATTGCATAACAAATTACATAAAACTTAGCAGCGCAAAACAACAAACATCATCTACCGCAGTTTCCAATGGTCAGGAATCCAGGAGCAAGGTTTCCCTGAGTGCTTCTGGCTCAGAGCCTCTCACAAGGTTACAGTCCAGTCCAGGGCTGCATCATCTGAGAGCTTCACTAGGGCTTGGGATTTACAAGAAACATGGCTCACTCACATGGTTCCTTGTTGTCCGGTCCCAGGAGGCCTCAGTTTTTAGCCACATGGACCTTCCTGCAGGGCTGCTTATGGCACAGCAGTTGGCTTCCCCCAGAGCTCATGATCCCAGAGACAGAGAGAGAGAAGCTGCAGTGAGTTTTATGTTCTACACCCAGAGTCAAAAACTGTTATATCAGCACTACTCTATCAGTTAGAAGTTGTATTTGTCTGTTCTCACACTGCTATAAAGAAATACCTGAGACTGGGTAATTTATAAAGGAAAGAGGTTTAATTGACTCACAGTTCTGCATGACTGAAGAGGCGGCCTCAGGAAATTTACAATCATGGCAGAAGGGGAAGGAAGCATGTCATTCTTCACATGGTGGTGGGAGAGAGAAATGCAAGGTTGTCGGGGGCGGGGGTGGCAGGGAAGACTCTTGCAAAACCATCAGATCTCATAGAACTCACTCACTATCATGAGAACAGCATGAGGGAACCATCCCCATGATCTAATCACTTCCCACCATGTCTTTCCCCTAGCACGTGGGGATTACAATTCAAGATGAGTTTGGGTGGGGACACAGGGTGAGGCCATATCAGAAGTGCATCATTAAGTCCAAGCCGAACTCACAGGGAAGGAATTAAGCTGCACCATTGGAAGGGAGGAGTATCAAGGGATTTGCATACATGTTGAAAGCAAAATTAAAATTATTATTTCAGGATTTTGTAAATCAAATGCTTCTTTCATGTGATTATTTTTCTTTAATGCTTTAAGCTTCTTTTTAATTTTTATTTTAAGTTTCAGGGTACATATGCAGGATGTGCAGATTTGTTACATAGGTAAACGTGTGCCATGGTGTTTTGCTACACTTATCAACCCAGCACCTAGGTATTAAGCCTAGCATGAATGAGCTATTTTTCCTAATGCGCACCCCACCTCTGCCCTCCCCCAAAAGGACACAGTGTTCCCCTCCCAGTGCCCATGGATTCTCATTGCTCAGCTCCCAATTATCAGTGAGAACATGCAGTGTTTGTTTTTCTGTTTCTGCATTAGTTTGTTGAGGATAATGGCTTCCAGCTTTTTCCATGTCCCTGCAAAACATGATCTCCTTCCTTTTTAAGGCTGCATAGTATTCCATGGTGTACATGTCATATGTTTTCTTTATCCAGTCTATTGTTGATGCGCATTTAGGTTGATTCCATGTCTTTGCTATTGTGAGTGGTGCTGCAATGAACATACACATGGATGTAACTTTATAATAGAATGATTTATATTTCTTTGGGTATATACCCAGTAATGGGATTGCTGGGTCAAATGGTATTTCTAGTTCTAGATCTTTGAGGAATCGTCATATTGTCTTCCACAATGGTTGAACTAATTTACATTCCCACCAACAGTTAAAGCATTCCTATTTCCCTGCAACCTTGCCAGTATCTGTTGTTTCTTGACTTTTTAATAATCACCATTCTGACTGGCATGAGATGGTATCTCATTGTGGTTTTGATTTGCATTTCTCTAATGACCAGTGATGATGAGCTTTTTTTCATATGTTTGTTGGCCACATGTATGTCTTCTTTTGAGAAGTGTCTGTTCATGTCATTTGCCCACTTTTTAATGGGGTTGTTTGTTATTTTCTTGTAAATTTGCTTAATTTCCTTGTAGATTGTGGATATTAGATCTTTGTCAGATGGATAGATTACAAAAATTTTCTTTCATTCTGTAGGTTGTCTGTTCACTCTGATCACAGTGTCTTTTCCTGTGCAGAAGCTCTTTAGTTTAATTAGATCCCATTTGTCAGTTTTTGCTTTTGTGGCAGATGCTTTTGGCGATTTCATCATAAAATCTTTGCCCATGCCCAGGCAAATGGTATTGCCTAGATTTTCTTCTTGGGTTTTTATAGTTTTGGGTTTTACATTTAGGTCTTTAATCCATCTAGAGTTAATTTTTGTGTAAGATGTAAGGAAGGGGTCCAGTTTCAGTTTTCTGCAAATGGCTAGCCCGTTTTCCCAACATCATTTATTAAATATGGAATCATTTCCCTGTTGCTTGTTTTCATCAGGTTTGTTGAAGATCAGATGGTTTTAGATATGCGGTTTTATTTCTGAGTTCTCTACTCTCTTCCATTAGTCTATTACCATGCTGTTTTGGTTACTGTAGCCTGTAGTATAGTTTGAAATCAGGTAGTCTGAGGCCGCCTGCTTTGTTCTTTTTGTGTAGGATTGTCCGGGCTATATGAGCTCTTTTTTGGTTCCATATGAATTTTAAAATAGTTTCTTCTAATTCTGTGATAAGCTTCTCTTTTTAAATTAATGATTAAAAGTTTGAGACATCACAGAGCCTTGGGTGTTGTGGGGAAAACTGTTTGAGACAGAGAAAGAGGATACAATAGTATGTCTGAGTTTTTCTTGCAAATACCTTTAATAACAATATTCTCTTCAATGAGTCAACAGTTGAGAACCCAGAGTAACTAGAGCAAATATTCCAAAGACTTCTGTGCCGTAAAAATAATGACTTGAAAATAAGTCTTTGTTTCAACTAAGGTGTCTCACATTTAGTTGAAGTATGCCCCAAGTGCCAATTTTCTTATTGAAATATCATCTTCAAAAAACATTTGCCTACACTTAAAAAAAAGGGCTGTTGTGTCTATTGAGTAGCCATTCTTTTGTTTCCTTACTTCTCTCATAAACTTGATTTCACTTTAAAAAATTTGCCTAATTGGTTTTAATTTACAAAAATGTGAATCTCATACCTCAGTTAACACATCTAGCTTAGCAAGATGTCAATAGCTTTGGTTGGATGCAGTAGCCCAAAATGGTTAGCTCCAACTGAGGCATAAGATTTTTCAAAAACTGGCTATTTGGTGAGCATTCTATAATAAACTTAACATCTTTTGTTCTGGTATTGAATCAGATACGATAGAAGTGATTTGGACACCACTATGATTCTAAATAGCACTGCAATTTTGTGCTTTCAAGTTTTTTTGAGCAATCCTGTTGTGTTTTCCATTCATATTTGCTATTCCATCACTGGTTGTTCCTTTATACTCTTTTATTGTTTCATCTATTTTGATCAATGATGTGCATTTCCAATTCTGTAAAAGTTTAATTCAGTTGTATGTGTGGAATATGTAACAAATCAAATCCTTTGCAAAATGGAATTACCTTGCACATCAGATTGAATCTTGTATACCTGAAAATCTAGAGAGATGCCTGTGAGCCAAGGATCATATGGCCCTTTAGCCAAGGGTATTGTCATGGCATCCTGTAAGGAGCCTCTCTGTCATGTGGCTCCTTACAATTCTCTGTGGCTTTCTTCCAATGTAAGTAGTTCTTGTTAAGGATCCTTGCAATGAACTTTGATATTTTTTTCTTTCATTTTTTAAGAAACAGGTATATTTTAGTTTGAAAAATACTGTTTAAGGAGTTATAATCTAGTAGTTACCTGGGTTCCCAGCACTGGCATAAGACACAGAACCCGCAAAGCCACCCTGGGCTGCTGCCCAATCACATCCCCCAGAATGAGACCCCATCCTGAGTCTTGTTTTTATTATTACTTTGTATTTCTTTAAATATTTGTACAATAAGTATATATAATCTCAAACCAAATATTAGTTTCACTGGTTTTTAAGCTTCCTGTACAGAAATTCCTACTACATTTCTTTTCTCATGATGCACATTATGTATAGGAGTTATCTGTTTTGTGGGAGGCTGTCATTCACTCATTTTTACTGCTGAAGGTTTACATTTTATGGTTATACCACAATTTCACTACTTTGCTATTGATGTATAGGAGGCTGATTCCAGTTTTTGCCATAAACATTAGTGTGCATGTCTCCTGGGCACATAGGCGAGAAAGCCGCCAGAGTGTATGATTAGGAGTGGGATGGTTGGATGATATGTTGTATGGCCTTTAACCATACTAAATAATGATAATATGATTTCCAAAGTAATTGTGCCAACTTAAGCTTTTACAATAAATGTGTAATATGTGATGTTGATGTGTTCTGAAAACACTGAGTTGAAGGAATTAAGAGTTAATAGCAACTGCCTTGGCTGCAGAATTATAGCAGATTTTTTTTTTTTTTGACGGAGTCTTGCTCTGTCGCCCAGGCTGGAGTGCAGTGGCACAATCTCGGTTCACTGCAAGCTCCACCTCCTGGGTTCACGCCATTCTCCCGCCTCAGCCTCTTGAGTAGCTGGGGCTACAGGTGCCCGCCACCACACCGGCTAATTTTTTTTTTGTATTTTTAGTAAAGACAGGGTTTCACCGTGTTAGCCAGGATGGTCTCTATCCCCTGACCTCGTGATCCGCCCGTCTAGGCCTCCCAAAGTGCTGGGATTACAGGCATGAGTCACCATGCCCAGCCTATAGCAGGCATTCTTATTCAGACTCTGTTAATAACTTCCTGTTGTTAACTTGTATCCTATATACCATGGCTTTATACTTTTAACATATAGATTCAGAAAATGTTTCCTTATAGTACAAACACATAGGGTTATTTTATATGTCAGAATATGTCATAATAAAAAAGAAAAAAATGGAGGAAAGGAGAGAAAGAAGGAGAGAGGAGTGAAGGAAGCAAAGAAGGAAGGGGAAGAGAAGGAGGGAGGGAGGGCAAATGGAAATAGAAAAGAAAGAGAGGGAGGGAGAGATAGAAGTGAGAAGAAAGGGAAGGAATAAAGGAGAAAAGAAACGAAAATAAAGAAAAAAACAGGCGTAGAGAAACTAGGAACCCAATATATGGCTAATATTATCAAAATGGGAGGAAATAAAACGGATGTATTTAACCTCTATAGAATAACAGAAATGTAAGAGGGCTTCATTAGTTATCCATTGCTGTATAACAAACTACCCCCAAATTTAGTGACTTAAAGCAACAAACATCGACTATCTCAAAAGCATAATACAAATACTAGCAAAATGGAGCCAATGCAGGTAGAAGTTGAACAAACAAAAGGATTTTACAAATTGGAGTAAGTAAGAGGTCACTGGTGTGCAGATGAAAATGATTTTGCATTCCAAGTGCCATCATGGGATTAAAGTTACAGGATTTTATTAGGGGACACACCTGTCAGAGATATAGCAACGGAGGCAGGTTACCCTGGGAAAGGCAACAGACCAAGATGCAAATGTGACCCCCAGTGATGGACAGAAGGACAGAAGGTTTACTGGATGTGTCCTAGACCACAGGCAATCTCAGGAGAGTTGAGCAAAGCCATGGAGGAGTCTTTGAGCCACTGCTGTCCGTCAGAGGAGTCCCTGGTCTCCCAGGAATGTCCTGCCTCAGTGTCACTGGTGTGACCCATCACTGGCTGGGAACAGCCCATGGGAAGCAGGGTCTCTGCACCAATGACACTGAGGATGTCAGAGCACAGGAGTGGGGCCTTGGGTGATTA
Source organism: Homo sapiens (assembly GCF_000001405.40). NCBI lineage: Eukaryota > Metazoa > Chordata > Mammalia > Primates > Hominidae > Homo > Homo sapiens. Next base: position 1,035,167 of record NT_167246.2, on the reverse strand, counting down.
CCCAGGAGTGTGGCTCAAACCTCCTGTCCTGAGAGGTCTGGGCCCTTGGAAATCAAATCCTCTCAGGCTGGATTGCTGGATGATTCTGCTCACATTTACAAAGGGACAAGGCAAACCAGAAGGCCCCCAAGTAGATCTCTGGTTCTCACACACACACTTCTGCCCTCATTGTGTGAAAGTAGCCATGCCTCCTCCTGGAGATCAGGATCTATTACCTGCACCTGGAGAGGAAGAGACTCCTTTTCTCACCAGCTGGTCTCTGGGCACATACTGTCCAAACTTCTCTGGTGACAACCATAATGTGTAGTTCAATGGGCTGTCATGTGTCTCCTTTTAAGGACCTCCTGCCCTGAACAGCCCAAAGTTGGGAGATAAAACGTGCAAAATACCCCAGTGGGTGAATCTAAGAGACTGGACATGGAGACAAACCTGCTTCCAACTTTCGGTTTCTAGACCCACATATTCTTCCTATTGAGAACACAGCACCGTAGAGATGTCTCTGATTCAAACAATGCACCATGTCCTGAAAAACGGCCCCCACCCCTCAGAGTGCTTCCTCCAGGATGACACTGAGTTTTGCCTGTAGAAGACATTTCCAGCATTCCTTGTGGCTGGCAGCCCCTGGGTGGTGCAGATGGTGATCAGATCAGTGAAACCCATAGCCACGGAAACACTGGAACTTTCCCTGCCAAGTGGGTCCTTCAGGCAGATACTGGGTTGGGAGCACCACCTAGCCTGTGGATCAGGAATGTCAACAGCACCCAGAGAGTGGTGCTGGCTGAGTGTCCGAGAGCAGGACAGGAAAACTCACCCATGGAATATGAGCCTACCCCTGTGAAGATGAACCTCAGGCCCTTCTAGGATGGAAGTAGCTAAATGTAGTCAACTTGTTACATAGTGGCTAGTTAGTCACCTAAAGAAATAGTGCCCCACTAGGGCACATGGTGGGCCTCAAATGCTGATGAGTTGGACATTCAGAGGTGGCAGCAGCTGGATCTGTCTTGATAATGGGGAGTCAGTACTTCTGGCCCCATATGTAGCCTCATGCCTGCCACTGTGCTTGCTCCATTCATGTGCCCATCCTACCAGGCCTGCATTGACCCATAGTGAAGGCTGGCTAACTTCCATTTGTCTGTTTGGTTGTTCAGTGCTGCTTCAGACTTGGGTGTTTTCTGGGGGTGTCAACATGGGATTCAAGCACAACCCAGGTGGACCATTTTCACCTCATGATGAATGCTGTTGGGCCTGTCCAATCTATGACTTTCTGGGTCACACAGAAGCCAATTCACACAGGTACTTGGAATCACATCGTTGCTTGGTGTCCTGTGGTTAAGCATTCTATCGAATCAGGACCAGGAACACTAAAAGTTGCTTCTAATGGGGAGCCATGTCTCTGCTGTGGATGACATGATCTTACTCCAGATCCCAGGCCCTCCACCATGACTCTCCCACTGCTGCTTGGTTCAGCTCCATCCTGCATCTTTCCCCACCCCTGCCCCTTCCAGTACCAAGAGGTCTGAGGGATGGTGGCTGCACCGCAGCCTGTATCTGCTGCAGGGTGCTTTCCTGTGTAGGCCTCACTTGAAGCTGGCCTCCTCCTATGTCACCTAGAGTGTGGGCCAAAGCAACATTTCTACATGTGGAATGTGCTGTCGTCAGAACTCCAAGAGTGCTTTCTTTTTTTGCAGTAAGGATGCAAAATGCAACACTTTGTAATTTACCTAGGAGGGGACACCCCTGGCATTCCCCTAAACACTGGACTCATAAAACTTCACTACAGTGACCTTTCCTGAAGCTCTGTAAGGTTTATCTTCACCTTCTGAAGTGCAAATGTTTTGCCAACGATGCCAGTGCACTTTCTACCTGCTGCTCATTCGCCCCAGTCAACATGAAGTTGTAAATGAAATGAGCTGATTTAATATCCTTTAGGATATCCAGTATGTCTAGTATAGTCATAAGACTATACTATAGAGGACAGGGGAGTTACAAAAGTCCTGAGGCAAACTATAATTCAATGTGTTGTGGATCCCACATGAATGTGAATCACTCCATATCCCCTTTGTAATTGGAATGGAAAGAAATGCACTCACCAAATCCACAGCTGCACACTGTGTGCCCAAGGCTTTGTTAATCTGCTCTACCAGTGATATCCAGACAGCACAAAAGCTGCACTTATAACTCCTACTTGGCCATATCTGGAGTAATCTCATTCATTCTTTAGGCCTCACTAGGCTTCCTCAGGGACAGATTGCTGGATTACACGGAGACAATAGGCAGCCTCAACACCACCCCGCCTCCTTCAGCTTTGTAATGGTGGTGTGACCCCCACAATACTTGCAGTGTCCTTCACAAGACCCATGCTGGGACACACTATGATTTTTGATTTGGCCAGGATGGGGGCAGTTTCAGAGGTTTCCCTTTGGCCTTTGGCATCAAGAGATCCCTTATACCACAGACTGGGGACCCAGTGTGGGGGTGACTCCACTTACCAGAGCATCAGTGTCAATTATGCACTCAGGGAATTGGAAGATAATCAGGGTTGGGTCTATGCATCCAGTGGTCCCATTGCGGGCCATAATGTGTCCAGGTTTACTCCCTGGCCTCCGTAAGCCCCACTGTGATGGAGAAGATGATTGTGCTGTGGGCATCTGGGCATCAATATCAGCTTACATGCAGTGAAAATGATCCCCCCTAGTTCTGCCTATTTCCCTTCCCCAATGTACAGTCTCCTGAGTAAATGGCTATAGGTTCCCTTGCTGAAAGACTGAGGGAATTGTCCCAGCCATATACCTCCATGGTGTCCCAGGGTCCTTTCTCTAGGGATATGGACTCCTCCTCTGTCACTGAGATCTGAGTCTGAATCTTGATTGAGGTCTAGGCATTGAGAAGGGGATCATGGCTTTGTATTTGGTCGAACACCCTCAGTCTCCTGCTCCTCAATTCTTGCTTTCTTATCATATATATCAAGCAGTGCCCTTGTTGGCTGCCTCTTGTAACCCTGGTGTCCTCTCTACTAACTTTCCCCACACTCCCTGCAGCTTGAGTCCCCTTGGCTGCTCCTCTGAGGTTGCCATGGTAACCATGCCCTCCGGCTTTTGCAGGTCACTGCCACCACTTGTTCTCAGTCTCTTCAGGCCCACATTCTCCCCAGAGATATGAATAAGCACAACTCTGGGACCTTTACTATCATTACCCCCAGCCTGCAGAGGATAACACCCCGACACTTCTTAGTGATGCAGGTCCCTCTCCACAGCATGTTCCTGAGGCTCTGGTGGAAGATGTGCCCTCTGGGTCCTCTTGTGGAGCATGGTCCTGGTGGGCCTTCATCACGCCCACTTCCCTCAGCCTTGTTATTGCATCCTCTACATGTTCCAGGATAACTAGGTCATATCTACCTTGTTGAGAGTTGGGCATCATTTTTTCCAGTCTATATGGACTCACCCCAGTAGTGGGTTTACCCCATGTCCTGGGTTCTTTGATAAACCCATGTCCTGAGAAAGTGCCTCCAAGCCAAAGGATTTTTATTCATCCAGACTGAAATTCTAGTTTATTGATCAAATGCCCTCAAATTCCAATCCCAGAAGTGCACCCCAGGCCCCTATGGGGACATGCTGGCTAGTTCCTGCAAAGCTCCTGAGTGGGATTCCTGCTGCATCGTAGGAGTGAGGCTTCTGTAGCATCTTTCAGCATAGGAAGTGGGAACGATTACTAGAGAAGGGTGAGCCTCCTCTGCATGCCCAGGGGGTCCTGGAGGAGGGCACCCATCAGATAACTCTGTTCTAGTTTGCAGAATCTGAGGTTCCCCCACCAGGGCCCTGACTTTCCTATAAAAGGCCTGTGTTGGCTGAGTATCAAACGTCTCTGGAGCACTGTGCCCACCATAATGATGTTCAGCTACCATTCCATGCTATCTGCTCTTTTGATCCAGGAGATAAAGGCCTCTCCATGAGACACTGCAGAGACTCTCACACATAGCCAGTGACAGCTGTTAACAACCTGCAGATTCTCATTATCCTTTTATAGAGCATCAACACAGCTGGGAAGTAACCAGCCAACTCCACTGTCTTTGTGGGTTTACCCCCAACTCCATCATTATTGTGCAGGGCATTCTATCACCACATCTGCCATAGCTTCCCCTAACCAGAGCATCTTCTCAGGTTAGCACTGGTGAGACCCACGGCACTCAGACGCAACTTCTCTATGGACTTTCTTTGTCCCCCGCTAACCTAGATGGCATCCTCTTGGCCTGACAGGCAGTGGGAAAGCTTATTTCAAATTTCCAGTTTTGGTCATTTTCATGGATCGCCCTTGATACCACTTGTGATAGCTGCGGTCCTGAACTTAGACCCCAATACAGTATTAAATGTGTAAGGATTTATTAGGGGAAATAGTTGTGAGAGAAAATCAGGATAGAGACAGAAATGCTGGAAAAGCCATCAGATCACAATGCAACTCTGAGTCCCAGTGAAGGAGAGAGGGCAGGAAGGTCAGCTGGAAGCATCCTAGACCCTGTGTAGGCTAAGGGAAGCTCAGTAGGGATGGCAGGGAGTCCTGGAGCCTCAGCCAGCCTTCAGAGTAGGAATATTCTTGCCTTAGTTTTCCTGCTTTGGTCAATCATTGGTTGGAAAAAGCTGGGGCAGGTGTGGTCTCAGATCAAACGTGACAATAGATTTCAGGCTGCGACAGCTGGGACATCATCAATTATTCTTCCTCTACCTGAGGGCCTGGGATGTGCATCCTCATGAGTGCCACAATGATCCACTGGAATAAAAGGAAAAGGGATGACAATAGAGGGAAAAAAAAGGTATTAATTGATGAGCTAACACTTTAAGTAGATGAGAAGGGATGATGTTCAGGGCACCAGCAGAGGAACTGGCTCTGGCTGGGAGCAGGATGGTTAACACACAGCAATCCCCCATGTAGTAAAATGCCTGACATGTGGTGCAGCTGCAAATGCATGAGCAGACGGTGGTGGAATCTGTGAAGTTGTCTTCTAAATGTGTTCAGTTTTCTCAGTGAAGTAGGAAGCAAGATCATCAGCGGAAGTAAGAATGGGGAAGGAAGATTGGATGTGTGAGGACAGAGAGAAGGTATGTAAGAGTCACCCAGGCCAGGAGGAGGCTGAGAGTGAGCCATGCAGGGAGAGGGTGATTGCTGGCTATGGTGGGGGCTCCCCATGAGGTTTGGGTCGTGAATGTAGAGAGAACAGTCAGCATGCTGTGTGCTGCTCTCCAGCCTCCTGCAGCTTATGGGGGCAGGTGCAGTGTAGGCTGAGGTGGAATCCACTAGCTGTGTAGTTTTGCCAGGCAAGTGTGACAACGAAAGGGAGAGGCAAGGGAGGGATGGAAATTATTTACTACAGAATCCAAAATGGATGAGGAGGGAGGAGAGGACAACAAACACTAAGGGAGAAGGAATAGATAGCAGCATCACTGGATTGGGAATTTCAAGGGGGTGGAAAAATTATTGGAATAGATGTACTACAGAATGGACTCCATGCCTGGAAAGCAGGCACACATGCAATGAGTGGTTCACTGATGTTACATTATAGCATATGATCAAATTATAGCATCAGTGTCTTCAGAGCCTGTGGCTACCCTGCAAGGGGATGAGTGGAAAGATGGCCAGAGAGTGGGAAGTGTGAGATTGAGAGTGTGGAAGGGCTGGGGTTCTTTGCCATGATGAGGCCTAGGGGAGGACAAGGTCCTGAGATTCCGGCAGAGAGAGGAGATGGTAATGAAGAAAAGGAGTTCCAGGATCTGAGAGGCCAGGGAGTGAGGGCATCTTCTCTGCTGTATAGGTGTCTATTGCTGCCATAAAAATTACCACAAACCAAGCAGCTTTAAACAGCACCTAATTATCATGTCACAGTTGCGTGGGTTGCAAGTCCACCCAGTCTCACGGGGCTAAGATCAAGGTATGGGCAGGTCTGTGCTCCTTCCTGGAGAATCTGGGGAAGAGTCCACATCCAAGCTTATTCAGGTTCTTGTCTGAATTCACTTCCTGCAGATAGAACTGAGCTTCCCACTTCCTTTTTGGGAGCACCCTTAGATCCTAGAGACTTCTCTCTGGTGCCTAAAGCACATCCAATCCTCCTGCTTGGAACCACTGATCTCCCCTTTGCTGTGTCTCCTCTGCCTTCCTTCTCTGCAGCATGTGACTCCATCTAGAGCAGATTCTCTCCTTTTAATGGCTCATGTGATTTGATCGGGCCCACACAGAGAGTCCAGGATTATCTCCCTACTTTAAGGTCTTTTATCTTCATTACATGAGTAATGTCCCTTTTGCCATGCAATGCAACCTGTTCACCGACTCCAAGGACTAAGACTGGATCTCTTTGGGGACTAGTACTCAGCCCAGCACATCTGCATATGTTGAAGTCAGAAAGAATCAAGGAGACAGCACTGCTGGAGAGGGTGACAGTGATCTAGGAGCTACAAGAGTTAGGATTGACAGGAATGGCTTGGGGCCCACAGGGAATGGCTACAATGAGGGGAGCGGGGCCTTAGTCTGTTGACAGCTTAGGGGTTTTAGGGAGGAGGGAGGCAGAAAGGTCTGAGAACCACAGTGAAGAGCAAGGACCCCACCTCACCTCTGAACCCAGGGGTACAAGTTGCTGGGAAACTCCCCCATGTAGGGGAACTTCAGAGTGGGTCACATCCTCAGGAAGACCTGGTTCCTGCTAGAGCTTCGAGGTGAGGGAGCATCCTGAGAGAGAATGAGGAGGTTTTGCTGATCATGGACTGAGGATTCCAGGGAGTACAGAGGGAAGATTTCTGGAGTTAGGTAGGGGACATGGTGGGGGGACAGAATAGAGCGTGCGGAGCCTTGTGGGGATGCAAGTGCTGGGTATATGGGGGACCCAGTGTGACTGACACAAACAGGGAAAGGGCATGAGGAGCTCAGTCCTGGTGGACTCGAGGCAGACGATGGTGCTGAGGCTGTGGGAGATGAAGGAGGAGGAGCAGGGGTGGCTGTCACCTGGGCTCTCTCCATGGAGGTGAAGACAGTGAGGTGGTTGGGTCTTAGTGCTGTGTGGACCTTCTGATGACTGGATGGAGTGTCTGAGGGAGGAGGGGTCTTAGAGGATTCACTCGTGACCCTGAGGGAGGGTATGTTCTCACTTCAGGTCTCAGGTGTGCCCTGACACCTTTCTTTGTGGCTTAGGGCTCCCTACTGTAAATTATTGGGGATTAGTACCTTTTGGAATTTGTAACTTAAAGCAGAAACTCAGATGGTCGAAATGTCATTTTCATGAAGGTTTGTTATTAGCGTATCATTTAGATTGTCTTGCAAAAGTCTCATTTTTTGTTGTTTTTCTAAAGGGCTGTCGATCTTGTTTTAAATTTACAAATATTGATAATTTATCTCCACTGTTAATTGGTTGGGGGTTGTTTAATTTTGTACTGCATAGTTTTACATATCTATAACAACAGTGGTTTGGGCCTCTTATGTTCTAATAATTAAGACTTTAAGCTGTGTACACATTGCAATTCAAGTATGAGTCATGCATAACCCTGGCACTAAGAGAAAAGAGGGAAAGTCCTTCTCTCCTAAAATTTTGCAAAGCTTCTGGGTTCTTTTTCCACTGAGTGGGAACAAGTCAGCTAGTGAGGAACATGAGGTCTTTGGCCTCATCGAAAGGTGATTCATCTCCCAACTGTGAGAAGCACTGACCACTAGGAAGACCTCCCTGCCTGGTCCCTGGACCCCTACACCATGGTAGAGGCTATCTTCCCTCCCACTGCAAAGTGGTATCCCAGATAGCAAGCTGGTTAGCTGCTGCCAGCTCTTGGGTAGTTTTGTCTTCTAAGGCATGGGTTTTTATCTGAAAATCTTCCCCTTCCCAGATGACCCAAACTGGGGCCACCCACTCTTTTCTGAGCCACCTCTGCCCAGAGACCTGTGGCTATGTCCTCCAGTCACAACAGAACACCCTTTCAGAACACCCTGCAGGAAGCTGAGATCTCTACAGACTCACATGAATGGTGTGTGCACAGAGCTTTGGTTCTAGTTCAGGAGGTGTGGAGTGAGGCTCGCTAGTCCAACAGAGCTTGAGGCTAGTACTAGTGTCATATGCCAGGAGGCAAGGTTACAGGGGATACAAAGTGTCCAGACCTACCAGAGAAGGCAAACCCCTGTAACAGGCAGGGCTAGACAGGGACAAGAAACAAGGTCATTCTGGGCCAGCAAGAAGAGGGAAAGGGAAATTACAGACATATCTCAGAGAGATTGCAGATTTGGTTTCAGATCATGCAAACAAAACAAGTCACACAATTTTTTTGTTTTTGTAGTGTACATAAAAGTTATATTTATACTTTAGCCTATTAAGTATACAATAGCATTATGTATAAAATAGATATGTACATACCTTAATTAAAAATTACACTACTGCTAAAAAATGCTAACAGTCATCTGAGGCTTCAGCTAATACTAATGTTTTTGCTGGAGTAGGGTCTTGCCTCAATGTTGATGACTGCTGACTGATGACAAGGTGGCTGCTGAAGGCTGCTGTGGCAACTTCTTAAGACAATAAAGTTTGTGGCATGGATTGTAAGGTGGGAATTAGTACATAAGTAAGGTCAATATGAGTTTTCAAGTCAAGTGGACCTGAATATGAACCCTTCAGGCCTTTCCACCAGCTAGCTATAGAACCCTGGGCACATCTGGCCCACAATTGGCCCTGACAGACACTTTCACAGTGAATGAGTGCTGAATGAAACCATATGAGTCAGTTTCCTCATCTGCAAACCAGTGATGTAATTCCTGCCTTGCCAATTCAGAAGAATACATGAGAAGAAACATAGTGCCAAGAAAAACAGACACAAGACCTGTGGAAGGCTGGGCACCAGTGCTCTAAAGCAAGATCTGCCTAAACTGGCAGGAACATTTTTCACAGCAGACAGGAGTTGGTCTGGATTCTGTCTGGGGCCAGGCTGAGAGGGAGGTGGGGGCAGCAGAACGGGACAGGGGCAGGGGCCTATGCAGGGCCAGGCACTGAAGCAAAGCCCAGGCCTGGAAGGGCGGGCTCCTGATGTCTGCTAGGAAACTCAGACAGCTCCCTGCCTCACCCGCCATGGTTTTTCCTCTTCCAGGATCTCTCAGAGCTGTTGCCTTCACTTTTCCTGCCTTGGAAAGTGGAGATGATAACGAAAAGCTGTTGCCAAATTAAAGGAGGCTATTGCCTCCTCTCCCCTCCTGGTCCCTAGCACTCCAGGACTCACAAAGATGCTGCTCTGAAAACCCCAAGGCAAGCGTGGAAGAGTAGAACAGCTCCAGGGGCAGTGGGAAGATGAGGGCACCCCCGCATGTTGACAGACACCAAGGGTGGGGGTGGAGGAGATGAAGGGGATCAGCACAGGAGTCTGGGGGAAATCCTCTAAATCCCACCCTGCACCAACCTCACCCCTGCAGCTCCTTGTGTAGTTACAGCTCTCAGCTCTCAGCTCCTTCCCAACCACACCCCAGCCCAGACCTCAGGGCTCCTCCCTCTCCCTACCCCCTCCAGAGCAGCACAGTCCACAGAGCCCTTGAAAAGGAATTCCCCCTCATCTAACAGTTAATTATTTCTTAGTGGGGAGGGACAGCCGGTCCTCTCTTTCCAGTGACCCCATGTCTTTGTTCAAGGCATCCAGTTATACTCCCTGAGCCAGGGATCTCTAGGCCAGCTGGGACCTAACAGCTTCTCCAGTTGCTCAGGGGCCAGCACTTATGCAACCTGGCATCTGTGCCTGGCACTTCCTTCAGATGTCTGGCTGTCCTCGGAGGGCTGGAGTCCAAGGAGTTGGGGCAAGTAGGTGGTAACCAGGCAAAGTTTGAGTTGCAAGAAGACAGGGATATTGGCCATCCTGGTCATTGTAGTCTTATCAGGTCCTTGTCCCTTGTGGAGGCAGAATTCACCACATGTTAGTTTTTCCTGCTGTAATGAACATGAACTTGGGGTTGGTGCACTGATACAATAAGGTTTGCTCTGCTGCAGTAGTGTTGCCTCCGTGTAAGAGAAACAAAGGCTTCAATATAACATTTGCCTGTGTATCTCACAGCCTAAGGGCTAACAGAGCATCTGTGGGAACACAGTGGCCCACACCCTAGTCAGGACCCCACAAGGACTGAACCAAATGTAGGGTCATTAGCTTTTCCTGGCCTCAAATAGGAGTCTCACCCTGCCTTAGCCATGACTCCCATGCCATGTACATGTGGTAGGGGCCTGTGTGCCTAGCAAGGACACAGTTCAGAGAGCTTTCTTCATTACCTAGGGTGAGTGGCTGGAAAAAAAAAAAAGTTGCCCACGCCCATGAGGCCCTGGAGGGAAGCATAGAACCTACTACTAAATTCTTCTGGGATGACCCATTTCAGGCATGGTTTCCTCTGTATCAAAGTTGCTCTCTCACTGATCTACTGACAGCTAGCTCTTAACAAAAGAGTGTGTGGAGCAGTAAAACTCATGTCGGCCTGAGAGGGCCCCAGACATGTAATGATGTCTGGTGGCTTTGGCTGGGGCCACCCCATGGCTGTCCTCCTTCTTGGGCGTTCCCCGCTCCCATCTCACTGGAGCCATGGTGGGTTCACCTGTCCTCTCTTCTCACTCCCATTCTTCAGGGTGGGATGCAGTGGTGTGCTCCTCTCTCCCCAACAGAGCACTGGTGTCCCTTTTGGAGTCTAGTTTCTCTTTTCACCCCCAAGCCTGCTGGGGAGGTCTCAATTCCAGGAAGTTGGCTGCTGGGCATCCACTATGGGCTCCAGCCCTGGACCACAGGCGCTGTCATATTTTGGGTGGAAAGGAATTTGTTTCTTTTCTGCAAAGTAAAGGAAAATGGAATGAGGGCAATTAGGTTGATCTCATGATGTCCATGGGTCCATGGGAACTTGAAAGACTCATCCCCTTCCCCCTGCTTTAAGAAGATAAATGGAGAAAAGGAGCTCCCATTAAGGGAAAACATTGACTCTATTCCTATTGACTCTATCCTTGAAATGGAATTTGGATTCAACTTCAAAATTGAATTCATTTTTAGGGATAGAGTCAAATTCAAATATTGACTCTATCCCTGAAATTAAATCACAAGCAAATAAGAAATTTATGAGATCCAAACTAAGCCATTTAAGTAAACTATTCCAGAATTTAAAGCTCAGCAATGACAAGATATCAGGAAACAGTGACAATTCTCCCACTCCACAGGTGAGTCCAGTGAGACTGGTCAGGGCTTGCTGCCTGCTCCTTGGTGCTGTCCTGGTACTTTGGAAGCATCTATGATTCTGTGAACCTCACCCACAGCTGCCCAGCAACTTCCTTTTGCTTATATGAGCCAGACTCTGCTTTTATGGCTTATACTCAAATAATTTAAGGTATTTATTTATGAGTTATACGTCCCATGTGGAGATAGGGAAGGAGAGTTAGGTACTCTTCAATGTTACTACCTGCTAAGCATATATACATGATTTTTTTTTTTTTTTTTTTGAGACGGAGTCTCACTCTGTCACTCAGGCTGGAGTGCAGTGGCATGATTTTGGCTCACTGCAGCCTCTGCCTACTGGGTTGAAGCAATTCTCTTACCTCAGCCTCTCAAGTAGCTGAGGTTACAGGCGCCCACCATCATGCCCAGCTAATTTTTGCATTTTTAGTGGAGACAGGGTTTCACCACTTTGGCCAGGCTAGTCTCGAACTCCTGACCTCAGGTGATCCACCCGCCTCGGCCTCCCAAAGTACTGGGATTACAGGCGTGAGTCATCATGCCTGGCCGAAACGTTGCTTTTTAAAGGTATAATTTTGGATTAGAGCAAATGCTAGTGTATTTAAGTAAATTCCATGAAGAATGTGAACACTGTAAGCAAGTGCATTATTCTCAGCTTCCATCTCCTCACAGAGCCATCATCCACTCTCTTCCATCCTGCCCCCTACACTGGGAGGCAACTATGACAGACAGACGACATGGCCTGTGCTCCTTCACCATCTGGCTTGTGCTTGGGTGTGGATGATAACAGGCACCTGCAGGAGATGGGAGTGTGGGAGGAGGAGTAACTCAGGGTTTTCATTTCCCTCACTTACTCTGGGCAGCTCTGTGATTCTGTAATCACTTCAGGCCTCTATCTACAGCCATAGGCATGGCGGGCTGCCCCTAGTGAAAGCTACAGATTTGCCTGAGTTCTAGAAACTGCTCCCTTCCTTGCTCTTTCAAGCTCAGAAATGCAAACCATTTCCTGCTACAGATCATCCCAGGGAGCTTCAGTGCCCCTTGTGACTTTCTTAGCCCTGCCAGAACCTCTTTAAAACGTGTCTTCCTTCTGTGCCATATCTTTCCTGCCAGGACCCAGACCACAGGGTGCTCCCACAGAAAAAGGGACAAGAATTTATTTATGACATGGCAATAACATATCTATTCACAATGCGAATTCAATTTGTTTTGGAAGAGACTGGGTCTTGTTATGTTGCCGAGGTTGGTCTTTAACTACTGGCCTCAAGCAATCCCTTTGCCTTAGCCTTCCCAAAGTGCTAAGATTACAGGCGTGAGTGAGTGTGCCCAGGCCTTAATTCAAAAATTTGACTTACTACAATAAAAGGGAAACAATAGAAGCATTCTGGAAATGGAACAGGAAAGAAGGCAGAGGTGGGAACGATCAATCTGTGTCATCTGAGAAGCCCCATGTGCAGAGGCTGTCCTGGGTCTTTAGGGGACGACAACAACAAAGCACACAGGATCCTGGTGTCAGGGACAGAGCATGGCCACTGTGGGACATAGCGGCTCTCCTACAAAATAATGCTCATATACATCCCTTATGAGGAGGATCAGATCAACATATAAAAATATGCCAGATAAAGTGGAGGCGAGGGCAGGATGGAGAGCTGCCAGTATCTGCCCTTGACCTCCATGGACTTGAAGAAAGGCTCAGCCTGGAGTTGTGTGAGGCCTCCGACCTGGAGCAGCACCCACCCCTAAAGACCAGGCACCAATCACAATGCAAGGAGAGATCCAGACAAATAAACAGGAAATGACCACAGCAGGAGCTTTGTTGAGCACAGAGCGAGGCCACACACCACTCAGCACCTGGCCCTCCACCCGCCCTTCTCTCCCCACCTGCCCCTGCCCCAGCACAGCAGATCCTCAGAATCCAAAAAGAGAACCTAACCTCCATGTTTTATTAATGGCTGATAATATTTTACCACAGCTTCAAAGAAATGATATGAGAACAATAACTAATAGAGTAAGAAGTCTATTCAGGGTGAGTGAGTGACAAGGGAAATCTAGGAGGGAGATATTGTAACCCTTTCATTCCCAGAAAAGAAATGATGGTCCAGGGAGATACACCAGGCCTGGATATTGAGATTACGTGGAAGGGGTTCTGGGGCATCAGAGGAGTGGGCCTCACTCCCACCATCCTCCCCTTGCTATGCTTGGGAGGAGATAGAGCTCATCAGCTGCACAGCTGGGGAAAGAGAAGTCAGGGTCTTCCAAGAGACAAGGGGAGCTGTGAACAATCTGTGTCTTGCTGGTCTGCACAAGGCAGCTCTCAAACAGTGGAGAACATGCTAATGAGCAGATTCAGCTCAGCCACTCTCAGCCTTGACACCCTGAGCATTACAGACAGCCCGTGACCAACCCCTACTTTCAAATCCAAAGATCCCCTACAGCTTGAAGCTTCTCCCCGGCCTCAACTCCTGTTGGTGTTGGGCCCCAAGGGTCATATTTCAGGAAGCTGTGAGCACCACATCAGCATCAGGGACCCGGTCACCACCTGGAGAATGATAATAAAAAGACCCAGCAGAGCCTGCAGGAGACTGTATTTGAGGCAGGACCATAGGATAAGTGAGGAATGAGACGGTGGCTCCATCCTGTCTATTTCAGGAGTTAGAGATGAGCTGCCCCTACCGCCCCTTCCATGCTGCTTTTTATTGAGTAGACCCCTCCTGAAGTTCTTTTGAGGAGAGAAGACCCTGTTAGGTGCCATGGTAGAGAGGGGCCCTGTGAGTCTTAAATAACTGGTTAATATAGCTACTTAGCTGAAATTAGGAAGGTAAACCCAGGATTCAGGAGAGGAGAAAGAGACAGCATGGGATCCTGCAGTCACCCTCCTGTACATCTGTTTGCAGGGAGGGTCTTTCCTGCAGGGTTGGGAGCACCCAGTATTGAGGTCCTCTGAGTATGGCTACCCTGTTGTTCTCATCTGTGAATGGGGCCAGGCCTGTTTCTTCCCCCAGTATAAACAGCCAGGGGAATCCATCCACAAAACACCTGCTAGCTTCACATTAATCCTGTATTAGTTTGATTTAATATTTCATATCTTATAAGAAATGAAATGGAAGGATGATCTCTTTGGTAAAGGTAATTCAGATTCCTGGGGCCCTGGATACCTTATCTCACTGTTTAAAATCCTCATGGAGGATCAGGAGAGTACAGAGCCCAGAAACAGTCACGAGACCTGAAGCTCCCTGGTGTAAAGGACCCTCCCCCGCACCCTGGGGCTTAGAGTGAACAGCCTCTACTGTCAGCCTGATTGTTCTCAGTCTTCCTGGCTGCCAAGCTTCTGGTTCCCAGCAGCCTCCTCTCTCACCCTTCACCTCTTCTGACTGGGGTCATTGGCCACTTGACAGGCTGTGCCCTCCTTGTCAGTCAGCCTGTCTACCTGGTTTCCTCTCAGGGTGTGTGGCTTGACTGGGTTAACCATCCCCAGCCCCAGCAGAAACAGGGAGAAGTGACTCAGCAAATCCCCCAAGAGCAGTGGGATCCCTACATGTGAGATGGGGCAAAGCCATCATTCTAGTCCCTCCCATACCTGAGAACTTCTTGCACATCACAAGTCCAAGGACCATAGCAGGAAGTAGCTCTAAGCCAGAGACAAGAACAGAGCAGTGACAAGAGGCTGGTGTGAATGGAGACCAGCAAGCTCTATTGAGAGTAGTGGGATGAGGCCACAGATGCCCTGTGTTGAGGGGCTAGTAGGAAATGGTGGGAGACTGGGATTTCATTGCACTAAGAAAGGAAGAGGATGGAGTGTCCGTGGGATGTGATGGTGAGGATGTGCCGTAATTCCCATTTGAAAGGCTCGCTCTGCCTGTTGCATGGGTGATGGACAGCAGGTGTGAGAAGCAGCAGGCAGCCCAGCTGGAAGGCCCATCTGATTTACTATCCTAGAGAGGATTGGCTCTGGGGTAAAGTAGTAGAGGAGTGAGAAGTGATTGGATTTGGGGTCAAATATTTAAGATGGTGTTAGCAATAAGTCAATGGAGAATCACACATTTATTTACTTAACTTAATTCTACAGTTCATTCCCAGGAGTTTACAGCAACAAACCCATGGTAATAAATATACATGAATTATTTTAAAACAACACCAAGGAAAATATAAACTTTAGAATGTTAAGGCTGGGGTAAAGCTAGAACATTGCTAGGCACGAAGGAGCATCTGAAACATTTGCTGAAATGGTTTACTGTTTACCTATCCATGGATTTGTTGGCTCACAATTTTATTGCATCAGAGCACCATGGAGAGGGGTGACAGTGCAGGTCACCAACCCTTAGTTTTCTGCTTCAGGAACAGTTCCTTGTTCTACACTTAGAGTCAAAGCAAATTATGTAACTGTAAGATGTTCAAAGATGAAGTCAACGAATGCAAAGTCAGTAACTAAGTATAAAAACCTCCCCCAAGGAGAGTCTACATTTCTTCCCCAGAAATGGCCTCACTGTGCACTGCTGAAGGGAGAGGGTCTTTTCAAAGAGCCCAAGAAGCAGGGGCTACTGGGCTGCAGCTCTAAATAGAGATGCCATTCTTTCTACCTGCAGGTCCTGCCAAGCCTAACAGCAGACTTCAGTGATCCCACCTGAACCAGGAATTCGGGATTTTTGATGCTGGTTCTATTTGAGCCATTGTGTAAGCTTAAAAATGTGACATGGAGATTTTGCTGTAATTGTTTCTTTGCTGGAATTTGACATCCACGGTGCCTCTGGCTTCCTCTCTGGTCCCAGGAGGGAATGGATTGTCCAGCACTTTTTTTCAGCATCTCTTTGTGGGGGGGGGATCAGGAGATTTGGAGTCAGGGGCCCCTCCAATCTCACCCTCTTCTCTAATGCAGAGTCCCTTAAGCTTTCTGGGGTGGGGGCGTTGGCACTCTGCGGATCTCATGAATAAAATTGTTCCAGCTCCTGAAATAAAGGCACAGGTGCACATAAATACGCTGACTCTTGCATGCAGTGCCAAGGTGAGGAAGTTTCCTATGATAGATGCCGAGTTTAGCACTTTGACTCTCCATTAACATTCACACAGACACACACACAAGCGCGCGCACACACACAAACACACACACACACACACACACACATACAGAGTCAAAGCCAGCGATGCGGGAGGGGCTGACCTCAGGGGCGGGGTCACAGGCATCCCTCAGGTCCTTCTCAGTGGACTTTGTCTCTTTTTCCTGGAGGTGGAGGAGTCTGTACTTCATGAGAAGTCCTCTGAAGAAAGCAGGAGATACTTAGGAGCGGGGAAGTGGAGACAAAGGGGAGGGGGCGAGGCAAGGGGGGAGCACGCAAGAAATGGGGAGGGGGAGGACCTTATAGTGGTCAGAAAAGTCACACGCAGAATTTGGCTCTTGGTTTTTGTGTTTCATTAGGATGGATTTAGAAAACCAGACAGAGTGCGAGATAAGGAGTCTACCTTGCAAAAGACACGTCTTAGTGTCCTCCTAGTTTGAACTCATCAGTAGTAGCTGGGAGAAGGGAGCCGGGACGCCTGTGTGGGGCACGCCCTCTCTAGTTGTTCCCATTCTCTGCACCCCACCGGCTGGTGCCCTTCAACCCCAACAGGAAGGAAAGGAAGGAGGGGTCGGAAGGCTTTGGGTCTTCCCTCGCGCGCCTTCTTCCTCTGCCATTTATTCCGAGTGTCCTTGCCTTCCCTCCGCTACCTGATCCCCACCTTAACAAAGCACACTCTGCGCTGTTGGGCCAGGATTCCTCCTTTGGCCTCTGACTCACTGGTACAATTTCGCTGCGTCCTGTCCTTACCGCAATTGCTACTGGGTAGAGCCGGAGAGAGCATCGCCCAGACCCGCTAGATTCATGCAGCGCCACTGCCCGCACATTCTTGACACTTCTTTAGATCCAAAGTCAGAGCCTGAGTTTTCAGACTAGTTCCGAAAGCCTTTAGCCATTGGAAAGGGGAAGTCAATACTCTAGGAACAAAATTTGCTTCGACTTTGTCTCAACCCAAAGACACCATGACGGCGCAGTTTTCAAAGTTGCTTTGAGTATAAATGGAACAGGGTCTCCTGTGTCAGACTCGATTTTGCGTTTCCCTCTTTATTATAGCCCTTCTGTAAATTTTATTACATGTATCTCTACTCCACTAAAAACATTTCTGTCAAAGACACTAAGAAAGAGTCAATGCCATGAAAATATGAAGGATACTCTTAAAAGAGAGTTTCTGGTGTTGAGTTTTAATTAACACTTTGGTATTTAAAAATCTCTAACTATTTGGGTTTGGGGCTTAGCTTCATAATGTTTCAAACTGAGATATACTCTTCCTTAACCTCCATACAAATTCAGGTTTATTTTTATTTTTAATTGCATTTATTTTTCTTTTTTTGAAACAATGTCTCCATTCGTCACCCAGGCTGGAGTGCAGTAACACAATCATAGCTCAATGCAGCCTCGAACTCCTGGTCTCAAGCAATTCTGCCTCACCTTCCAGAGCTGAAATTACAGGTACAAGCCACCGGGCCAAGCCAAATCCAAGTTAATACTGTAATATAAAATTCCAACATTTCAGAGAAAGTGAAAATCACCAAGTTATTGTAGTCCCTGGAGTCACTGTCAAGACTTTGGTGAGGGCTCAGTGGCTCACGCCTGTAATCCCAGCACTCTGGGAGGCTGAGGCGGGTGGATCACCTGAGGTCAGGAGTTCGAGACCAGCCTGTCCAACATGGCGAAACCCCATCTCTACTAAAAACACAAAAAATTAGATGGGTGTGGTGGCGAGTGACTGTAATTCCAGCTACTAGGGAGGCTGAGGCAGGAGAATCACTTGAACCCTGGAGGTGGAGGTTGCAGTGAGCCAAGATCGCACCACTGCACTCCAGCCTGGGCGACAAGAGCGAAACTCCGTCTCAGAAAAAAAAAAAAAAAAAAAAAAAAGGCCAGGCGCAGTGGCTCACGACTGTAATCCCAGCACTTTGGGAGGCCGAGGCGGGCAGATCACGAGGTCAGGAGATCGAGACTAACCTGGCCAACACGGTGAAACCCCGTCTCTACCAAAAAAAAAATACAAAAAAATACAAAAAATTAGTGTGGTGGCGGGCGTCTGTAGTCCCAGCTACTCGGGAGGCTGAGGCAGGAGGATGGCGTGAACCCAGGAGAATGGCGTGAACCCAGGAGGCGGAGCTTGCAGTGAGCCGAGATCGCGCCACTGCACTCCAGCCTGGGCGACAGAGCTAGACTCTGTCTCAAAAAAAAAAAAAAAAAAAAACTTTGGTGAGAAATCTTCCAGGTTTTTCCCTACTTAAAATATACATTATGGAAGTGGTATTACTGGCATTATAATTCAGTATATCCTCATCTTTTAATAAATGGTTAAAAGTATGAGACGCACACATCTTCTCATAACAATACTTAAAACTGATCTTACCTCTTTTATGACCCTATAAAATTGTATTGCATAGCAGTTCTTTGGAGGACGATGGAAATGTTCTACATCTTCATTGTGGTAGTGGAGATGTGGGTGTGTACAACAGCCAAAACACAACGAGCTATGCATTTCAAATAGATACATTTTAGATACATTTGATTGTATGCAAAGCAAGTCCCAATAAAATGGCTTTTAAAATATATCTTCTTTGAGATTTGTACTTTGCTTATGTAAAACAAAACAAAACAAAAACCTTGTTTTTGTGCCCAAGAGACACACCCTGACACATCGGCAGGTAGAGGCTTACGTGTGTATATATATTACTGTATATTTACAGATTCAGAGAGAGAGACAGAGATAAAGCTATGTTAACAATATTCATACATACCAAAACTAGATAAAAACCAAAAATAAAAGTTAGAAATAATAAAACTCTATATTTTAAATGTTATTCTCTTCTTCACCTTTTTTCTCCTCTTTCCTTCCTCTCTCTTCCCTTTTTTCTTCAACACGCTCCCCCCACCCCCACCCCCCAGCCATCCTTCCCTACTTTCTCCCTTCTCTGCACTTGATCCCCGGTGTATTCCAGCCTCGAGGCCAACACACGTCACCGCGTCCGCCTGGGGCAGGTCGGGGAAGGGACGCGAGGCGGCGCTGTCACCGCATTCTGAGGGCCGCAGTGCCCTGCGCCCCTGCTGGTCTTGTATCATTTCAGTGAACGTCGCTCCAGTCTTTGATGGGGCCACACTCGGGATGTAAATTTAGGATCCTCACTGAAGGGGCGGGACCCTGAGAGGCTTTCTCCTGGCCCCTTAGTTGTGAGTGTTCCTGCAGGCGGAGGAGCCAGTTTCCGTCAGAACCGCCCAGAGGCAGGCGCTGCCTTCCTGGGGTGGCGGAGCAGCTGGAAGCGTTTTCGGATCCTGGAATCCGTGGGCGGCCCGTGGGAGGGGCTGAGGCGCATTTCCCTACTCACCCGGATCCGAATCCACCGCGGTGCTGTTTCAAGCGAGTCAGATTCCACATCGCGCTCCACCCCGGACTCGGAATTCCTGCCCCACAGGTCTGCATTTTCACAGCGGCAGCTGTGAGTGCCCCGCGGCTGGAGACCAGAAGCCTGAAGGCAACTCCGTCCTCCCCAGCCCACAGCGCCGTTATTCCGTTTCTATATCAGCAAACACTTGTAGACCAGGGCGGGGTGACGGGTGATCTCAGTCCTCGCAGTGAACTCCGGGCCGCAGGCTTGAAAACGCGCGCGGGCGCCCAGCCCAACCCCGCCCTGGGTTCTGTAAGCGACCGCACTGGGTCCTTTCTCTTTCTTTTCCGGACCCAGCAGTGGCGCCTAAAGTCTGCGAGGAGGAAGTCGCCTCTGTGCCCCGGAGTTCAGAGGTCTAAGGCGAGTCCTGAGGAAGAAAACGTAGTTGATGGGGCAGAGCAGAAGGGGCTGGAGGTGGGGTGGAGGGAGAGGGCATTGGACAGAAGGCCTGGGAGACTTGGTGGGGGACGGGCAGCCAGGCCTGGACCCTGGGGAGTGCCTCACCCCGAGCGGAAGACCATCTGGGCTTCCCCTAGCCCAGAAAGGGTGGATTGGCTTCACCTCTGCTGGCCATCACCTCTACATGCCTTGGAACTAACCTTGTATATTATTATTATTGTCGTTATTTAAGTATTAAAAGTATTTTTTGGGGTGAGCTGAATGAGACCCTTTGCTAGAGCTGGCACAGGGAGGAAGGTCGTCCTGGAGGGAGGGTAGACACTGTGGAGGGAAGGGAGACCTCTGTCAGGAGAGCTGAGACCACCTCTCTGCCCCTCACTACTCTTGTAATCTTTAGGAGTGTAAATAATCCCCCTAAGGTGGGGACAGGACCCCAGTCCCTGCTGTGCGCAATAGATTATGATGATCAAAATAAATAATCAGTGAATGTGGATGGGAAATCTAAGTAATTGTTAAAACCCTGTGATGCTTAAATTTTCACTCACAGAAATGTGTAGGCTAGGAGTTTTAAGAGGAATGGTTAGTAATTATAGGTATAGTTCAGTTTTAAAAAATGTTTGTAAGAGTGACAAAGATAGAATGAACACAGTTCCAGATCATGGACTGTTCATCGTGTAGTGGGGGATGGTACAAGATGGTAGATGACAGCTGGGCATGGTGACACTCACCTACAGTCCCAGGTACTCAGGAGGCTGAAGTGGCTGGATTGCTTGGGCCCAGGCATCTGAAGCTGCAGTGAGCTGTGATCACACTGATGCCCTCCAACTGGCGGCAGAGTGAGATCTCCCCCTCTTAAAAATAAATAAATAAATAAATAGTAGATGGAGTTCAAGAATGCAGGCAAAGTTGGTACCCATCAGGGAGGTTCAAACCATGGGCTAGAACAGTGGTTCTAAAACTTGCCTACACATTGGAAGCACGTAGAGAGCTTTAAAAGATATTGAAGCTTAGGTCCAACCTAGCCTTACTGATTCAATTGGTTTTGGCTGTGACCTGGGACCGTGGATATTAAAAACTCTCCAGGTGGTTCTGTGAAGTGGCTAGGTTTGAGGACCACTGGCTAGATGTTCCAAAGAGTAAGAGACGTGTGTGTTGGGGACGAGATGATTCTTTCAGTAGAAAGAGGCTTTTGCATGGTGTTTTATTATCGAGATATAATTTATGTGCCACGTAATTTACCATTTAAAAATGTACAGTCCAGGGCCCACTCAGAACCATCCCAGCAACCTGACCACAGCTGGTCTTTGCTGGACACCATGAACCACACTGCCCAAACCTTCTTCATTCCTGCCAACAGTGGCTGCCCTCCCCCGCCCCCCAACCCCAGCTATGAGATGCTCAAGGAGGAGCATGAGGTGGCTGTGCTGGGGGCGCCCCACAACCCTGCTCCCCCAATGTCCACCATGATCCATATCTGCAGCGAGACCTCCTGTGTCTGACTATGTTGTCTGGTCCCTGTCCAACATCCTCTTCATGAACCCCCACTGCCTGGGATTCATAGCATTCACCTACTCCCTGAAGTCTAGGGACAGGAAGATGGTTGGAGACCTGACTGGGGCCCAGGCCTATGCCTCCACTGCCAAGTACCTGAACATCTGAGCCCTGATTGTGTGCATCATCATGACCATTCTGCTCACCATCATCATCCTAGTGTTGATCTTCCAAGTCTGTCGATAGATCAGGAGGCATCATCCAGGCCAGGAGCTCTGCCCATGACCTGTATTCCACATACTCCAACTTCCATTCCTCGTCCTGGCCCCAGAGCTGAGTTCTGTATCAGCCCTTTATCCTCACACACTTTTCTACAATGGCATTCAATAAAGTGCAGGTGTTCCTGGTTAAAAAAAAAAATGTACTGGTCAGTGGCTTTTAGCATAATCACAACATCGTGCCACAGTCGCTATTATCTAATTGGGAAGATTTTCTTTTTTTAAAGGCTAGTCAAGTAAAGCAGTGCGAGCGGAGAAGGAAAAAAGAAATCTGTAATTGGTTGTGATCAATTAGTTGTAAACACCGCTACACTCTGACCAGCCTAATTGGGAAGATTTAAGGATGTGACACGGTCTAATGGGCTCAGAGGCAGAAGTGACAGTAATCTGGAAGCAGGAGACTGCTTAGGCAGTGGCATCCCGGTGGGACAGGGCAAGGAGATTGGGGAGCCCACTTTTACTGCAACACTGGAAAGAGGGATGTCACCAGAGAAATGGGGGTGGTGACAGACAGGAGGTTGTGGCAGCTGTGGCTTCCATGGTAGAGACCTCACGTGTGATATTCAGCACATGGGGTGCTGTGGGGGTCTTAGAGCACTCTGACTATAGCTGGGACAGTCACAGTGTTTAGGAAGCCTGTACAGTAATCTAGGCTGAATCCTGTGCAGTGATCTAGGCTGAAAGCCGAGACTAAAGTAGTGGCTGTGGGATCAAAATAGGGTTGGAGGAGCTTTGAGTACTTGAGAAGGAAAAGGGGGAAATCAGAAGGCACCACGGAAAGAGAAACAGGGGAGGAAGAGAGGATGATGTCATGCGAGACGTGTAGAGTGTCCTTGTAGACCTGTCACATTGGAAGCTACTATGGTCTCAGAGGTACAGATGTCCTAAAGCAGGCTGGAAAAGGGAGTCTGGGGAGAGCTTGGTGTTGGAGTGGACACTGGCAAGCTGCCTCCTTGGCCTTTTGATCACCCAGGGGCTGAATAGAGAGGCAGCCCCGGGAGACCTCACACACTTACAGGAAGTGACCATAAGAAAGGGGACCTAGCTTTGAGTAAAAGGGAGGAGAAGGAGATTGTAAAGCTGAAACGTCTAAGAGATTTGTCGTCTTAGCGGATCAGCTGGGGCAGGTGCTTCAGAAACAGAGGTAGCTGAGGTCTGGAAACAGGTCTGCAAATCTGGTCACTGGCCACATAGCCAGTAACGCTGTGCGCGGCTGAGGGGAGTGTGTTGGAAGAATAACCAGGCCTCGTCTCTTCTGTAAGTGTGTCCTGGAAAGAACAAGCGAATGACAGTCAGCTTGATGGGGTGGCTGGCGAAACGGTCTTGGTGAGGCACGCTATCCTAGGGGTGGGGGTGCGGGGATGGGGTGGTCGCAATACAGGGAGGGCGGCAGGGCCCAGGTCGTGCTCATGCGGTTGGGGCTGTACTCTCAGCTGCTCGGAGCCAGTCCCCGCATTTGGCGGCGCTTCCGCGCGCTCCCCCTTTTCTGGGCTCCAGGTCCCGCCAGCCAAAGTTCTCCAGGTCTCCTGACCGCTGGAACGTTCCCTTCTGAGTGTGGCCCCGCCCTCCAAGCTCGTGATTGGCCCTAAGCTGCGGGCGCCAGTTTTCATTGGGTGAGCGGTCACTGGGGTGGGGCCAGGTGACAGGAAATTTCTGGTGGGCCTTCGCGGCTCCGCTGGGTTGGCAGCCGCTTGAGCCACTGCGAGGAAAGCAAAGTCTGGGCCATGGAGATGAGCCTAGTCCTGCTGTTCCTGATCCGCACTGCCCTTTTTGCACCCCAGGGAGCTGCTGCTGGTAAGTGGGGTTCCTGGCGGTCCTCGGCGGAGCGGCAGCGGCGGGGCGTTTCTGGGGGTCCGGGTGGGTAGCGGCGAGCGCTGTGCGACCGAGGCGGGGCTCAGGTGCGCTGTCGGGGGTGCGGGGAGTGGACGCGGCCCGTTCCCGCCACACCTCAACCCTGCTTCCACGTCTCTTTTCAGTCCTCCTCGGGATCGCTCATCACCCGCCCCCTGCATTTTCTGGTCTTGTCCTGCACTTTCTCTCCTCTCCTCTCCTCCGTCTCCTCTCACTTTTCGGACAAACCCGTCTTTCTGAGGCCCCTGGGTTCCTGGGCTGCTCCTGTGAATGGCATTCGAGGGCCCTTCCAGCGCGGCCGCTGAGGCAGCCACCTCCCTCGGTGCTGGGGGCGGCCCTAAGGTCCCTGAAGCCCTGTCCTCTCCCGGAGCCGACGTGTTCTCAGCTCCTGGGCCGCATCTCCTGGAGTTGGGGCCCTCCTTTCTCGGGACCCGGAGCTAGTGCTTCCTGCTGCTGTGGGGACTGTGGGGCTCCTGACCCTCACGCTGAGGGGTTGGAGTCTGCAGGCTCCGGGCAGAGGATTCTTCCTGCGACTTCTCTCATCCCCAGCTCATTCTCCCCTGGCCTCCCGCTGCCGGGGATCCTCTCTTGTCTTGCATCCTTCCCTGCTACTATTAACTCCGGTGATCTAAGGACACCAGATTCCCTCCCACCTCCTCCCCTGCCCTCAGGGCACCTTGGGTCCTGTTGCCCTCCCAGCTCCCTGTTACCCCTTCCTATCTGCAGTTCTCTGATACATTTCTAGGATGTCCTCTGCCTCATCCCCTGCCCCCGCCACCGCAGGTCCCTCCTGCCTCCCTTATGGGCCTTTCCTAGAAGCAGCCTTAACCCAGGGCTGCCCCTATGCCTCCCACTCCTAACTCTCCCTGACCCTAACTCTCTGGTGCCGCCTTTTGTCCCAGGGTCTTCCCTCCGTCCCACTCCCCTCTAGACCACCCAAGGGGAGCCCTAGTGCTAATGTTGGTTGGGCCTTAGGCAGGGCACAGGGCAGGGCAGATGCCCCCTCCCCTCTAGTGCAGGTGCCTGCTCTGGGCCCTGCCTCACGGTGGCCCCTTCCCTACTCCTTCATCCTCAGCCCCACCCTCTTGAGGACCCCCCACTCCAGCCCACGGGTGCTGGACCATCCCTCCCTGGTCCCTCCGCCCCTCTCCGCCTTGGGACCTTGTGCTGCTCCTACCTCTTGCCCAGCTGCCTTGGGCCCTCAGCAAGTTCTCATCTTTCCCAAGCCCCACCCTCACTCAGAGCACCCTCCCCTCCTGTCCTCACCCTAACCAAAGTTCCCCCAGGGTCACCCCCACACCATGCTCACCCCATCCTCCAGTCCTTGCCCTGCACATCTGTCCTCCTCTACCCAGACCCAACACAGGCCGTGTGTCCAACTGCTTCTTTTTTTTTTTTTTTTTTTTTTGAGACGGCGCCTCCCTCTGTCGCCAAAGTTGGAGTGCAGTGGCGCGGTCTCAGCTCACTGCAAGCTCCGCCTCCCGGATTCAAGTGATTCCCCTGCCTTAGCCTCCTAAGTAGCTGGGATTACAAGTGCCCACCACCACACCCAGCTAATATTTTGTATTTTAATAGAGACTGGGTTTCACCATGTTGACCGGGATGGTCTCAATCTCCTGACCTCGTGATCTGCCTGCCTAAGCCTCCCAAAGTGCTGGGATTACAGGCGTGAGCCACCACACCTAGCTGGTAATTCATTTTTTAATTTTTGGAGGAATCAACACACTGTTTTCCATAACAGGTGCCCTATTTTGTATTTCCAAATGCATTACACAAAGGTTCCAGTTTCGCAACCTGTTTGCCAAACTTGATATTTCTGTGTGTGTGTGTGTGTGTGTGTGTGTGTGTGTGTGTGTTTGATAATAGCCAAACTAATTGGTGTAAAGTAATAGTTCATTGTGGTTTTGATTTGCATTTCCCTAATGACTGCTGATGCTGAGCATCTTTTCATGTGTCTGTTGGCCATTTGTACATCTTGTTTGGGGAATTGGCTATGCAAGTCCTTTGCCTACTTTTGTATTAGTTGAATGTCTCCTGTTTGAGTTGTAGGAGTTCTTTATGTATTCTGGATATTAATCTCTTATCAGATATATATGATTTGCAAATATTTTCTTTCATTCTGGGGGTTGCTTTTTCACTGTGTTTATTGTGTTTTTAATGAACTTTTTTATTTTGATGAGTCCAATTTATCAATTTTTTCTTTGTTTTTGTATCTTTGGTGTTATATCCAAGAAAGTGCTATCAAATTCTATGGCATGAAGATAATTCCCTATGTTTTATTGTAAGAGTTTTTCAGTTTTAGTTCTTGAGTTTAGGTCTTTGATGTTTTTCTTAGTTAATTTTCATATGTGGTGTAAGTTAGGGATCCAACTTCATTTTTTTTTTTTTTTTGGCATGTGAACATCTGGTTTTCCTAGCACCATTTGTTGAAAAGATGCACTGACTCTTTAAGACCCTTGCCACCAGCCCACCCCAGGGGACACCAACTGGTCCATCCACCTCCCTACTTGGGGCATTGCCATGCCACTCTGAAGCCCACACCATTGCTTCTCCCTGGGATATGGACCTCGTAGAAAACGTCTCTGGCACCACAGCCTACCTGCCCCTCCTGCCTCACAGCCAAGTCTCCCTTGCCCCCACCTTGTCCATGTTGAGCCTTCCTCAAAGGCAGTGGACCTTGCCTCCATCTCACCCTTACCTGTGCACCACAGCCATGGTGGTCATGGGTCCCTCTGAGCCTGGGTCCCTTACAGTTTCTGCTCTCCCCTCTGGCAAGACCTTCCTTCCACCACTGCCTTCATGCTCCTCCCTTGAACCTGCAGGGCAGCCCCTTCCATTGGCCTCCTCCCTATACCCTGAGGGGGCCTGTGGCTGCCCTGCCCTGGCACCTGGCCTACAAGTTTGCCATCCCCATTCCCCCTTCTTCTGTTCCTCAGTCCCCTCCTCTATCCTCCCACCTTCCCAGTTTTCCTTGCGTCTGAAATCCTCATTCTTGTCCCTTTGCCCGTGTGCATTTCCTGCCTCCTCAGGAAGGTCGGGACAGCAGACCTGTGTGTTAAACATTGATGTGAAGTTACTTCCAGGAAGAAGTTTCATCTGTGATTTCCTCTTCCCCAGAGCCCCACAGTCTTTGTTACAACCTCACGGTGCTGTCCCGGGATGGATCTGTGCAGTCAGGGTTTCTCGCTGAGGGACATCTGGATGGTCAGCTCTTCCTGCTCTGTGACAGGCAGAAAGGCAGGGCAGGGCCCCGGGGACAGTGGGCAGAAGCAGTCCTGGGAGCTGAGACCTGGGACACAGAGACTGAAGACTTGACAGAGAATGGGCAGGAGCTCAGGAGGACCCTGGATCATATCAAGGGCCAGAAAGGAGGTGAGAGTGGGCAGTGGGCAAGAGTAATGGGAGAGGCCTTTTCCAGGAGAGTTGGGGGCAGAGAGCAGGACCTGTCTCTTCCCACTGGATTTGGCTGTGAGTAGGGGTGAGGAATGGTGCTCAGCGGGGCTCAGCCCACACAGGGAGGGATGGAAGAGGGCCAGGGAGGAGTCCTTCCTGGTCCGAGTTCCTCACTTGGACTGGAATGGAGAAGTCACTGCTGGGTAGGGGCAGGCAGCCTTGCATTCCCTCCAGGAGATTAGGGTTTGTGAGATCAGGAAGCCAGCAGCACCAGGGGCTTTAGGCATTTCTACACATATGGGAAGCTCTTCCTCTCTCCCAACCTGGAGACTCAGTAATGGACAGTGCCCCGGTCCTCCAGAGCTCAGACTTTGGCTATGAATGTCACAAATTTCTGGGAGGAAAATGCCATGCAGACCAAGACACACTATTGCCCTGTGCAGGCAGACTACATGCAAAAGCTATGGTGTTATCTGAAATTCTGGAGGTATCAGAAAAACAGGTACTGTGAAAGTAGTGGGTCCTCCTATAGAAGCCTGAACCTGGGGTGGGCATTAGGCAGGAAAGGAAGGCCTCAAGGCCAGGGCTGCCTCATCTGCCTCCCAGCCTGCCCATCCTGGAGAGCTACCTCCTAGCCCCACGACCCAGGAGCCCACCCCTGACAACCCTCTCCTCAGCATCAAAGCCGGAGTCCCAGAGTGTGAGGCCACAGTCCTGAGGCCCATCTTCCAGCAAGCCTAGGGGAATTGGACCCCAGGTAAGGACCGATTTGCAGAAGGTCTGGGGTCAGTGTGGGTTTCAGCGAGAGTCAGAACAATAGAGAGGACCAGTCCTGTTCCCTGCATCTCCCTTAGAGGGGAGAAAGGCTTGGCCACATGCCTCACTGGCTCTGCCCTTTTGTCTCCAATGACCCCCACAGTGAATGAGATGCACAGTGGGGCCTTAGAAGGCAATGTCACCATGATGTGCTGGCCTCCATCTTCTATCCCTGGAATATCTCTCTGACCTGGCATCAGGATGAGGCATCTTTGAGCCAGGATGCCCAGCAGTCTAGGGGTGTCCTGCCCAATGGGAATGGGACCTACCAGACCTGCATGGCCACCAGGATTCCCCGAGGAGAGGAGCAGAGGTTCACCTGCTACATGGGACACAGAGGGAATCACAGCACTCACCCTGTGCCCTCTGGTGAGCCAGGGGCAACTCTCAAGGGTTTCGACCTAGGGAGGTCAGGCCAGGGTGGGGATAGCAGGGACGGCTGTGGCTTTGCGTGCTCAGTGTGTCACAAGGCCCTTTTTTTAGAGAAGGCCCTGGTGCTTCAGAGTCAATGGCAGCCATTCTGTATGCTGCTATTGCTACTGTCATTATTATTATTAGCAGTAGTAGTAGTAGTATTCTCTGTGTCCTTTGGTGCAAGAAGAAGACAACATCAGCTGCAGAGTCCAGGTGAGAAAACGGGGCAGTGGCTGGAGATGGAAGGACTCTTCTCTGGGCAGCAGGGTCCCCTCATAGCTCCTGCACAGATAGACATGTAGGTAACAAGGTCCTGGAACAGGGGATGGACATTGGGGTATTTGGGAGGGGAATGGGAGCCACATCTCCATCTACACCCCTAAGTCCTGCCCAAGCCAGGGCTGGGCCACGGCCCTCAAATGTCCAGCGGTGGCCTCCTCCTGCTGCAGGTGAGGAGTGGGCAGCAGGGAGGGCTGTGGCACCTGCTCTGTCCCCATCCTGGTCTCTCTTGTTTCTTGGGCTCACCACGGTGCGTCCAGGTGGGGTGAGTTGAGAATCACGTGCTGATTGCTGAGGGCCTGGATGATCATGGCTTCAGTGGGAGTAAATAGTAAAGGCGGCTGTGATCTGGGGAGGAGCTAGAAACTGGAGAGGAATCCGAGGAGAGGCGGTGCCCCTAGTCTCTTCCTCTCTGCATCCCTCTCTCCTGTTTCTCCAGCCATCAGGAGGACACCAAGAAAAAGACCCACGAAGCCCAGACTGGGAGGCCTGCCTGTGCAGCCCCTTTGAGGTCCCCTTGTAACAGGGGGGGTCCTGAGTGCACACAGCCATCTCTGTCCACTTTGCAGCTCCCCATGGGCCTCCTCCAGGAGCTATCTTGGGGGTATCATGTCCTCTGCATCACTGGAGGTTCCCACCACATGGCCCTGCCTCCCTGAGTTTCTGTGCAGATGTTATGGAGGAGTATATAAGCAGACATCCCTGGGCCATTTGGGAAGCAGGAACCAGCTCCTTGTCAGGGCAGCTGTGGTCCCTGTTTTCATCATATGTCCAAGTGTTACCTTGTCTAGCCCCCAGGAACACAGTCCCCAGGACCATGTTTTTTGGGGCACCCACAGCAGGGGCAGTGCAGGTCTGGTTGCTCCTGCTCTCACCTGCAGCATCTGCCGTAGAGGAATTGTCAGTTCTGGTTCCCTGTGGGCAGTAAAGGTTTCCTTGTAGGTCACTGGGGCATTGGCCAGAAAAAGGTTGTGAAAATCACATGCTAATTTCTCAAAATTCCTGCTTTCAATGTTGATGTCCAATAAAGATGTTCATAATTTCAGCTGGATATTCTTAATAGGATTTCCTCCAATACCGATGCTGTAAAGTATATTGAATGGAACAGGAATTCAAATTTGAAACTCTCTCTCTAGAAGGGTCCATGTGGGAGATGGTGGCTGTGGCTGTGGCAATCCCCAGGTGCAGAGTGGGCGGAGGCAGCCTCAGGCTGAGGGGTCTCAAGAAATCCCTTATTCCATAGGGAGAAGAAGAAGATCCTCTGTGGGTGTGAGGGCAGTGGCCTGGGTGGAATCCCTGCTAGGAACCAGACAGGAAGGCCTTGCAGCCTCACCAAGCAGCAGCCCTGGGGTGGAGCTGGATTTCCAGGGATGAGTGGACCAGGCAGGAGCAGGGCATCCCAAGTGCAGGTCATGGACCTGGGTGTCAAGGGAAGCAGAGCCTTCTTGAGCAAGGGGGTCTCCAGGGTCAGGTCAGGTGCAGACCCCATGGCAGCCACGTGTTTCCATCCTGGGCCTGACAGGCCTGCTGGGCTTCCTGGTGGGCTCTCCAGGTAGGAGCTGCCTGCTCAGGACTGGAAGGGGAGGAACAC
This sequence comes from Homo sapiens, assembly GCF_000001405.40. NCBI lineage: Eukaryota > Metazoa > Chordata > Mammalia > Primates > Hominidae > Homo > Homo sapiens. The sequence continues at coordinate 1,005,014 of NT_167246.2, read as the reverse complement.
TGAGCTGTAGGTGGAGGGCGGAACCCACAGTGGGCAGGGCCTGCCCTGGTGTGCAGGTGCTTCTGCAGGAAAGGAGGGCCTGGGGAAAGAGGGAGAGAAAGGCCTTGTGTGTGACCCAGCCCAGGCCTGGAAGTACGTGGAGCCAGGGCCTCTCTCTGGGGAGGCCTCCCACTGTGTCCGAGCTGGCCAGGCTTGAGAGGAGGGGAGGGCACTGAGTTTCTTCTGGAGTCTTGTCATTTAGTCCTGCGGCCCTTTCAGTCCCTACAGAGTGCATAGTGGGCACAGGGCGAGTGCTGATCTTCATGAAGTCATGGGAGGGGACTGGCAGGGGCTGGGAAAAGTGCCATAGGAGGGAGAAAAATGTGGGAGCATCATCTTCCCTCAGAGAAAGGGTAAATCTGATTTTGGAGTGACTGAGGAGGGAGAAATCCTCAGGGAGTAAAAAGCAGCACTCTGCACCCAGGGGAGCATTTATTGGTTTCTCTATTTTCTCCAGAGCACGTGAGCCTGCAAGGCCCGGATCAACGCCCGGTTGGGACAGGAGACCACCAGGGCAGTGCACAGCTGGGATTTCAGTCTCTGGTGTCAACTCCTGGGTCTACTGGCTCCACTGAGGGCAGCTACACTCTGCAGCCAGATGGCCAGAATTCAACTCCCTGCCCAGGTCTCACCAGCACTTTCCCACTTGGTGCCTCAGTTTCCTCATCTATGAAATGGGGAAACTAACAGCATTTATTTCTTGTGGTTGGGTGGATGAAAAGCGTTAGTATATATGAGGGGTTTGCAGCTGTGCCACATTATTTTTGTTATCATTTGATTATATTTTAATATATTACATATGCAGTCATTGTATTATTATTATAAATGAGATTTATGAGTGAGTGTCCTGGTTACAGCTCCTTCTGGGGAGCCCAGGACCAGCTTTCCTGGCACCTTGAGGTCCCCTCACCCTGTCACACTCTCATGCATTACCTCATATCTACTATGTCTTCATAATTTTATACTATAGAAATTTACCCTTTAAGTAGACATTTCTGGTCTGTGTTTTATTTCAAGTGTCTGGGAAGGGATAGAGTATGAGGTTCAAGAGAGAAGGAGAGGTCTGTCTTGATGCCTTGACACAGCACAAAGAAATCTCCCCACCTCCCCCGCATCTCCCCACCAGTTCTCGGTGATGGACGATTCACAGCAACACAGAAAGGGCTGGGAAGGGATGGAGGGGGACATCTGCAGCCAGTGTTTAGGGGCTGACCCTGTGGGAAGACACCTGCCTTGCAGAGGACCTCTGCATCTTGCAGATGCAGAGCTGAAGTCTGATATGAGGGAGAGGACAGGGAGTGCTTTGGACTTTCCTGATTAAGAAGAATAGAGATCAGTCTGCTTCTGGGGTTAAGTGACCACTGGGGAGATTGGACTGAATTAATGAAGAATAAATGAACTGGGAATGAGGATGAGTAAAGCAAGTATCAGCATCTCCCATTATCAGTTCAGACTGATTGGTAAGTGGGGAGGTGGGATAGTTCCTGACCCTGTTGTGAGGTTCCTTTTAACTTTCTGGCCTTGGGGCACAGATGGGTGGTGCTCTTCTTGGTCAGGGTAGCCTCAGCTCCACTCAGGTAAGGCAGTGGTGGCAGGGAGAGTTAGGGGATCACCTGTGAAACGGACCAAGGCAGGGATGGGAGCCCTCTGTGCAGCAAAAGTGGATGCAAGCCCTGCCTAGAAGCAAGAGGATGAAGGAACCTAGTTGGGTCCTGGTCCACTGCCTGCCTGTGTTCACAGGTCAACCAGTAAAGGAGGTGGGGTAGAGAATTCAATCGTGGGCTATCTATCCAGAGATGTGTTTACAGGTGTATTATTTCACATTTGTGTTCACGTTTGGTGTCAAAAACACATTTATACATGCCTGTTTCATGTTTAAGTATTTTCACATTTTAGTTAACCCTTAAATATCATTGTTGAATGCGGTTGTCATTAGACATAAACTTGCATATTCACTGAAGCTTTTGTTTTTATTTTAATCAAATTTATAATTGTGCATAATTGAAAGAGTCAAATATTTGTGCAGAATCTCTTGAGAAAAATGAGAGTCCTCTCTGCCTCTTCTCAATTTCTGCCTTTCTAGGGGCCAACCACTTTCAAGTTTTTTAGCTGATTCTTTTGACTTTACTTCTGTATCTCTAACTACCATTTCTTTATTATTATTGCTTGATTTTTTTCAGATGCACCCATTGTTGCACAGCGCAATGGTGGATGCAACAGTTAAGAGTACTTGTTCTCTTTCACTCTTCCCAGTATATTTATATAGTGATTATGTTTAGTTCAGCCATCTCTTGTTTCTTTTACCATGACTAATCCTCTCATATGTCAACTGGACTACTTTTCACTGCCTGTACAACATTGGTTCTTCTTGGAGTTAATACTTGTATTTGTTTTTGTTTATTTTATTAACTCTCATTAATTTAAGTTTGATATCTCTTTTGTTTGTATGATTCTTTCAAGACGTTGGACACTTTGGACATTCTGTTAATTTTATCTTCTTGGAAATGTCCCTCCTGGGCCCTTCTGGCTGCTCCCATCTGGATTGGAGGCTTCTCCCCGTGGAGCAGAGTCACTGTCCTAGGATCTCCCTCCATCACTATCTGGGAAGGTGCTTTACATGCAGTGGAGCCACCTGGGTTCCAGCCAAAATGCAGACTGATTCAACATGTCAAGGCTGGGCCTGTGAGCCTTTCTGTCTAGTTTCAGGAGGTGCTGATTTTCCTGGTTCATGGGTGATAGCTGGGGTAGCAGGGATCTCTCTTTTTGTCTCATAGTTTTCTGTATCTAAGGTAAGCGCATACTAATATATTTTTAATGAATTCATGTACTTTTTCCCTAAATTAGTAACAGGGCTAATTAGTCTTTTCCTTGGGCCAAAAACTACATTATGTAAAATTTGGTATCTTAACTATTTTAAAGTATACAGTAGTACAGTATTAACTGTAAATACATAGTTGTGCAACAGATCTCTAGAACTTTTCATCTTGCAACACTGAAACTCTATGCCCATTGAACAAACATTCATCCATCCCCCTCACCGAGCCCCTAGCAGCCATTAGTCTACTTTCAGTTTAGACACCTCATATAAATGGAAATGTGCAGTATTGGGTTTTCTTTGTGATTGGCTTATTTTACTTAGCAGTGTCCTTCAGGTTCATCCCTGTTGCAGCCTGTGACCAGGTTTCCTTCTTAAGGCTGAATGATATTCCGTTGTCGATATATACCACATTTTCTTCATTCATGTGTTGGTGTGTGTTGTCTTGGCTATCGTGAATAATGCTGCTTTGAATATGGGTATACAATGTTTTTCTTTTCAAACCTTCCCTCACTTTGGTGGAATTAATCCTTTAGTAGCTACTTCTGACAGCACATATTTAAAGTATGTTTGTATGGTTCAATTTTTCCATTGTTTTTATTCTCTCCAGGAAGAGGAGATAAATATATGAAGGTGCTGTTTGGCACAGAATTTAATAGGGAAGAAAGAGACAGTATAACTCACCAGTGCTGGGTCTCATCATCCTGCAATTTCAGAACAACTATGAATACAAAAAGAATTTTAAAATCCCAGTCCTGCCTAGAAAGGGGAAGTCATCTCTAAATATGGTGGCCCTGGGGCAGCTGGCCTCCCTGCCAGGCCTCTTCCATGGGGGCCCTTTCTGCAGTGACTGTGGTTTCTTCCCATTTTACTCTGTCCTGTGTCCTGACTGAAGCGACAAGGTGTGTCTGCAGCTGTGCTCACACCTGGAGGAAACCTCAATGGTGTGAGTAAATTGTAAATGTTTACTTATTATGGGTTATTTTATTATTTATGGAGTATGTATTTTGATTTCATTCTACTGACAACACAATAAACCAGGACATGATGACCCTAGCAGCACATCCTCTTTCCTGTGTCAAGAAGCATCGTCCGGGGAGGTGAGAAGAAGACAGTCCTCCCTAGAATTGAAGAACCAGGGAGAAGCAGATGGGCTGGGCAGGTGGGTTTTCACCTGGAACCTGGAGGATGAGCAATGACATCTCTCCACCCTGAGCTCAGCCTGGGCATCCACCTCCTGGGCTCATGAGCAGTGCAGTGGTGCCTCCTAGTGGTCTCTGCTCTTCCTTTTCCAGATCAAGCACAAACCTGAGATCCAACTGTCCCTCTTATGCGCCTGGGTTTCTTCACTGGACACCAGTATGAGTCAACTTTCCTGTAAAGCAGAACAAGCACGAGATTGGACCATGTTAGAGGAGGAATGGTGTCATCTCCACTTCTGGAGAGATCCCTGTCCCCGTGTTCGGGGGAAGGACCAAGCCTCACTCCCATGCAGAGAAGAGGCTCTGACTGTAACTGCACCTGTGGAGAGGTGAGGACCTGTCCCCTCTACACCGATGGCCAGAGCCTCCAGAGTGGGGCCAGGTTTTTCCCTCAGCTGTGTCCTGTCAGGTTCATCTAGGCCTCAAAGAATAGACCCTGGACATTGCCTCTGGCAATGTGAGCTGGACACACACCCAGATGTAAGGTAGCCCTGCCAAGTATCCTGGGGTTGCCAGTAGTTCTGGGTGCTCAGTGTCTGGAGCGGAGGGTGGGAAGGAGGCTTGGTGCAGAACAAGAACCATATGTCACATACTATTTTATTCTTTATTAGTGTTTTTGTCATAAAAAACCCCACGGGTACCATAAAAGATAAAAGATCTAAAAATAGTGCCCTTTAATCAAAAGTAAACACCCTTTAACCATCAGAGAGAGGGAGAAGTTTGGCAGCTGACCTAGAAGCCCCATCAACTGCCCCAGCTCAATGATAAACTCTTCTCTTCTTCAAATAAAAGCACATCCTGGCTTACATGGCCATCACTTCTTTGTACAATTTTATATTTTTATCATCTAAAATTATAGTTTAGTTTTACCTTTAAGAGTATATTTTTATCCTCATTTATTCCATAGATTCCTGCTTGAAATTTATATTGTCTGGTAGTTTCCTGTCCTTTGCATTTTGCAGATTGCACCCCAAGGTGTGGTTTAATGTATCTCTATGACCTGTATTTTCTGTAAATTGGTAGTTTGTTATAGAGGTTTGCGTCTATTCAGGGTTTTTTTTTTTTTTTTTTTTGCCATGAGGATTGATGGTACTATATCATGTTTTTCATCAAGAGGAAGAATTCAATACTAGTTATTTCTTTTTTGCGATGTTAATTGCCATTGCTGTTCAGTGGCTAAATCTGTTAATTCATTACAAATTGCAAAAGTCTCAGTCTTTCATTTCTTTTCATATGCTAGCTGCATAATTTCTAAAATAAAAGATTTACCCTCTTCCACCAGTTATCTATTCAGTAGAAACTTGTTTTTTGAGAGACTAAACCAAGTTTCTAATCACCTATGACCCAGCAATTCCACTTTTTGTTATATACCAATAGAAATGCATGCATTTGTGTGCCAAAATATATGAAAATATTATTTATAGCAGCACGATTTGTAGACTCTGAATACAACACAAATGTCTATCAACAGTGGAGAGACAAGAAGTGTGAGCTATTTATAAAGCTGAGCACCTGACTGCCGCGGGAGTGAATAGTGACCACACACAGCAAGACCTGGGACATGGCAGTGACTGTGTCCAGAACTGACAGAACTAATCTATCATATTAGAAATCAAGAAAGTGTCTGCTCTAGGGTTGGGGAGGGTGATTTATGACCAAGTAGAACCCAGTGGTGTTTCCTGGAGGCTGGCAATGCTATTCCTTGATGTGGCTGCTATTTACCTGAGTGTTCACTTTGTGAAAATCCACGGCCCACTTATGGTTTGTCCACCTTTCTCCATGCATGTTGTCCTTCATTCAAGTATACATTACTGATGTTTTGAAACAATTCTCTCTAAGCTAATATAGAATCTCCATTACTGAAAGTCCTTAGAAATGCTGCATTGGAAAAAATTAGTCCAATTATTAAAAATCTATGAAATAAATGCTGTGACTCAGACATTAAGAGGAGAATCTACAACAAGAGCAGTAGGCTTGGGAGCTAACACAAGAACAGCTTTGGAAATGGCTGTTGAGCCAGGAACTAGGAATCAAAACCCAAAAAGGCCCATGCAAGGTGGAGGGTGTGAAATGATGCCCCAGTAGTGCATGAATGAATGAGTCATGGGCAGTGGCTCATGGGTTGCTTGGTCAGTCAGGAACTTGAGCAAAATAAAGTTGGAAAACTGGGGGATGGAAGAGAGAGGTATGCACAGACCTCTTGACATGGGCAGAGCTTCAGAAGATGGTGGTTGCAGGTTTCCCCAAATAGAGAACATCAATAAAAAGGTAGAAATTTTACAAAGAGACCAGATAAAAAGTTTGGAGCTGAAAAGTGCAATAACTGAAATGAAAAATTCACTAGAGGGGCTCCAGAGCAAATTTCACCATGCAGAATGGAGAATCAGCAAGCTTGAAGATAAGACAATTGAAATTCTCTAGTTCAGTAGCAGAAAGAAAAAAAATTATGAAGAAAAATAAACAGAACTTTAAAGATCTGTGAGACAACATCAAGCACATGCACTTTGGGAGTCCTCAAAGAAAGGAGAGAGAGAAAGGAGAAGAATGACTATTTAAAGAATAACTCCAAACCTTCCAAATTTGATGAAAAACATTATTCATCCAACAAACTTGACAAATTTTAAGCAGCAAAAAAATTTAAATTTAAAGAGGTCCACACCAAGAGAACATTATAATCAACCTGTCAAAAGCCAATGACAAACAGAGCATATTGAAATGAATAACAGAGAAGGAACTTTTCAGGTTCAATGGATCCTCAATAAGATTGCAGCCCAGTTTTCTTCAGAAACCATAGAGTTCAGAAGGCACTGGAATGTTGACAAATTTAGAGGTCAGAAAAAAAAAGACTGTCATGCAGGAATTGTGTGTCTGGAAAAACTCTCCTTCAGAAATAATGGATTTTATATATATATAAATATATATATATATATATATACACACATATATATACATATATATGACTATACATAGTACCACATATATATAACTATATATAGTACTACTATGAAATTATATATATAGTACTATATATAGTAGTCATACTATAAAAGCTAGTAGTAATATGTATATTTTTGGTGTTTATATGTGTGTGTGTGTGTGTGTGCATATATATATAGTACTATATATAGTAGTCCTATAAAAGCTAGTAGTAACATGTATATTTTTGGTGTTTAATTCTTCCTTTGTTTTTCCTATTTGGTTTAAAAGAAAATGCCCATTGACTAATGAATGAATAAACAACATGTAGTGTATTTCTACAATGGAATATGATTTAGCCATAAAAGGAATGAAATACTGATACATGCTACAACATTGCTGAATCTCAAAAACATGATAAGTGAAGGAAATCAGCCACAAAAGGATACATATTTCATGAACCCATCTTTGTGAAATCTTCAGAAGAGACCAATCTATAGAGAAAGAAAGCAGACTTGTGGTGACAGGGTCTGGTGGCAGGAGGAAATGGAGGGTGACTGCTTAATGGTGCAGAGTTTCCCCTGAGGTGATGAAATACTCTGGAACTAGAGAGTGATGATGGCTACATAACATTGTGAACCTACTAATTGTCACTGCATTGTACACCTATTGTACAATGGGTACAGTGGTAAATTTTGTGTTCATGTATATTGTATCACAGTAAAAAAGAGGCTGAAGAATAGATTCCAAAATCTTTTATATGGTAAACTCCTGAGTTTGCTTGAGCATCTGCCCATCTGTCTTTCCCCCTCAGGATGTCATCTCCTACTCAGAGCTCACCCTTGTTCTTCTGTAAGTAGAAAGCCTTTCTTCACAACACTCCCAGATCAGCCAGACCCAACCCCCAAAATGACTTTCTGTCTTGGATCCAAATGCTCACGTGCAACTCTGGGGCAATTTCAGTGGGAGTGAAGAGATTATCCAACTAGGATGATTCATTTGGAGGGAAATGTTTGACCTTATGTTAGGAAAGTCATTTGCTTTCCTAAAAAGGATCCTGCTTACCAGTGAGTATATAATTTTTGTATGCCCGGGGTGGAGTTCACAGCAGAGGAACTAACAATAGCTCTAGGAACACCATACACCTCATGCGTAGCTGACTCACCCATCTGCCTCCCCCAGCTGAAGGAAGGAGCTGGATTATTACCTTGGCCCATCCATCAACTGCATTTCACTGGATGTGCACCCTCTACAAGTGTGAACCTTCCAGGGTTCTCAGTTGCTCTTCCTGCTGTTGTGTGGCCTCCACTGGTGTGGCTCATGCCCAGGGGGCCTGCAGGAGACTGAGTGTCTCCTAATTCTCAAGGCCAACATTTTCAGTGAGCTCAAATGAAGATTTTATGTTCTCAGGGACTCATATTTTCATCTGTGGAAGGGAAAAATCCATCTCGCTGTCTTAGGTGTGATGGTAATTTTACATAAATATATATATATAATTATAGTATTTTTATGTCTATAAATGAGATAATCAGTATTTTATAAATTGATGGTATTCTTAGCATTGACTTCATTGCTCAGCTAAATGCTGTAACCAAAGGATGAGTCATGGAGTGGAGGAAGAATATTTTTCTACTCTCTGGAGGTGCCATAATCGGCATTTCTGCCCTATGGATTTCAAATGAGAAATTTGCTTTAGGCTGAGGTTGGAAGGAGATCTGAACTTCTTTGTATTACTATTATTTTAGATGGGGTCTTGCTATGTTGTCCAAGCTGGAGAGAAGTGACTATTCACAGGTGTGATAATAGCACACGACAGCCTCAAAATCCTGGGCTCAAGTGGTTCTCCCATCTCAGCCTCCTGAGTAGCTGGGACTACAGGTGTGCACTCAGCCACTTTTCATTGTTATTTTACTTCAAATGCTTTATTTTGAATATTAGAAATGTGAAAATCTATTTGATCACAGAAGACTTTAAAATACACAGATCAATGCCTACTTGAATTAAAAAAAAAAATAAAATACACAGAAGAAATACCACCTAGGTCTCCCCTCAAAAATATCACTGCTATTGTATTGTTGAACCTTCCTGGACTCAGTGTGACTGTTGGTCCCTGGAGCTGTCCTTTGCGTGGTGCTGATTTCCATTTTGTTGGTGGTGGTTTGTTTTTGTTTTTGTTTTTGTTTTTGTTTCTGAAACACAATTTCACTTTGTCACTGAGGCTGGAGTGCAGTGGTGCGACCTCAGCTCACTGCAACCTCCGCCTCTCGGGTTCAAGTGATTTCCATGCCTCAGCCTCCTGAGTAGCTGAGATTACACACATGCGCCACCAGGCCCAGCAAATTTTTTGTATTTTTAGTAGAGACAGGGTTTTGCCATATTGGCCAGTCTGGTCTCGAACTCCCGACCTCAAGTGATCCACCTGCCTCAGCTTCTCAAAGTGCTGGGATTACAGGAATGAGCCAAGGCGCCTGGCCCATTTTGTTGTTCTCTATGTATATATTTTTATAGGTATCTTTATTGTACAAGGTTGCATTCATATGTTATGGGTTATCTTGAATGTTGCTTTTTGAATGTATTATTATACAAGTAGTTTTCCATGTTGTAAACTCTGTATAAAGTTTACATGCTTTTTTGGCCGGCATGGTGGCTCACGCCTGTAATCCCAGCACTTTGGGAGGCCGAGGTGGGTGGATCACTTGAGGTCAGGAATTCGAGACCAGACTGGCCAACATGGTGAAACCCCATCTGTACTAAAAAATACAAAAAATTAGCCAGGAGTCTAGGCATGTGCCTGTAGTCCCAGCTACTCAGGATGCTGAGCCAGGAGAATTGCTTGAACCCAGGAGGCAGATGTTGCAGTGAGCCGAGATCACTGCCACTGTACTCCAGCCTGGGTGACAGAATGAGACTCCATCTAAAAAAATTTTTAAATTTAAAAAGTTGACACACTTTTACAAGCTGCATCCCATCTCAGATAAGGAGGTGATGTAACTGAGTTCTTTTAGATCCATCTGCTTTCATCTTATCTTTTTGTAGGTAATATTTTGACAAGCATGTTTGTACATAAAGATTCTCCTATGGTTGGGATTTTAAAAATTCATAGACTACTCAGGCCAGGTGCGGTGCCTCAAGCCTGTAATCTCAACACATTGGAAGGCCAAGGAGGGTGGATTGTCTGAGCCCAGAAGTTCAAGACCAGCCTGGGCAACATGGCAAAATCCTGTCTCTACAAAAAATACAAAAAAAAAATTAGCTGGGCATGGTGGCATGAGCCTGTAGTCCTAGGTACCCCAGCGTTTGAGGTGGGAAGATTGTTCGAGCCTGGAAGGTTGAGGCTGAAGTGAGCTGTGATCATGCCACTGCCCTCCAGACCAGGCTACAGAGTGAGAATTTGTCTCCAAAAATAAATAAATTCATAGACTACTCAAGTGATAAATATTAAACAAGAGACTGCTTTAAACATTTTAAAGCCTTATTATACTGTCATACTGTGATTGTACTGACATATTTATTCATTTAACAAATACTTACTGAGAGCTATTTACTGATTATGATGGTGAGAAACAATGGTAAGGAAACAGACCAGATCCCTTTATCAAAGAACATACATTTCAGTGATACTGACTGTAATGGTTAATTTTAGGTGTCATATTGACTGGATTAAGGGATGCCTAGATAGCTGGTATAACATTATTTCTGGGTGTGCCTGTGAGGGTGTTTCTGGAAGGGATTGGCATGTGAGTGACTGAGCGGGGAAAATCCTCTCTCGCTGTGGGCAGCCACAATCCAATCACCTAGGGGCCCAGATAGAACAAAAAAGCAGAAAGGAGTCAAATTTTCTCTCTCTCTCTCTCTCTCAATCTGGGACACTTTTCCTGCCCTTGGACATCAGAACTCCAGGTTGTATGGTCTTTGGACTCTTGAGTGTTGCACCAGTCAACCCTTTATCCTCCCACCTCCTCCTCTGGCCCCTCAGGCCTTTGGCCTTGGACTGAGCCAGGCTGCTGTCTTCCTTGGTTCTCCAGCTTGCAGGTGGCCTCTCATGGATCTTATCAGCCTCCATAACTATGTGAGCCATTTCCACTAATAAATCCCCTCTTGTCTCTCTATCTATCTATCTATCTATCTATCTATCTATCTATCTATCTATCCATCTACTCTATTGGGTCTTTCTGTCTTGGTAACCCTGATACACCAACAGACAATAAACAAATAGAATCTGTCACAGTATCAGTGATAATTGCCACTGATAAAAAATACACCTAGGCTAGAAGATTGGTGGGAGTGGCGGGAATGGCAGGGAATAGATTTCAGAAAAGGTAACTGGGCATGACATTTCTGAGAACTTGACCATGGGACATTTGAACAGAGACTCGAATGGTGTGAGGAGTGAGCCATGTGGACCCCCGGGGAGCAGGTGCATGTGGGAGTCACAGCAGGGGCAGGTAGCAGAGACAGGATGGAGCAGTGACAAAAGGCTGGTGTGAGTGGAGATGAGTGAGCTGGGCTGAGAATGGCGGGATGAGGCCACAGGGGTCCTATGATGAGGGGCTTGTAGGAAACGGTGAGAGACTGAGGTTTCATTGTGCCTAGGAAAGAAAAGGGCTGAGGTGTTCATAGGATATGTCCTAATTTTCGTTTGAGAGGCTCACTCTGCCTTTGTGTGAGTAATGGACAGTGGGCATGAGAGGCAGCAGGCAGCCCAGCTGGAAAGCCCTTCTGGTTTACAATTCTTGAGAGGGTGGCTCTCGGGTGGTGGCAGGAGAGGAGTGAAAAGTGATTGGATTTAGTGTTGATATACTTGTTAATATTGTGGTAAAACATACATACCATGTAATTTACCTTCTAACCACTTTTTCAGTGTACAATTCGGTGGCCTAAAGCACATTTACAATGTTGTGTAACCACCACCAATATGCATTTCCAGAACATTTTCATCATCCCAACAGAAACTGGACCCATTAAACCAAAGCTGCCCATTCTCCCTACCCTCAATTTCTGGTAAATTCTATTTTACTCTCTGTTTCTATGAATTTGCCTATTTTAGCTGCATCACATAAGTGAAATATTATATTTGTCTTTTTGTTTCTGGCTCATTTCACTTACAGTGTTCTCAAGGTTCATGCAACCTGAATTTCATTCACTTTTAAGGCTGAATAATATTCCATGCTATGTGCACCATGGGTCGTTTATCTAATCATCCTCCGATGGACACTCGGTTGCTTCCACCTTTTGGCCATTGGGAATAGTGCTGCTACGAGCATGAGTGTACAATTATCTGTGTGAGTTCCTGCTTTCAATTCTTTTGGGTATATGCCCAAAAGTGGAATTGTTGGCTCCTATGGAAATTGTGTTTTTACTTTCTTGAGGAAGCATCATACTGTTTTTCATGGTCGCTGTACCACTGTACACTCTCACCAGCAGTGTACAAGTGTTGTGACTTCTCCACATCTTCGCCAACACTTGGACTAGTGAAGTTCAGCATATTTTCATGTGCCTATTGCCCATTTGTATATCTTCTTTGGAGAATTGTCTATTCATGTTGTTCACTCATTTTTGAATGAGATTGTTTGTTTTTCTGTTGTTAAGTCATAGTTCTTTATGTATTCTGGATATTAATTCTTTATCAGGTATATAACTGGCAAATATTTCCTCCCATTCTGTGCATTTTCTTTTAACTCTCTTAATAGTGTCCCTTGATATATAAAAAAGGTTTTTAAATTTTGATAGTCTAATTTATTGTTTTTCTTTTATTGGTTGTGCTTTTGCTCACCAGCCAAGAAGCCATTGCCACATCCAATGTTCCTAAGATTTTCTTCAATGTTTTCTTCTAAAAGATTTATAGGTTGAACTCCTAAGTTGAGTTCCTTGAACCATTCTGAGTTAATTGAGTTAATTTTTGAATATGGTGTAAGGTGATGCTATGAATTTTGTCCAACATCATTATTTTGTATGTGGGTATTAAGGTTTCCTGGTACTATCAGCTGAAGTGGGGCTGATACACTTGTAAGATGCAGTGAGCACTGATAAATGGGAACACCATGCATTTATTTACTTGTCTTTACTCCACAGGTGATTGGAGGAGGCTTTTGGTGACAAACCCAAAAGAAATGAATACATATGAATTCTTATTAAATCAAAATCAAATAAAATTATAAATTTTAAAATGTTAAGAGTGAGGCAAGACTAGAACATCACTAGACAGGCTGAAACATGCTGAAATGGAGGGTTTACTGCTTTCCTTGCTTTAAATTTTGCTGGCTCACAATGGCTTATGTTTATTGCATAAGGGGGCCACAGGGAGGGTTGCTTGCTCACATAAGGAGCCCCTGGTTTTCTTCAGAAACAAGTTCAAATTCTCCACTTAGAGCCAAAAAAAATTAATTGCAAGATGTTCAAACTGAAGTTGGCTTCTATAAAGTCAAAGAATAAGCAGTAAGTGTAAAATAAACCTCAGGAATCCAAGGAAATTCTACCTTTTTACCTAGAAATGGCCTCACAATGCGTCGCTGAAGGGAGAGGGTCCCTTCCAGGAACCCCATGATGTAGGGGTTTCTGCTGCAGTCCCAAATTGAGTTGTCCCTTCTCTCTAACTGCAGGTCCCACAAGACCTTACTGCAGCTTCAATAATTTCACCTGGTCTAAGATTTGAGGGGTTTAATGCTTTTTATTTTGAGCTGCTGTCTGGGACTTAGAAAGGTGACTTGCATTTTTTGTCAAAATATTATTTCTTTGATGGAATTTGACATTGGTGGACACTCTGCCTTCCTGTGTGGTTCCTACAAGGGCAGATGACCTTGCACTTCTTTTTGGCACTTCACTAGCAGTGATAGAAGGTTTGAAGTTAGGGCCTCCCTCAATCTTTACCCTCTCTCTAATGCAGAGGATTGCGGCCTGTTGGCAGAAGAGTAGTGTCTTGGGCCCCAGCTGACCTGATGAATATCAATATCCAATGCCCTGTAATGAAGTCATGTGTGCACATATCATCACTTCTGCATGCAGTCTCATGGGAAGGTGGGTTCCTGGACCCCAGGTTACAGGCCTAAGCACTACAGGCATACAGATGGAGCTCCAGGGAAGGGAGAGATGACTGGGGTGGGACCACACTTTTCCTTCAGGGTGTCCCTCAGTTCAAGGAAGCTTGTACTCAAGGGAGAGAAAGTCCTGGCAGGCCTCCTTACCCTTGGCAATCTTGGTATTGGGGCTGGATAATTATCTGTTATGTGGGTGATTGGGCTGACTTGTGCACTGCAGGATGTTCAGCATCCCTGGTCATTCCCCACAAGATGCTGGTAGCACCTTCTCCTCACTCCAGTCATGGCAACAAAACATTTTTCCAGACATAGCTAATGTCCTCTGGTGGGAAAATTGCTCCTGGATGAGAATACTTGTTTGAGAGGTAGAGACACTCAGGAGCTGGGCCTGTAGAGGGAAAGTGATCCAGAAGTAGATACAAAGCAGAGTGGGGCTGGAGAAGACAGGAAGGGAGTCTAGGTCTGGAGGGGCCTGGCCTGATGGTTGAAGGTCTGGAGCTCAGAACCTCAGGGTATGGGGAACTAAAGCTCGTGAGGAATGGGGAGAGTGGCAGAACCTCCTATTGCCAGAATATCACACTCATACCCACTAAACACCCAGCCCATGGTTCTGCATCTCTGGGAAGTCAGGATAAATTTGGCTGTATGGGGTCAGTAAGAGTCCTGGTAACCCTAGGCTTTGTGTGCCTCCTGATGTGATGAATGTGCGGTCACAGCTCCTCCTGTAAACATTGCTGCCAAATGTTTAACCCAGAGCTACATAGGTCCTTAGGAGGCATAGCAGTTAGAGGAAAAAAGTTAAAGGCATCAGGGGAACTAATATGATAAATTCAGTGTGGAGAAGATTCCACAGGTATTTGGCCTCATCTCTGAAACAGGTAATGCCATTCTAAAAGAAAAAAGATGGGTTGATTGTTATAGATTGTAGGTAATTAAAGAAACATAACCAAAGGCAACGAGTGGACATTTTAAGAAAACAAGCTATAAAAAATAGGTACAAAAATGTACTGAAAGAAGTGGAGATATTTGAACATAAAAGGACTTTAAATAATATTATGGAATTATTTATTTTCTTTGGTGTGATAATGTTGGTTCTTATTCTTAGGAGGTGTGTGATGAAGTATTTAGTGGTCTAGTATCATGGGTCTTGCAACTTACTTTAGAATGACTCAGTCAAAAATCTTAATCTGGACCCTTTTCATAAGATGGTGCCAAGAACGAAGAAGGAAGCTCCTGCCCCTCCTAAAGCCGAAGCCAAAGCGAAGGCTTTGCAAGGCCAAGAAGGCAGTGTTGAAAGATGTCCACAGCCACAAAAAAAACAAGATCCACATGTCACCCACCTTCCGGCGGCCCAAGACACTGTGACTCCGGAGGCAGCCCAAATATCCTTGGAAGAGCACCCCCAGGAGAAATAAGCTTGACCACCATGTTATCATCAAGTTTCCGCTGACCACTGAGTAGGCTGTGAAGAAGATAGAAAACAACAGCCTACTTGTGTTCACTGTGGATGTTAAAGCCAACAAGCACCAGATCAAACAGGCTGTGAAGAAGTTTGTGACATTGATGTGGCCAAAGTCAACACTCTGATTCAGTCTGATGGAGAGAGGAAGGCATATGTTCGACTGGCTCCTGACTACGATGCTTTGGTTGTTGCCACCAAAATTGGGATCACCTAAACTGAGTCAAGCTGGCTAATTCCAAATATATGTATATCTTTTCACCATTAAAAGAATCTTAATCTCTCTATTCACTCTTTCTCTTCACACACACACACACACACACACACATTTACGTGCATGCTATAAAAACATATCTACCTGTATCTATAAAAAGATATATTTTTATTCTTTATTTTTAAAATTTATGTATGTTCGTGAGGCACAAGTGCAATTCTGCTACATTGATATCTTGCTTCTCAGTCCCACACAAGGAAGCTGTCTCACACTATAGAGAAAATATTCATGAACAAATTCGTATCAGTCACAGTGAGAGGTAACACTCTAAATAGCCCATTTCATGCTCAAGACATCCAAGTCAAAGAAACCCAATAGCACAGCTGAGTCCCCTCTGTTCCCCCCCAACACCCCACTCACATCAGGGCCCCTGCCCTGGAGTGTCACCTTTATTAGCTGTGAGAGACACCCCAGAGCCCTGGGCACTGTCAGTGATTGGGGTAGAACAAAAATAGGACCTGGTCAGAGCCCACAGATGTGGCTAGAGGAACTGTGGGGTGGGTGAGCTCCCTCATAGGCTCCTGACCACAATATCCCAACAATCTCAGGGATCAGCCTCCTTCATCTTACCTGCAGCCTGAGAGTAGCTCCCTCTGTTTCTATCTATGGGAAGAAAATGTCCTGTGAGAGGCCAGAAAGGAGGCAGGGCCATAAGGTCCTAGAGCAAACCCCTAGTCTTTGATCCCAGAGAAGTTTCCAGAAAAGTGTAACTGTAGATCCAGGGCAGGATCAAGAAATATGAAGAAAGCAGATGTGGGTCCTGGACCAACTGCCCTCCTGAGGTCTGTCATCAGCAGGGACCTTCCCCTGTGATTTGTGACTGCTGGGATCAGGTCCCATCACCACCATAATCATCGAAGTGAAGAATCTGTCCTTCATTTTCACAGGAGCTTTACAAATGAGTAGGTGCTGGCACACAGGGCCCAGGCTGGGTAGACCCATGAGTGTGGATGGTGCTTCCCAGTAATGAGGCAGGGCACACTTCTACTTGGGGCTTGCAACCCCCAGTGGGACAAGAAAACTCAGACTCCACTCCTCACCCCTTCCTACCTGAGCTCTTCTTCCTCCACATCACAGCAGCGACCACAGCTCCAGTGACCACAGCTCCAAGGACAACAAGGCCAGCAACGATGCCCACGATGGGGATGGTGGGCTGGGGAGACTGCTCTGGGAAAGGAAGGGAAGGTGAGGGGCCCTGATCTCCAGGCCTCAGCCCTGACCCTGCTGAAGAGCTCCAGAAGGGCTCCTGCTTTCCCTGAGAAAAGACATGACCCCTCGTTCCCCTCTTTACCCATCTCCCTCCTTACCCCATCTCAGGATGAGGGGCTGGGGCAGCCCCTCGTGCTGCACATGGCATGTGTATCTCTGTTCCTCTCCAGAAGGCACCACCACAGCGGCCCACTTCTGGAAGGTTCCATCCCCTGCAGGCCTGGTCTCCACAAGCTCTGTGTCCTGGGTCTGTTCCTCCCCATCCCGCTGCCAGGTCAGCGTGATCTCCGCAGGGTAGAAGCCCAGGGCCCAGCACCTCAGGGTGGCCTCATGGTCAGAGATGGGGTGGTGGGCAACGTGTGCCTTTGGAGGATCTGAGAAGAGTCAGAAAATTCAGGCACTTTGCACTCCTCATGGGAAACCCCAGCAGCACCCATGTGACCAACCTGAGAATGGACAGGACACCTGGGGTGGGGAAGGGAGCACAGAACCCAGACACCAGCCTGGACACAGACACCTGGGAAAATCTCCTATTCCTTGGAAAGTTCGAGTCTCTGAGTGGGGAGCAGGGACTTCTGGCCCTGACCTAAGTGGAGGCCGAGGGACTGGAATCAGAGCCCCAAACACATTGAGTGTGAGGCAGAGAACAAAACTTGAGAGAAAAGTCACGGGGCCCAAGGCTGTTGGAGGGCTCAAAGGGGACCGCGGATCGGTATTCCAGGGACTGTCTTCCCTCCATTCCCTCAGAGATTTCATCCCTTAATTGTCCCAGAGAGCAGGGCGGACTCTCACAGTCACTCTCTGGTACCGGATCTCGAAAGCCAGGAAGATTCTTCCTACTCAGGACTAGAGGGAGGGCGATATCCTAGCATTGGGCCCACTTTCCTCCCAACCTTGTGCGAGGCCATCCCAAGAGATCTACAGGAGATAGGGAAGGCGCCCATGGCCCCTGGTACCTGCGCGCTGTAGCGTCTCCTTCCCATTCTCCAAGTATCTGCGGAGCAACTCCAGGCACTCGCCCTCCAGGTAGGTCCTGAACTCCTCTGCATATTCCTCTGCCTCATAGAAGCGCTGGGTGATCTGAGCCACGGTGTCCGCCGCGGTCCAGGAGCGCAGGTCCTCGTTCAGGGAGATGTAATCCTTGCCGTCGTACGCGTGCTGGTGATACCCGCGGAGGAGGCGTCCGTCGGGCCCCATGTCGCAGCCATTCATTCCCTGGAGGGTGTGAGACCCTAGCCGGTCCCCGCAGTCAGCCCCGCCCAGCTAGCCCCGCCCCCTCCCCGCCCAACCCGCGGGGATTTTGGCCTAAACTGAAAATGAACCTCGGTAAAGGCGCCTGGGACTCTCCCGGGTGGAGGGTCTGGGCGGGTCCCGCTGCCTCGGGGTAGATTTCGGATCCGGAGACTCTGGGGGACCCGGGCGGTCCGTGGCGGATGGGGGGTGGTCGTGACCTGCGCCCCCGGCCGGGTTCACTCACCAGCCTCGCTCTGGTTGTAGCGGCGGAGCAGGTTCCTCAGGGCCACTCGGTCAGTCTGTGCGTTGGCCTTGGCGTACCCTGTGGTCCACTCCCAATACTGCGGCCCCTCTTGCTCCACCCACGGCTCCCGCGGCTCCATCCTCGGAATCGCGGCGTCGCTGTCGAACCGCAGGAATTGCGTGTCGTCTACGTACTCCACGGCGATGTAGCGGGGCTCCCCGCGGCCGGGCCGCGACACAGCGGTGCTGAAATACCTCAAGGAGTGGGAGCCTGGGGGCGAGGAGGGGCTGAGACCCGCCAGACCCTCCTCCGGGCGCGGCTCCCTGAGTCCTGCGCCCCCACCGGGCGGGCCCCTCACTCCTCCCCACAGAGGCCGTTTCTCTCTGGACCCCGCACTCACCCGCCCAAGTATCGGTCAGGGCCAGGGCCCCTGAGAGCAGCAGGAGGAGGCTTCGGGGCGCCATGACCCCAACCTCCGCGTCTGGGAAAAATATGAGTCCCGCGGGGTGCGTGGGACTTTAGAACCTGGGAACTGCGGCGACACTGATTGGCTTCTCTAGAAACGCGACGCCCAATGGGAGTGAGAAATGGGGCCGCGTTATGAGTATCCAGGATGAAGGACCTGACACGGGTTGGGAGAGAAAGAGAAACTCTGGGGAGATGGGGAATTCTCAATACTGAGCCTTCCAACCCCAGACACCGCCTCGGGGCCTGAGCCCTTGAGAGCCACTCCTGGGGCCCTGGGACTTTGCCCTCCCCCTCCCCCTCCCCCTCCTGTGCAGGGTGTGTCTCAATGTCTCCCTGAGTCTTCGCCCGGGGGCTGAGAAACCAGGGAGAAACCTTCGGCATGGACCCAGTCCATCTCCCTTCATTATTCATTCCGAAATCCCAGTCCCTTGATTGAACTTTCTGCCTCCCATTCCATACCTGGACTCCCCGGACTCTTTTGGAAGAAAATTCACCCCAAGGAGCTTGGTGCCAGACAATGAACTTGTCCTGAGAATGAAGGTCTAGAGACAGTTTCTTCTTCTTCCTCTTCTTCTTCTTCTTCTTCTTCTTCTTCTTCTTCTTCTTCTTCTTCTTCTTCTTCTTCTTCTTCTTCTTCTTCTTCTTCTTCTTCTTCTTCTTCCTCTTCCTCTTCCTCTTCCTCTTCCTCTTCTTCTTCTTCTTCTTCTTCTTCTTCTTCTTCTTCTTCTTCTTCCTCTTCCTCTTCTTCTCCTTCTCCTTCTCCTTCTCCTTCTCCTCCTTCTTTCCTCCTCCTCCTGCTCCTCCCCGCCCCCCTCCTCTTCTTCTCTGGAAAAGTTGTACCTGAGCATATGAAATAGGACAGAGACCAGTTTCTTTCTTTCTTTTTTTTTTTTTATTAGCTGCAGTGAGTAGTAGAATCTTGGTAACCCCTGAATTATCAGGAACCTTTTTTTTTTTTTTTTTTTTTTTGAGACGGAGTCTCTCTCTGCCGCCCAGGCTGGAGTGCAGTGGCGCGATCTCGGCTCACTGCAAGCTCTGCGTCCCGGGTTCACGCCATTCTTCTGCTTCAGCCTCCCGAGTAGCTGAGACTACAGATGCCCGCCACCACGCCCGGCTAATTTTTTTGTAGAGACGGGTTTCACCGTGTTAGCCAGGATGGTCTCGATCTCCTGACCTCGTGATCCTCCCGCCTCGGCCTCCCAAAGTGCTGCGATTACAGGCATGAGCCACCGCGCCCGACCAATCAGGAATCTTATGTGTAAAAACTGTTACTTTGGCCCCTTGATATATAAATGTGTCTAAATGCATTACAGTTGTACAACTCTCAGAGCTCCTAAGTTTTGCTTTCCCAGACTATGTATCTGTGACTCTTGTTGTATTCTAAAATTACCTTCATTCCATAGCCCTGAGTTTCTGTGGGAGTCCAGGACATCTCCTGACAATACAAAGTAGCACAACGTGTGATTGTATATTGCAACCAGGAGCCAATACATTCATTCACCTCAAAGTTGCAAGTGTTCAACGCAGTCACAATGCCCCTCACCAGTGCTCATGCACTTCCTGTTTTTAGGAAGTATCCGCATCTAAGTGGTGTGCATGTTTTATTGGAACACTTAGTATTTTTTTAAACCTGAAAAAAAGCAGAAAAAGCAATTAATTTTTAGGCAGTCCCACATAAGGTGTTAAAGGCCAAATGCAAGGAACACCCTGCTAGGCTCTGTAGATGGATGTATTAAAAATTTATAAAACAATGTGTTTAAAGCTAAGAATTCTGCTGCTTTCAAATTCTGTCCCTCTGCTCCTTCTCCTCACCTCCTGCTTCTCCAGCCCTTCCCTCCGTCCCTCTCATCCCTCAGGCCCTCCTCTTCCCTTAGTCCCCACCACTCTGTCACTCCTGAATAGTGGCTCTAGCACTGTTCCATTACCTGCCACCTGAGTGTTCTCTCCACAGTGGTCCTGCTACTGTGAGTCAAAGTGTGTCGTTTCTTCACCTAAAACACTCCAGTGGCTCCACTTCGGTCTTGTGAAGCTTCTAGAATGTCAGGCACTTGAGCATATGAGGGCATACCTGGTTCAGCATAGGCACTAAATTAATTTTTGTTGACTAGTTGAATGAAATATGATTGTATAAAAATTTAATCGCATCATGGAATATTATAAAATGAAAAATACTGGAAAAAGGAAATATTTTATTTTACTCATGTAGTGTGCTTATCAATTTATAAATTCATTCCATGTGTCTGTTGAGTCTGTGTATGACTTTTGTATGACTGCATAACAAATTACCACAAACACTGGCTTTAAACAACACCCATTTATTGTATTTATTTATTTATTTTTAGAGACATGGTCTCCCTCTGTTATCCACGGTGAAGTGCAGTTGCATGATCATGGTTCCCTGCAACCTCAAACTCCTGGCCTCTAGAGGTCCCCCTGCCTCAGTGTCTGGAGTACCTGGGACTACAGGCAAGTACCACCGTGCTCAGGTAAATTAAAAAAAAAAAAATTCCTTTTTGTAGAGAGGAAGGTCTCCTCAAATTGCCCAGGCTAGTCTCACTCCTGGCTGCAAGTAATCCTCCTGTGTCATTCCCACAAACCTTAGGATTACAGGCATGAGCTACCACGCTTGACCAAACAACACTTATTTATTTATTTACAGTTCCTTAGTCAGAAATCTGAGCATGATTGGAGGGTTCTCTGTTTAGGGTTTCCCAAAACTGTGTTTTCATTTTGAGGGCCTCCTTCAGGCTTATACAGAGGCGACAGAATTCAGTTTCTGCCAGTTGTAGGACTAAGGTTCCTGTTCCTTGCCTACTGTCAAGGTAGAGAGAGGCTGCTCTCAATTCCTGGTGCCCACCAGCATTCTTTGCCACACAGCCCCTTCATTTTTAGAATCCACATTGGAGGAACCCCCTCACACTGAATCCCTCTCACACTGTGAATCTCTCTGATCAGGAAGAACCCAGTCCTTTCAGGGGCTCGCCAGATGAGGACAGCCCGACCAGGGATAATCCCTGTCTTAAAGTCAATTGATTTAGGACCTTAATTATATATGCAAAAATCCCTTCAAGGCAGGACTTACATTATTGTTGGTTGAATAACTGGGGTCAGGTGAATGACCAAGGTTACACGTCTATCATGGGGGGGATGATAGAATCAGCCTAGCAAGGCTTGGGTCTTTCTTTTGAGTTTAATTGGGACACAGGTGGAAATTGAAGTTCAAATAAAGCAATAATTGTGAATGATAATAAAATACATCCTATTTAGCCATGGAAATTCCTCTTACCTCTTAAAACCAAATGACATGTTTAATATTTTATAATTAATTTAGGTTGGGTGTGGTGGTGGCTCATGCCTGTAATCCCAGCACTTTTGGAGGTGGAGTCAGGCAGAGAGCTTGATTTCATGAGTTCGAGATCAGCCTAGGCAGCATGGCAAAACCCTTGTCTCTACCAAAAATACAAAAATTTTAGCCAGGCATGGTGGTGCATGTCTGTACTCCCAGCTACTCAGACAGCTGAGGTGGGAAGATCACATGAGCCTAGGAGGTCGAGGCTGCAGTGAGCTGTCCTCCTGCCACAGCACTGCAGCCTGAGTGACAGAGCAAGACCCTGTCTCAATAATAATGATGATAACAATAACACTAATAAATTTAGAGCAAATGAAAATTAAAGTGCAACTATTCATCCTCTCTTGTGAAGCTGTATTTTTTTTTACTGTTACATTACAAATTACTGAAAATGTAACAGCTCAAAGCAACAAATATTTATCATCTCCCACAGTTTCCAATGCTCAGGAATCCAGGAGAGGTTTCCCTGAGTGTTTCTGGCTCAGGGCCTCTCACAAGGTTGCAGTCCAGTTGTCAGCCAGGGCTGCATCATCTGAGGGCTCAACTGGGCTGGGGATTTGCATGAAAAATGGCTCACTCACATGGCTATTGGAAAAGGCCTCAGTTCCTTGTTGTCTGGTCCCGGGAGGCCTCGGTCCTAGCCACATGGACCTTTCCACAGGTCTGCTTATGACACAGCAGCTGGCTTCCCCCAGAGTTCATGATCCCAGAGACAGAGAGAGCAAAGGTAGAAGCTACGGTAAGTTTTTTGTTCTACACCAACAGTCACTCCATCAGATAGAAGTGAATCATTAAGTCCAGGCCACACTCACAGGGAGGGAATGAACCTGCACCTCTGCAAAGTGGAGAGTATCAAAGAATTTGCATATATGTTAAAAGCAAAATTAAAATTATTGTTTCAGAATTTTATAAATCCAAAGCTGCTTTCATCTGATTATAATTCTTTAATGCTTTAAACTTCTCTTTTTAAAGTAATGATTAAAATTTGAGACATCACAGAGCCTTGGGTATTGAGGGGAAAAAAGTTTGAGACAGAGAAAGGAGATACTATAGTATCTCTAAGTTTTTCTTGCAAATACCTTTAATAACAATATTCTCTTTAATGAGTTGCAACACAGCTGAGAACTTACAGTAACTAGATCAAATAGTTCCAAGACTTCAGTGCCATAACAATAGTGCCTTAAAAATAAGTATTTGTTTTGCCTAAGATGTCTCAAATTTAGTTTAAGAATGTCCCAAATGCCAATTTTCTCATTCAAGTATCATCTTTAAAAATATTTGCCAAATCAGATTGCTTTTAAGGTAGAAAAAATGTGAATCTCATACCTCAGCCAACACATCTAGCTTAGCATAATGTCAGTAACTTTGGTTGGATACAGTAGCCCAAAATGCTTAGCTCCAACTTAGGAACAAGATTTTCCAAAAACTGGCTACTGGGTGGGCATTCCATAATAAACTTGACATCTTTCGCTCTGGTTTTTAATGAGACGTGGTAGACATGATTTGGACATCACTATGATTCTAAATAGCACTGCTATTCTGTACTTCTACAGTATTTTTTAAGCAATCCTATTGTGTTTTCCATTCCTATTTGCTATTCTATCACTGGTTATTCCTATATAATTTTTTCCTGTTTAATTTATTTTGATCAGTAATGTGCATTTCCAATTCTGTAAAAGTTTAATTCAGGTGTGTGTGTGGTAGAATGTAACATCGAATCCTTTGCAAGATGGAATTACCTTGCACATCAGACCAAACATTGTACACCAAAAATCTATGGAGATGTCAATGAGCCAAGGATCAAATGACCTATTTCTGGTCAAGGCCACTTTCATAGCATTCTGGCTCTCTCCATCACATGGATCATTACAATTGGCTTTGGTCCAATGTGAATAGTTCTTGGTAAGAATTATTGTAATGGCAAAAACTGCAATTATTTTTGCATCAGCCTGTAAGAGTTCAAAGTCACTGTCTTGGCCGCAGAATTACACCAGGCACTTTTTACTCAGACTCTGTTAATAACTTCCTGTTCTTTACTTGTATCCCATACACTGTGGCATTAAACTTTTAACATACAGATTCAGAAAATGCTTCCTTATATCATAACCACATAGGGTTATTTTATATGTTAGGAATATTTCATGAGAAGTAGGAAAAAATGGTGGGAAGGAAAAGAAAAATCAAGAAGAGAATAGGTGGAGAGAAACGGGAAACATTATGTATGGATAATATTATAAAAATAGAAGGAAATAAATCAGATGTAGATAACCACTATGGAATAATCGAAACATAAGAGAGGTTTATTAGCTATCTGTTGCTGTGTAACAAACTACCCCAAGACTTAGTGACTTAAAACAGTGAACATCAATTTACTCAAAGAAAACAACACAAATACTAGCAAAACTGGGGCAGGTGGAAGAAGTTGGATAAAAAAAAGGATTTTACAAACTGGAAAAGTAAGAGGTCACTGGTGTGTAAATGGAAATGATTTTGTTGGTCCATGTTCTCCAAGAAGCAGATGACATGAGATTAAAGTTGCAGTATTTTATTAGAGGACTCACCTGCCAGAAAATATGGGAAAAGATCCAGGAAACCTTGGGAGAGACAGCAGACTGAGATGCAAGCGTGATCCCCAAGTGAGGGACAGGAGAGGAGGTTTGTTGGACACATCCTAGACCATAGGCAATCTAAGGAGAGTTGAGCAAGGCCATAGAGGAGTCCTCTCGTCACAGTTGGCCCTTGTCTTCCAGACATGGGCCTCCCTTAGTGTCCCTCTTGTCACCCATCACTGGTTGGGAACAGCCCATGGAAAGCAGGGTGCCTGCACCAATGCTGCTGAGGATGTCAGAGCACAGGAGCAGGGCCTTGGGAGATTATCTGGGAGCATGGTTCAAATTTTCCTTCCTGAGGTTTCTGGGCCCTTGGAAATCAAATTCCCTCAGGATTGGTTGCTGGACAATTCCACTAACACTTACAATGGGACAAGGGGAACCAGGAGACCCCTCAAGTGGATCACTGGGTTCCACACACATTCCTCCTGCCCTCATTGTGACAGCAGCCCAACCTCCTCCTGGAGATTAGGATCTATTACCTGTGCCTGGAGAGGAGGGGACTCCTCACTTGCTGGTCTCTGGGCACATACTGTCCAAATCTCTCTGGGGGCAATAGTAATGTGTTCTTCAGTAGGCTCTCATTTGTCCTGATTTAAGAGTACCTTCCTTTAGAATCCAGGACCTTCTACCCTGCAGAGCACAGGTTTGGGAGATGAGAAGTGCAAAATCCCACAGCAGGTGAATCTAAGGAATGAGACATGGAGCCATACCCACTTTCACTCCTTAGTTTCTGGACCCACATGTTCTTCCTACTGAGAACACGGCACTGTAGAGATGTCTCTGATTTAATAAATGCACCATGTCCTGAAAGACAGCACCCACTCCTCAGAGTGCTTCCTCCAGGCTGGCACTGAGTTGTGCCTGTAGAAGACCTGTCCAGCATTCTTAGTGGCTGGCAGACCCTGGGTGGTGCAGATGGTGATAGAACCAGTGGATCCCATGGCCATGAAAATGCTGCACCTGCTTCCCTGTCAAGTGGGTTCCGCCAGGAAGACAGTGTGCTAAGAGCAATGCCATGCCTGTGAATCAGGAATGTCAACAGTCCCTGGAGAGTGGTGCTGACTGAGGGTCTGAGAGCAGGACAGGAAAACCCACTCATGGAATGGTGCCTAACCCTGTAAAGATGAACCTCTGGCCCTTCCAGAATGGAAGTGGCTCAACTAATCACTTAGCAGCGAGTGTTGCTTTAGTCACCTAAAGAAATATAGCCCCACTGAGGCATATCATTGGCCTCAAATGCTAATGAGTTGGACATTCAGAGGTGGCAGCAGCTGGATCTGTCTTGGTAGGTGGTAGTCAGTGCTTCTGGACCCATATTTAGCCTCATCCCTGCCACTGTGCTTGCTCCATTCATGAACCCATCCTGCTAGGCCTGGGCTGCCCGATGGTGAGGGCTGGCTAACTTCAATTTGTCTGCTTGGTTGTTTAGTGCCACTTCAGGTTTGGATGTTTTCTGGAGGTGTCAACATAGGATTCATGCTCAATCCAGATGGACCATTTCTATCTCATGATGGATGCTTTGGGGTCTGTCCGATCTATGACTTTCTGAGTTACAGAAGCCAATTCATATGGGCATTTGAAATCACATGGTTGTTTGCTGTCCCATGGCAAGGATTCTATCTTATCAAGGCCAGTAACATACCAAAAGTTGCTTCTAACAGGGGCATATGTCTCTGCTGTGGATGACATGGCCTTACTCCAGAATCCCAGGCCGTCCATGTGACTCCCCCACTGGTGCTTGTTTCAGCTCCATCCTGCATCTTTCCCCAGGACTGACACCTCTAGGTGGGTCTGAGGGATGGCGCTGCCTCATGGCCTGAATCTGCCAGTGTCCTTTCCTCAGCAGGCCTAATTGAAGCAAGTCCCCTCCTATTTCTCCTAGAGTGTAGGTCAAAACAATAGATGTGGGATGTGGTATTGTCAGAACTCAAAGAGGCTCACCAGGCAGTGTGCTTCCTTCCTTGTAGTGAGGATGCAAGATGCAACACTTTGTCTTTTACTGTGGAGGAGAAACTCCTGGATGTCCTCAACCACTGGATGAATAAAACTTCACCACAGTGGCCACTCCTGAATCTCTGTATGGTTTATCTTCCATCTTCTGGAGAGCACGTGTTTTGCCAAGGCCTTCAGCATACTTTCCACCTCCTACTCATCCATCCTAGTCAACATGATGTTGTTGATGAAATAAGCTGGTTTACCATTCTATAGGATGCCAGGTTCTTCAGATCTCTTTTTTTTTTTTTTTTTTTTTTTTTTTTTTTGAGACGGAGTCTCGCTCTGTCGTCCAGGCTGGAGTGCAGTGGCGGGATCTCGGCTCACTGCAAGCTCCGCCTCCCGGGTTCACGCCATTCTCCTGCCTCAGCCTCCCAAGTTCTTCAGATCTCTTAAGACTATACTATAGAGGGCAGGTCAGTTACAATAACCCTGAGGCCAATTATCAATAAATGTGTTGTGGATCCCACATGAATCACTTCATGTATAGTTTTTCTCATTGGAATGGAAAGGAATGCACTCACCAAATCCACAGCTGCACACTCTGTGCCTGAGGCCTTATCAATCTGCTCTACCCGTGATATCCAGCCAGCATGGCAGCTGCAATTATGACTCCTACTTTTTCAAGTCTGAAGTAATCTTATTCATTCTTTAGGCCCCATCAGGCTTCCTTGGGGACAGATTGCTGGATTACATGAAGATAATAGGCAACTCCAACAGCACCCCTCATCCTTCAGCTCCCTAATGGCGGTGCTACACCTACAATACCTACAGCACCTTTCATAAGACTCACCCTGGGACTCAATATCATTTTTTATTTGGCCAAGATGAAGTCAGTTGCAGAGGTTTCCCTTTGGCTTTCAGAAAATGACAGCCCTTATTCCAGAGACTTGGGACCCAATGTGGGGGTTACTCCAGCTGCCAGGGCATCAATGCCAATTACACACTTGGAGAATGGGGAGATAAACAGGGCTGGGTCTGTGGACCCAGTAGTCTCTTTGTGATGTGTCCAGATTTATTCCCAGCTTCTGTAAGCCCCACTGTGCTGGGGACATAATGGTGCTGTAGGCCTGTAGGCATCAATATTAGCTCACACCCAATGTCAACACTCCCCCAAATTCTGCCTGTTTCCCTTTCCTAGTGTACAGTCCCCTGAGTAAATGACTGTAGGCTCCTTTGCAGAAAGACAGAGGGAATTGTTCCAGCATATACTTGCCATGAGGTTCCAGGGTCCTTCCTCCTGGGATAGGGACTCCTTCTCTGTAACTGGGATCTGAATCTGAAACTTGGTTGACATTTAGGAATTGAGAATGGGATCATGACTTTGTATTGAGTTAAACACCCTCAGCCCCCTGCTCATCAATTCTTGCTTTCTTATCATAGATGTCAAGCAGTGCCCTTGTTGGCTGCTGTCTTTTCTGACACCACCCTCTATTAACCTTCCCCACAACTCCCTGCAGATCAAGCTGCCTCAGCTGCTCCTCTGAGATTGTCAAGTTAACCGTGCCCTCTGGCTTTTGCAGGCCACTGTCACCATTTAGTTCTCTGCCTTTTCAAGGCCACACTTTCCTCAGGAATATCAATGAGCCCAACTATAGGACCTCCTTCCTGCCATCACACCCAGCCTGCAGAGGACACCACCCCGACGCTTCTTAGCAATGCAAGTCCCTCTCACCAGCACATTCCTGAGGCTCTGGTGGAAGGTGTGCCCTATGGGTCCTCTGTGGAGCATGGCCCTAGTGGGCATTCTGGTTCACATGATGTCTCCATCCCACACACCCACTTCCCTCAGCCTCATTATCCATCCTCTACATGTTCCAGGACAACTAACTCATGTCTAACTTACTGAGAGTTGGACATCATTTTTTCCAGTCTACATGGGTCCACCCCAGCAGTGGGTTTGCCCCATGCCCTGAGGTCCTTGATAAACCCATACCCTGAGAAAGTGCTCCCAAGCCAAAGGTGTTTTTTTTAATTTATCCAGCTTGATTCTGGCCCTTTGATCAAACACCCTTAAATTCCAATCCCAGAACTGCTCCTCAGGCTCCTACGGGGACATAACGGCTGTTACTGCAAAGCTCCTGAGTGGAATTCCCACTGCATCATAGGGGTGAGGTTTCTGCAGCAACTTCCAGTGTAGGAAGTGGGAACCATTACTAGAGAAGGGCGAGCCTCCTCTGCATGCCCAGAGAGTTCTAAAGGGCACCCATAGGATAACCCTGTTCCAGTTTGCAGAATCTTAGGTTTCCGCACCAAGGCCTTGACTTTCCCACAGCAGGTCTGCCTCTGATGAGTGTCCAAACATCTCTGTAGTACTGTGACTTTCAAAATGATGTCATCAGCTATCATTCCACTCTGCAAGGGGAGAGGGGCAGGTGCCCCTCCTCGGTCTGTCTCCACCAGGCCCTGTGAGGGTGGGTGGAGGCTCTCTCCAAGCCCTCGTTTGGCCCCACCCTAGCATGTCTCCAGGTTCCTCTCAGCCCTGGTTCCTTTTGGCCCTGCAGTCACAATGGGCAACACTGTGACGCACCCTGTCCTGTGTCACAGTGTCATACACTCAGGCTCACATTGCCCCTAGGCCACTTGCCAGCCAAGGGACATGGCCACATTTTGTGTCTTCTGCACCTCAGCCTTGCTTTCAAGTGCAGGTGATGATGGCACCCACGCAGAACAAATGTTATTTGCTATCTTCGTCGAGTTTAGTCATCCAATTTTCCAACCCTCACTGGGCAAGGAAGAGTGTGGTTTCCACCAGAAGGCAGGATGTCAGCAGTCACAGGGGCAACCAACAGGGAAAGCCACCGGAAAATAGACCCCACAGGAAGCACAGGTGTCCAGTGGAGATGGGAACCCTGCAGATTTGACCGTCTTTAAGCAGATTAGAGAGATTACCATTACTAACAACTTAGCCATAAAAGTTTATTAGCTATTTTCAAAAAGCATAAAATTATGTAATATAATTTTTTTTAAATTTCCATCAATACAAAACTAATCTGGGCACTGCAACTTCCGGTGGGCAACTGGGATAGGCGGCATCATCAGGAAGGCGAGCCCTGCCATGCCCCATGTGCCAGTGCCCCAGATGGCGGCAGCCTCCCCAGAAGCACCTTGTATCTCCCCTGCACAGGGCCAGGGTCCCAGCTTCCCATACACCTTCTCCTGCTTTTTCTTTTCTGTCCTTTCCTTTTTCAATAAACCACCTGCAAAAAGGGAAAACCATTCTGAGGACAAGAAACATGTCAATGGGAAATACACAGTTGCCAGAGGGTAAAAGGCCCTGTTCATTCTCATTGAAAAGCTCAGGTATTTCTGTTAAAGTCTCTCCTTTTACTTTAGGATGCTGACTCCTGCGTCCATCTCAACCTGGGCATCGTGCCACCACCTTCAAGAAGAGAAAAACTAAGTAGTGCTTTGCAAAGGGGCAGCAGCATTTCTCATTTCTGACCATGTCAGGCACACGGCCATGCAGATGAGCAGGTGGGGGGACACAGGTGAGTCTCCAGACCTGCTCTCCTCCCACAGTACATTCTTGAGTCTTTTTAAACAGTTGTGAAAATGCCACAGATGCAAGCACCTGTGGGCCACTCCCATGGGGACTGTTGCACAAGGCAGTGCCACTCATTCTCAGAACCTCCTACCATGGGCTATGCTTAGTGACCCGAGGCCAAGCCAAGGAAGACGCCAGCCACAGGGTGCCATCCTCAGGGGCATGCTGCCAGCAGGGGCAAAGTTATCCCTAGCAACAAGATACAGAAAGAAAGAAAAAAGGAAGGAAATGTAGCCAATGGGCCGGTTCAGGTTCTTGACTTTGCCACACAAAAGAATTTGAGAGCAAGTCCAAAGTAAAAGTCAGCAAGAGAATTTATTGCAAAGTGAAAGTACACTCTGACAGCTGATCAGAGCAGCTGCTCAAAAGAGAGACAGTACCCTCCCCTCACGGGAGTCTTACATGATTATTCATGAATAGGTGGGAAGGGGTATTGTTTTAAGCATGTTCTGTGGTCTCTTGAACGTGCATGCACTATGGTTGTACATATCAGCACACACATCTTACGTCTCATTAGCATCTTAACTTCCCTCTCGGAGTTGTGTTTGCTACTATTGTAATGAGCATAGGTCAGCCCAAGGACGCTATTCATGGGTTTCTGGGCTTCCTCAGATGTGGGGATGCCTCCCTTGGCTCTTCTACCTCTTTGCTGCAGGATGTTCTAACCACAAGCCCAGGATATGGTTTGCGCACTGTCGAACAGCTTGTTCTCTCCATCAACCTGACAAGTCTCTTGTTTCCTTTCAAGGGAGGCTGTGAACATCCTATCTCACTGACCTCAGAAGGACAGTACAGCAGTAGCCACCATGACCAAAAAGATGATTCCAGAAGTGCAGGACAACTCCCTACCCAGAGGCTGTGGCTGTGCAGTAACACACCAAGAGGGGAGTCCAGCTGGCTCTCAGGGTGCTCACTACCCTCATCTGGGGGCCTGGAGGACGTCAATTCCTGAGAACGCCACGTTCTAGTGAGTAGAATGAACTGAGAGATACACAGCAAAGCTCCACATACTTTTCCTTTTCTTTGTGCCCGCAGTGTTCTTCATCAGTGTGCTCTCGCTTTTCAGCTACTACTGTTGGCTGGCTGGAAAAAATAGAACAATAGTAAAAATTAGAGACCAGTCTTTGGTGATGAAGAGAAATATTGGCTACTTCCAGTATTTTCTAGCTTTGGTTATGGTTGCAGTTTTCCAGCTCACCTTGTGGGGATGAATTCAGAAAAAAGTTACAAATTGAAATGAACATGCCAGAAGTATTGGCTCAAATCAACGTTGTCCTATTAAGCCACTTAGTGAATCAAAAGACCGCTTGTTGGACTGTTAATCTCGGTGGCCAGAGAAAGGAGCTGAAGAAGGTGTTGCCAGATCAGGAACAAATAATTACAGCGGCAATAGAAAATGGAAGACCACTTGTTCATAACCATTTGAATAAGGGCAAGGTGTATGGAAACACATTATGAACTGATATTTTCAGTTTTGTTTGCAAGAAAATGATTAATAAGGTGAAATAGTTGAAGTATCACGGAAGATACATTAAAAAAAAAAAAGCCTTTGTACAGTTTGCTGGAGCCACAGATGTCCTACTCCAGAGCAGAACAATGCCTGAATCTTCAGGGTCCATTTCTGCCGCATTCACTAGCAACCACAAATGTGACTTAATTTTACTTTGGAAATAATGCTTACCCATTGTGAGATGCTGTAATATGAACCATCATTACATGTTAACATGGCACATGGAATTTTGAGTGTCTAAGTTACATTTTTAGAGTTGTTTCTTAGTAGCCATGTGAGTTTCCACTCCAAAAACACAAGCTAAAAACTTGTTTTGAGTGAAGGACATCTAGGGCAAATGGTGGCTGAAAGTGAATGAGATCCCAATTACTCTTTCTTGTACTGTATAAGGAAAAGAAAATAAGTGCTTTTCTTGTTGGGTGTTTGCTAATTTATAATTACCGTTTTATGCTTTTCAACATTTTTAATAAAGTTTTTTATTGTTGGCTATAAACGTTTTAAAAGGATTCTCTTCCTCTAGAATCACTCTAAGTACCAAAATCTGTATTATTCTGGATTCATCAGAGAAACAGAACCAATAAGGTGTGTGTGTGTGTGTGTGTGTGTGTGTGTGTGTGTGTGTTATTCGTGTTATGAAACTGACTCATGCAATTATTACGGTGGCAAGTGTGAAATCTGTAGGATACGCCAGCAGGCTGAAAATGCAGACAGAAGTTGATATGGTAGTCTTAAGACAGAATTTCTTCTTTTCTGGGAAACTGTAGTTTCTGCTCTTAAAGCCTTCTACTGATTGGATGAGGTCCATCTACATTATTGAGGGTAATTTCCTTTTCATAAAGTCAACTGATTGTAAATGTTAACCACATGTACTAAATATCTTCACAGCAACATCTAGATTAGGTTTTGATTAAATGACTGGGTACTATGTCCTAGCCAAGTTTATTGGCATTGACTCTGGGTCAAGGCACCGTGTCTCCCTCCCATCGAGTTTTCCATCATCTACACGAGACCTAGATGACTACTTTGATATCTACTGAAGGCCACAGCCTTGTCAAAGCCAGCCCCAGCTGAAATGCACTCACCTGCATTCCCACACAATTTTACATACAATTCGGGGGAGGTTATGGGACCTATGAAGACCAAGGGTCTGTGGTCCTGTGACACTTTCTCTCAGAGGGTGAAGAAGGAGTTCCTTGGGGCAGCAACTCCCCAGGGGTCTCCTGCCTGCCTCTCCTCCCCTCTCAGCCCCAATCCTCTTTCCTGCTGTTGATCATCATGCAGTTTTTAAATCCCTACTCCCTGCCCCACCAAGGTTGGGCTCTAGGACCTGCCTATTGGGAACCTGCGGTTGGGAGAAAGTATGAAGTGACCCACCTGAATTTAGAGGAGGGAAGTGAGGAATTTGGAGACATCTAAAAACATTTTGTCCCTGTGGTTTGACTTCAAATTATCTATTTTTATTGGAGATTTGTTTGAAATTATAACCGGTATCTCATGATTATTCAGCATATGCCATGCCCCCTGGTAACCCTGGTTCTTATTTTTTTAAACTTGTACAAATATTTTAAGCAAACACAAAAGTAGACAGAAGAGTAAAGTAACCTTCACTGTACCCTTCACTCAGTAACACCCACTCTTGATTTATCTACATCCTCAACCATAGCCCAACACCAGGTTATTTTCAACTAAATCCTAGACAATATATTATTTCACATGTTAGCAATTTTCTTTTGAAGGTGCCAATGTTCAGCTTCTTTAAAAAGAGAAACAGAGACGGGCAGGAGAAGGATTGAACTGACAAAATATATTTTCAAATGCAATTAAGGCAGAGGACAATGCAGGAACTCTTGAGTCCCGTTTTAACTGAATGCTCAGCACCTCTTAGATTCTCAATAAAAGAAAGCAGCAGCCCAGAGCCAAGGAGCCCAGGGAGGCACATCATGGTTTGATTTTGTGGCTGTTTTCAGGGCAGTATCTGTCATCTCTGAATGGTTACACTGGACATTTCTATTCCCACCCTTGCAATGGGACTCCCCAGCTCAGAGAAAGGGAAATTATCACCCATTCTCATTTATACCTTTAATGCCTTCATCCATTCCCTTGGTCCTGACTTTCCGGTTGGAGGAGGGGGAGGAAAAGCAGAGGCACGAAATTGAAATGTCTTCTCTGCCATCTGCTGGGGATATGCTTGAATAACAGGAAAGGCCTACATAAAAGATATGCAGCCAGGAATAGAGGTTCCTTTTCCTGTTTCCTTCAGGAAATTTCCCCTAGGGCAGACAGAGCAAGAGTGATGGACAGAGGAATGGGAGCAGGACCCAGGGGGAGGTCTGGTCATATGTGTGCCTTTCTGCCTCCCCGTCTGTCATTGTCCTTCCTCACCAGGCCTGCAGACCACCTGCGATGACCTGGCCTCTTGCCATCCCTAGCTGGGCCAAAATTCCATCACAGGGACACACAGGATGGCAGAAGCGCAAGGCCTCATACCCGCTGGGGCAGCCTCCTGGAGATGGCCTCAGAAGGGCTTCTAGGAACTTCTTTAAAACCTGCACTGCAGGCACCAATTTCCCCAGTTATCCCATCCTTAAATGAAAAATCAACCACAGAGATGATTTATTGTAATAGCCTTATTTCAGTACAAGCAGACGAAAAGTGTTTCTCTTCACTGGCCCGTTAGTTACAATGGGGAGGGGTCACTGAGTGAGCAGCGGGTGGTGGCAGTGACGACCACACCCTCTCACTGCGGCCCAACACTTTTGAGACAAGTTCCCACCTCTCCATTAGACGTGTCTTCTCCACATGCAGAAAATGTGGTCTCGTAGCTTCCCTTCTCGGTGCTGGATTGCTGACATTTCTTTTCTTTATCAGAGACATGAATATCTTTTTTCTTTATGGATTTCTAAGACTTCAGGGTTTCTTCAGGGAGAAGTTGCTTAAGGAGGCTCCTGCGTGGATCGAGTCCTTCCTGAGGGTTTGCTGGATGCCCCCGGACACTGTGCGGCTGTGTCCTCCGGGGTCCCTAAAGCTGGCACATTCTGCTGTGTACCCAGAGGTGGGGACAGATGCTGCCAGCTCCACCTTACAGCTGCCACATGAAATTTGAGGTCAGAGAATTCTCTTGTCTTTAAGGGCCCCCACATTTGCCTTCTTCGATGTTTCAGGAAATCATAACTGAATTTAGAAAGGTTCCCTTTTCAGTTTACTCTCTGGAAGGAAATATACTGAAAATTCAGTTTATTTTCAGGTGTTGAATAGAATTGAAAAGTCAAACTGTCAGTTTGCTTGCAGTGCACACAGAGAAATTGAGTGTTCCAAGCCATTGGGACATTTCTAGCAGCTCCATCCTTTTCCAGTAGGACATGAGTAAAGTCAGTGAGGAGCGAACCTGCAGTCCACGGGCACCTCCAGGATTGTGGCAGGAGACGCACATGTCTTTCTGATGTGTGGAGTCCTGAGGACAGAGGCTGAGACCCTGCATTTCCCAAAGTACTTGTTTTCTAAGCAAGTGTTTCTGCTACTTGAAATAAACTTGGGGGTGTGGAAGCCACCTTGCAACCAACCAAACACAGGTGAGAAAATGAATATGAAGTGTTCTGGGAGAAAGCAGAAAACCCCATTGCCATCATGTTTCCTTATTTTTACAATTCTCTTAAACAACGTGCCTAAGGTTATAACCCCTCCCGTTTGTAACAACTTCTAAATGAGAAAATCGTTGAAAGGGCATTAGTAAGTGTGGATACAGAATAAATGCTGAAAATCAGTGCTTTATTCAAAGTAGCGATAGAGTCTCCCAGGTATCAATAGAGAGGTGGGCCAGGGACTTTTCCCAGTGACCAGAAACAAGAGCCTCAGGGAGATGAGGATGTCTCACAGCCAGGGACGGGACAGTGAAGGGCCCCACGGGAGTGCATCCCAGGGGTCTGTTCCTGTTTAGACTCCAATGCTCAGCACCCAGTGCGGCACGTGGCAAGACCTCAGCAAATATGTCAGTTGGCTGGATGAAGGAGGGCAGGTGTGAGCCAAAAAAAGATTTTTGCTGGGGCATAAATGTAAAAGTGTTGATGAACCTACCTTGCAAGGAGATAGAAAGGTGGATGGGTGGATGGGTGGATGGGTAGATGGATGGATGGATGGATAGATGGATGGATGGATGGATGGATGGATATTCATTTTCTCTATGTGTGTGTGTACGTGTGTATCTATCTCTGTCTGTCTCTCTGCTCTTTCTCTCCATTTGCCATTGTTCCTTCACAATCATGATTTCACTAACTTTTTTTTTTTTTCTTTGAGACAGAGTCTCACTCTGTCGCCCAGGCTGGAGTGCAATGTCACAATCTCTGCTCACTGTAGCCTCCACCTCCCGGGTTCAAGCGATTATCCTGCCTCAGCCTCCTGAGTAGCTGGGATTATAGGCACATGCCACCACGCCCGGCTAAATTTTGTATTTTTATTTTGATTTTTTTTGTAGAGATGGGGTTTCACAATGTTGGCCAGGCTGGTCTCAAACTCCTGACCTTGTGATTCGCCCACCTCAGCCTTCCAAAGTGCATCAGTAACATCTTTTACCTGGTCTTACAGGACCTTGCCTGTCTATTCTATTCGTGGTCACAAGACAGAAAAAGAAAAGGAGTGTGTGGAAAACAAGATAAGGAAACATGCTTCTGATGTGGGGCAGTGGGGAGACAGGAGCTGCGCCTCACTGCAGAGTCCATCCTGCTGAACACAGAGGGGCAAAAGCGCCCAGACAGCCATGCCCGTGCTGATCAGAAGGGAGGGCTGCGCCTCGCGATCCTTCTACCTGTGTCTTTCAGGCTTTGCTGTCTAGGTCCAAGTTACTGCTATGAAAAGAGATTTGAGAATTCCCAGAGGGGCCTTTCAGCCTCTTTCCATGGCTCTTCCTGCCCTTTCGAAAGCACAGCCAGAGACATCAGAAATGAAATTGTACATAATTCTTTTGGACTTTGATGCAATCTTTGGAAAGAATTTTTGTAAATGCCAAGCTACATTTTGGCAACCCCATCAAGAGTCAGGTGTGCCCAGGGCAGTCAACCCAGGCCCTGGACTCTCATTCTAGTTGGATTCTATGACAGCTATTTTGCCATAAGAATTCTAGAGCCAGATCTTGCTACACCACAATTGCCTCACGTTGCAAGACAAACAAATCTAACCTGAGTCCTGTGGATTCCAGAGGTGCTCAGGAGGAACCTCCGTCTCAGCGTGGATGACCTCAGGTTCAGCCCCGTCTGTCCATTCAGCCCGCAGCCCCGTCCAGGAGAGCACTCAGAATCCGAGAGCAGCGCAGCGGCGCCCCCGTGTGGCCACAGGGCCGAGGACAGAGACCCCGCTCCCCTTTCTCCCTAGCCAGGACCTCCCAGGCTCTCCTGCTCCCAGCACCTGGACAGGGCTCTGCATACAAGGGGGTTCCCGATCTCAAGTCAGGCTCTGAGTCCATCCAGCTTCCCAAAATCCATGTTGACACTGACGTTTCCTCCCACCACTGAGTGACTCTGGATTTTGGCTTTAGGGAAGAGATACCTCCAGGCCAAAACAGTGGGATCATATCTGGGGCTCATCCACCCCCAGACCATTGCTACCACATGACCTAGTCCCTCAGCCTCCAAAATGGGGCCTTGCCCTCCTGTCCCCTCCCTTGTTCCTGCTGCTGCTCCTGCAGGTGGAGGCTGCTCATCCCAGGAATCAGCCTGTGAGCTCCAACCCTGGAGTCCGGGCCTGGGGCCTTGGTCCAGAGAGCAGAAGGGAGATGAAATGGATCATAAGAGAAGGGGGAGAGTGGAAGGAACCAGGGGGGAGAGAAAAACGAGAAGGGCCCTGTTAGAAGTTGTGTGTGCATGTGTGTGTGTGTGTGTGTAGATCAGGAGGGGGTTTCTAGGGACCTGGGGAAAGGAGAGCTAAGGGCAGGTGCTAAGGGGCCCAGCCCTGTTAATTCCAAGGTCCGGAATTAATTCCAGGATACTGCACTTCCTACAGTACCACTTTATGGCCATATCCAAGTCCAGCCCTGAGCAGCCTATGGTCACAGAAAATCGTGAGAATAATCAGAGAAAAATGACACGTTACATACATGAGAACAATTATGAGAATGACCAGTCCATGTGTTCATAATTTGTCATCAGAAACTATGGTTGTCAGAAGACAATGAAATGGCATTTTTTTGAGTGCTGTAAGAAAACAACCTAACTCAGAATTGCACATCCAGTAAAAATATTTTCAGGGAAGAAAAATGAAAAGGTGTCTCCAGATAAAATAAAACTAGGATAATTTGTTGCAAACATAACTCTACTACAAGAAAAATACTGAAGGAGTTTCCCAGGTTGAAAGAAATCATACCAGATGGTAAC
This sequence comes from Homo sapiens, assembly GCF_000001405.40. Classification (NCBI taxonomy): domain Eukaryota; kingdom Metazoa; phylum Chordata; class Mammalia; order Primates; family Hominidae; genus Homo; species Homo sapiens. Next base: position 966,752 of record NT_167246.2, on the reverse strand, counting down.
TTGAGTCTTCAGATAGGAGTGACCAACACTGGAAATGCCAAATATATGGTGGGAAGTTAAAGATGCTCTATTTTTTCTTAGTTTTTTTTTTATTAATTTTTTTTTGAGGTGGAGTTTCACTCTTGTTGCCCAGGCTGGTGTGCAATGGCACAATCTCCGCTCACTGCAACCTCTGCCTCCTGGGTTCAAGCGATTATCCTGCCTCAGCCTCTCGAGTAGCTGGGATTACAGGCATGCGCCACCACGCCCAGCTAATTTTGTATTTTTAGTAGAGACGTGGTTTCTCCACGTTGGTTAGGCTGGTCTCGAACTCCCGACCTGAGGTGATCCACACGTCTTGGCCTCCCAAAGTGCTGGGATTACAGGCGTGAGCCACCGCGCCCAGCTTTTTCTTAGTTTTTTAAAAATACAAATGAACAACACTATCAACCGTCTTGATCTGACATTTACAGTCACTGTGTTCAACAGCTCCAGAATATATATTTTGTAAAGTGAATATGGTACATTCACTAGCACAGGTCATATGTTGAGACATAAAACAAGTAACAACATATTTCAAAGGACTGAAATCATACAGAATATGTACTCTGACCAAAATAGATTTTATTGGAAATCAATAATAAGTTGTCTAGGGGCAAAAAAGTATTGAAAATTTTAAATCTTCCTTCTAAATAACCTACGGATCAAAGAAGAAAACATAAGGGAAGTTAGATAATATTTTCAACTGAATGATGATGAAAACATACCTTTCAAAATTATTAGATACTATTTCCAGTCTTTCTGCAAAGGACAGTGATCAAGAGAGTGTGGTATTGGCAAAAGGACAGACACATAGATCAACAGAACAGAATGGAGAGGCCAGAAATGGAAGGACAAAAATAGAGTCACTTGATTTTGAATACAAGTACAAAGGTCATCCAATGAAGAAGGGAATCTCCTTTCAATAATGATGCTGAAACAATTGGCATCCATCTACTTTGGGAGGCTGGGGCAGGTGGATCACTTGAGGTCAGGAGTTTGAGACTGGCTTGGCCAACATGGTGAAACCCTGCCTCTACTAAAGTTACAAAAATTAGCTGGTGTGGTGGCTCATGCCTGTAATCCCAGCTACTCGGGAGGCTGAGGTAGAAGAATCACTTGAACCTGGGAGGCAGAGGTTGCAGTGAGCAGAGATCACGCCATTGCACTCCAGCCTGGGCCACAGAGTAAGACTCAATCTCAAAGAAAAAAAAAACAAAAAAAAAACTTGACAATACTTCACACCTATAAAAAAGTAACTCAAAATGTATCATAGACTTAAAAATAATATGCACAGCCATAAAACTTCTGGAAGAATATAAAGGAGAAAATCTTAACCTTGAGTTTGAGTTTTTAGATAAAACACCAAAAATACAATCCATGAAAGAGAAAACAAATCAATTACACTTTATCATAATTAATAGTTTTTGCCTTACAAAAACACTGGTAAGTGAATGAAAAGAAGACAAGGCACAGACTGGAAGAAAATACTTGTCAAAAAACTGGAAGTTATAGATGTGACAAAGGACTTGTAAAGATAATATGTGAACAAAATTAAAACACAATAATTGGGAAAAAAAATCTTGATTTTAGAAGTGGGTGAAAGATCTCAACAGACACCACCAAAGAAGATATATGGGTGGTAAATAATACTTGAAAATATGCTTAAGATCATCTGTCATTAGGGAAATGCCAATAGGGTGCAGTGGCTCATGCCTTCAATGCCAACACTTTGGTAGGCTAAGGCAGAAGGATCACTTGAGCCCAGGAGCTCAAGACCAGCCTGGGTAACATGGCGAGACAATGTCTCTACAAACAAACAAACAAACAAACAAACATTAACCAGGTGTGGTGGCATGCACCAGTGATTCCAGATACTTGGGAGAGTGAGACGGGAGGATTGCTTGAACCTGGGAGGTGGAGGCTGAAGTGAGCTGTGATCGCACCACTTTACTCCAGCCTGGGCAACAGAGTGAGACTCTGTCTCAAAAAACAAAACAAAACAGAACACCAAAACAAAGTACTGCTACACTATTAGAGTAGCTAAAATTTTTTAAACTTACAATAAAAAATGCTGAAAATATACAGAGCAACAAGAATTCCCACTCACTGCTAATGGGAATGGAAAATGGTAAAGCCACTTTGAAAGACAGTTTAGAAGTTTCTTATAAAGTTAAGGAGAGACTTACCATCAATCATGCTCTTAGGTATTTACCCAAGTTAATTCAAGGTTGATATCCACACAAAAACCTGTACATGAATATTTATAGCAGCTTTACATATGTTCACTAAAAACTGTAAACAACCAAGATATCTTTCAGCCATGCAAGACTAAGCAAACTGTGGTATAACCATATGGATCATAAGAAATGAGCTATTGTCAGGCCAGAAGAGGTGGCTTACACCTGTAATCCCAGCACTTTGGGAGGCTGAGGCAGGTGGATCACCTGAGGTCAGGAGTTTGAGACCAGCCTGGGCAACATGGCAAAACTCCGTCTCTAGTAAAAATACAAAAAGAAAAAATTAGCCAGGCGTGGTGGCGAGCAACTGTAGTCCCAGCTCCTCGGGAGGCTGAGGCAGGAGAATCACTTGAACCTGGGAGGCAGAGGTTGGAGTGAGCCAAGACTGCATCATTGCACTCTAGTCTGGGCAACAGAGCAAGGATCTGTCTAAAAAAAAAAAAAAAAAAAAAAAGCTGTTGCCCTGGTGCAGTGGCTCATTTTGGGAGGCCAAGGTGGAAGGATCGCTTGTGGCCAGGGTTCAAGACCAGTCTGGGCAACATACCGATATGCTGTCTATGTTTATTTAAAAATAAAAAAAAAATTGGCCAGGCGCAGTGGCTCACACCTGTAATCCCAGCACTCTGGGAGGCCGAGGCATGTGGATCACCTGAGGTCAGGAGTTCGAGACCAGCCTGGCCAACATGAAGAAACCCCGTCTCTACTAAAAATACAAAATTAGCCGGGAGTGGTGGCGCATGCCTGTAATCCCAGCTACTCAGGAAGCTGAGGCAGAAGAATCATTTGAACCTGGGAGGCGGAGGTTGCAGCGAGCTAATATCGCGCCATTGCACTCCAGCCTGGGCAACAAGGGCAAAACTCTGTCTCAAAAAAAAAAAAAAAAAAAAAATATATATATATATATATATATATATATGTAAATAAGCTATTAATCCATACATCAATTAATCTTAAATGCGTTTTACTAGGTGAAAAAAATGTCAGACACAAAAGGCTTCATTTTATCTGACTCAATTCATATACCATTCTGGAAAAAGCAGATCTATGGGGACAGAAAACAGGTTAATGGTTATCAAAGGTTGGAGGGAGAAGGGATAAAGAACATTCAAAGGGAAATTTTTAGGATGAAGGAACTGTTGTAGATGGTACTAGGGTAGTGGATATATGATTCTATACATTTGTCAAAATCCAGGCTGGGTGTGGTTGCTCATGCCTGTAATCCCAGCACTTTGGGAGGCCGAGGCGGGTGGATCACCTGAGGTCAGGGGTTCAAGACCAGCCTGGCCAACATGGTGAAACCCCGCCTCTACCAAAAATACAAAAATTAGCCAGGCGTGTTGATGGGCGCCTGTAATCCCAGCTACTCGGGAGGTTGAGGCAGGAGATGGAGGTTGCAGTGAGCCCAGATAGCACCATTGCACTCCAGCCTGGGCCACAAGAGTGAGACTTCATCTCAAAAAAAAAAAAAAAAAAAGTCATTGTTGTAAAAAGGGCACAGGCTTTGCTACAGATTTTTCTACCAGTGAAAAGATGTATACACTTGCCTGGCCTCATCATTCAGACCAATTCATAAAATAACAAATGCATGGAAAAAAAAACTTAAAAACACAATCATCATGTGACTGACTTCCAAATTAGATTCTCCTTCAAATCAGAGAGTATTGCTTGTTAATAGTGTTTATAAATTTTAATTCCTGATTGCTGAGACAATATGTACATAAAATATGTAGCCAAAGAGTTCAAAATAAAATTACCCAAATTACCTATTTGTTATTTTATACATAGTAATTATTTTTAAAAAATCGTTTGGCTGGGTGCGGTGGTTCATGCCTGTAATCCCAGCATTTTGGGAGGCCAAGGCGGGCGGATCGTGAGGTCGGGAGTTCGAGACCAGCCTGACCAACATGGTGAAACCCTGTTTCTACTAAAACAACAAAAATTAGCCGAGCATGGTGTCGTGCGCCTGTAATCCCACCTACTTGGGAGGCTGAGGCAGGAGAATCGCTTGAACCCAGGAGGCAGAGGTTGCGGTGAGCCGAGATCACACCATTGCACTCCAGCCTGGGCAACAAGAGCAAAACTCCATCTCAAAAAAATTTTTTTAAAAAGCATAAATTAAAAAAAAAAATAAAACTTTTAAGATGTTAAGCCCCTGAAGCTCCAACTACAAAGTAGGGTAAAAGGCTGCCTAAAGCAGTGAAGATCAAGGAGTGACCTTGGAGGCAGCAGAGGGAGACTGTATTAGTCCATTTGCGTTGTTGTAAAGGAATACCTGGGTTTAAGTAATTTATAAAGAAAAGAGATTTATTTGGCTCACAGTTCTGCAGGCTGTACAATCATGGGGCCAGCTCCACTAGGATTCTGGTGAAGTCTCAGGAAGCTTTTACTTGTGGCAGAAGGCAAAGGAAGAGAAGGTGTGTCACATGGAGAGAGAAGGAGCAAGAGAGCTGCTAGGCTCTTTTAAATAATCAGCTCTCGTGTGAACGAATAGAGTGAAAGCTCACTCATTACCATGGGCAGGGTACTAAGCCACTCATGAGAGAAACGCTTCCATGACCCAAACGCCTCCCACTAGGCCCCAGCTCCAACACTGGGGATCTTTCAACATGAGATTTGGAGGGGACAAACACCCAAACCTTATCAGAGATGATCCCAGCCACAGGTCTCAGAGAACCAGCAGAGGGCACTCCTCCAGGGCCCAGCCTGAGTGTGGAAATAGCTGTCAGAATCACGTCAGAATGTTTCAGAACTCATGGGGAAAAGCTGAGACAGAAAAAAAGAAGAAAGTAAGAAGCTGGCAGAAATCAGCTAGGAACCTTGAGAGACTTGGTATTTCATTGACAGGTAAGATAGGAGTGTTTTGACTCCCGTCATCCCTAAGGAAGACCACCAGTATCTGAACTGTCGGAGAGCCCTTCTGCCCTCACAAAGCCAAACACTGATGTGCATGGCGATTTGGGAACTTCTGGAGGGCATCACACCAGACAACCAACTTGCGCTGGGTCACCTGTCCCTCCTCCAGACTCGGGCAGTGTTGGCAGGGTGCCATATTAAGAGTGTAGCCATCAGGGGACTGTGTCCTTCCCAGGGAACCCCAACCTTTGTATATTCACATCACAGAAGCTCCTGCAGCCATGCCCCCAGTGCCCACTTGGATTGTGGCAGCCACACAGGGCTGGCTGGACCCAGTGGAGCTGCAGGGTTCCCAGTGGTCTAGCCATCAGGGATTGCTGCTCCTAAGGAAAGGGAGACTGCAGTACACAAAAAAAGTACCAGTTGGGACAAAGGAGGCCAGGCCATGTACTCATCTGTGTCCAAGAGCTCCTTGTTTGTGGGCTGAGTGACTGCACCACTTCCAGCAGAGTCGTGGACACTGTGTTCAGCTCTGCGCTGAAGGAGTGTAGTTCCATCCCAGCAGCCAAGCAGCCCCAGTGCTTAGAATCAGGCATGGAAAGGGGAAATTCTCCTGCCCTTCCCCCATCCACCACTGCTTCAAACACAGCATGGCCACTCCCATGGGAAATTGGCACGTGTGCCAGAGAAGAGCCTTTCTAGGGCTATCAGGGGTGACTGTGTTTCCACTGGCAGTGTGGCCATTTGGGCCAGGCTTGTGTGAAAGACAGGGCCCTTTCCCCTCTCTACAGGGAGTGCTAGCATTCCTGCAGTGGAGAGCAGGAAAGCTGAAAAGCTATGTGCAGGCCAGGCGCGGTGGCTCACGCCTGTAATCCCAGCACTTTGGGAGGCCGAGGTGGGCGGATCATCTGAGGTCAGGAGTTCAAGACCAGCCTGACCAACATGGAGAAACCCTGTCTCTACTAAAACTACAAAAACAATTAGCCAGGCGTGGTGGCGCATGCCTGTAATCCCAGGTACTCGAGAGGCTGAGGCAGGAGAATTGCTTGAACCTGGGAGGTGGAGGTTGCGGTGAGCTGAGATCACGCCATTGCACTCCAGCCTGGGCAACAAGAGCAAAACTCCATCTCAAAAAAAAAAAAGAAAAAGAAAAGCTATGTGTTTGGGGTTGAGGGAGGATGCTCTGCACCAAAGACATTTAAATGGTGAGCTGAGGAGAAGACATCTTTAATGAGTCTCAACTACATTGCAGTTGGAGATAGAGAGTAGTGTCTGGTCAATTTGAGTTTCCCCGATGCCAGGACTAGGGAATGACAGGGAAATGGATGGCATTCCTGCCTGGCCAGGTCATGAAGCTGGGGCAGCCCTCTCCTCATCTGTGGAGACCTAGGCACGTTTCACCAGAAGTTTCCCATGCCACCACTCCTGCCTGAAAGCTGCTGCCTGTGCTCACCATTGTGGGGCAGGCTTGGGGATCCAGCTCTACTCAGCTATGTCCCCCTCTCTGGTGCTGAGCAGGGAGCCCAGGCTGCTGTACATTCCACTTACCAGCACATTTCCTGAGGCAACAGAGAACTTTTCTAGGTATACAATGATGAAGCATATACTCACGTGCTTCTGCCACATAGGCTTTTAGGCATAAGCCCACCTACTGTTCTGGAGGCTGAACCACGCACCTCAATACAAATCAGTTGACAAAAGGGCACATGAGTGGAAATAAACTTCTCATCTCTTCCAAAAGAGGAAATGAGATAAACTTCTTAAACCTCTGCCATCCTGGCCCTGCAGGAGGCTGTGAGCCTGTTCACACTCCCAGTACATCACCACCACAACTGGCATTTGAGAAAGCCACCATACAAAGGCTATCTATAACCAGGGGACAACTACAGAGTCTTTGCCACTGAAAGCATTCACAACCAAATGCAAAGGACCTTAAACAACATACATTATAGTCACATTGTAAAGGGAAAAAAAATCCTGCCCAAATGAAATAAATTCAAAAATAAGAAGAGAAAGTTTCTACAGATGAGAAGGAACCAAAGAAATGATTCTGGAACTCTCTATGTTTTCTATTTTTTAAGTAAGTCCTTTGTTTCTCTGTTGAAAACAGTAGAATGTTTTGAAAACATACTCTGAAAAAATAGAGTGTTATGACATCCCCAAAACATTACACTAACTTTCTAGCAATAGATCCTAACAAAAATAAAATCTTTGAAATACCAAATAAATAATTCAAAATAATGATTATAAAGAAGCTCAATGAAATCCAAGAGAAAGTTGAAAACAACACAAAGAAATGTAAAAAATCAATTCAGCATATGAATAAAAAATTTACCAAGAGATAAATATTTTTAAAAAAGTAAACCACCTGGGCTGGGCGCGGTGGCTCACGCCTGTAATCCCAGCATTTTGGGAGGCTGAGGCGGGCAGATCACGAGGCCAGGAGATCTAGACCATCCTGGCTAACACAGTGAAACCTCGTCTCTACTCAAAATACAAAAAATTAGCCGGGCCTGGTTGCAGGCGCCTGTAGTCCCAGCTACTCAGGAGGCTGAGGCAGGAGAATGGTCTGAACCCGGGAGGCGGAGCTTGCAGTGAGCCGAGATTGCGCCACTGCACTCCAGCCTGGGCGACAGAGTGAGACTCCTTCTCAAAAGAAAAAAAAAAAAAAAAATTAAACCACCTGGAAATAAAAAATTCATCAAAGTAGTTCCAAATGCAGCTGAAAGCTTTAACAATAGACTAGACCAAGCAGAAGAAAGAATTTCAGAGCTTGAAGACAGGTCTTTCAAATTAACCCAGTCAGACAAAAAGAAAGAAAAGAGAATTAAAATATGAACAAAGCCTTCAGGAAGTATGGGGTTATGTAAAACATCTGAACCCATGAATCATAGGTATTCCTAAGGGAGAATGAAGTGTAAAAAGTGTGGAAAATCTACTTGAGGAAATAATTGAGGAAAACTTCCCTAACCCTGGCTAGAGATTTAAAATCCAGATAGAAGATACTTAGAGAACTCCTGGAAAATACATTGCAAGATGGACTTCACCAAGACAAATAGTCATCAGACAATCTAAACTCAATGTAAAGGAAAAAAAATCTTAAAATGAGCAAGAGAAGAGAAAAAGTGTCCTAAAAACCTATATAGGAAATTCCATCAGCCTAACAGTGGATTTTTCAGGCCGGGCACGGTGGGTCACGCCTGTAATCCCAGTACTTTGGGAGGCTAAGGTGGGTGGATCACGAGGTCAGGAGATCGATACTGTCCTGGGTAACACAGTGAAACCCCGTCTCTACTAAAAATACAAAAAATTAGCCGGGCGTGGTTGCAGGCGCCTGTAGTCCCAGCTACTCCGGAAGCTGAGGCAGGAAGGAGAATGGCGAGAACCCGGGAGGTGGAGCTTGCAGTGAGCCGAGATCGCGCCACTGCACGCCAGCCTGGACAACGGAGCGAGACTCCGTCTCAAAAAAAAAAAAAAAAAAAAAAAAAAAAAGCACTGTGAAAATCCCTATCCTGTTTGTTCCGATCTAATTACTGGGACATGCAGCCCCTAGTCACATAACCCCTGCTTGCTCAATCGATCACGGCCCTCTCAAGCGCACCCCCTTAGAGTTGTGATCCCTTAAAAGGGACAGAAATTGCTCACTGGGGGAGCTCGGCTCCTGAGACAGGAGTCTTGCCGATGCCCCCGGCCGAATAAACCCATTCCTTCTTTAACTCGGTGTCTGAGGAGTTTTGTCTGCGGCTCGTCCTGCTACAATATGGCGCCATTGCACTCTAGCCTGGGCAACAAGAGCCAGACTCCTTCTCAAAAAAAAAAAAAAAAAAAAAATTGCGGCCGGACGCGGTGACTCACACCTGTAATCCTAGCTCTTTGGGAGGCTGAGGTGGGCGGATCACGAGATCAGGAGTTAGAGACCAGCCTGGCCAGTATGGAGAAACTCCACCTCTATTAAAAATACAAAAATTAGCTGGGCATGGTGGCACGCACCTGTAGTCCCAGCTGCTCAGGAGGCTGAGGCAGGAGAATCGCTTCAACCTGGGAGGCGGAGCTTGCAGTGAGCCGAGATCGTGCCACTGCACTCCAGCCTGGCTGACAGAGCGAGATTCTGTCTCAAAAAAAAAAAAAAGAAAAGAAAAGAAAAAAAGAAAAACAAGCAAAGAGTGGTGATGAAATTTGAAAGAAGGGACTAGGCCGGGCGAGGTGGCTCACGACTAATCCCAGCGCTTTGGGAGGCTGAGGCAGGCAGATCACCTGAGATCAGGAATTCAAGACCAGCCTGGCCAACGTGGTGAAAACCTGCCTCTATTAAAAATACAAAATTAGCCGGGTATGGTGGTGCGTGCCTATAAATCCCAGCTACTTGGGAGGCTGAGGCAGGAGAATCGCTTGAACCCAGGAGGCAGAGGTTGCAGTGAGCCCAGATCGCGCCATTGCACTCCAGCCTGGGCGACAAGAGTGAAATTCCCTCTCAAAAAAAACAAAAAAGTAAAGGAAAAGAAAAGAAAAGAAATAGCATATAGTAGCATATAAATTCCCAAACATTAAACAATTGCCTTTGTTCATATAAACAATAAAAAGTTAAAATTTTTGTGAGGCGATAACCTCATATATAATAGAAACAAAAAGGTTTTTAATGAAAAAAATTACTAAGAAGTGTGCAAACTTTAAATGAAAACATTAAAACACATCTGAAATTTAAAAATTAGATATGAACAAATCGGGCCGGGTGCGGTGTCTCACGCCTGTAATCTCAGCACTTTGGCAGGCTGAGGTTGGAGGATCACCTGAGATCAGGAGTTTGAGACCAGCCTGGCCAAGTGGTGAAACCCTGCTTCTACTAAAAATACAAAAATTAGCCGGGTGTGGTGGTGTGAGCCTATAATCCCAACTACCTGGGAGGCTGAGGCAGGAGAATGGCTTGAACCTGGGAAGTGGAGGTTGTGGTGAGCCAAGGTCACACCTCTGCACTCCAGCCTGGGTGACAGAATGAGAGTCCATTTCAAAAAAAAAAAAAAAAAAAATGAAGAACTTTTTTTTCTTTTCCATAAGTTCTTGGGGTACAGGTGGTATTCGGTTACACGAGTAAGTTCTTTAGTGGTGATTTGTGAGATTTCGATGCACTTATCACCCGAGCAGTATACACTGCACCTTGTAGTCTTCTGTCCCTTGCCCCCTCCTACTCTTCCTCTCAAGTCCCCAAAGTCCATTGCATCATTCATATGCCTTTGTGTCTTCATAACTCAGCTTCTACATATCAGTGAGAACATACAATGTTTGGTTTCCCATTCCTGAGTTATTTCACTTAGAATAACAGTCTCCAATCTCATCCAGGTCACTGAAAATGCTGTTAATTCATTCCTTTTTATGGCTGTGTAGTACAGAAGAACATTCTCAAATAGGAAGACTATACAGCACATTTGCAGAGTAAATTTTCAAATGTAATACCTCCTAATCAAAATGCCAACAACTACTTTTTTTCTCAAGCTAGACAAGTAGATTATAAAGTTCACATGAGAAAATAAATAAGAATAATTAGAAAATCCCTTGGGGGAAAAAAACAAATTGAGAATTGGGTGTCTAGTTATGCCTAATAGTTAAATATTTTACAAATTCCCTGTCACTAGAACAGTGTGGCACTGGTGAATGAATAGACCAACCAATGGAACAGCACAGGAAGTCCAGAAACAGCCAAGTGCATAGCAACCTAGTCCTCATTTAATGACTTTAATTCATTCCTGGGCATTGTGCCACTAAATAAAAAGTATTAAACCAGGCTGGGTGCGGTGGCTCACGCCTGTAATCCCAGGAAATTGGGAGGCCAAGGCCGGCGGATCACCTGAGGTTGGGAGTTTGAGACCAGCCTGACCAACATGGAGAAACCCCCTCTCTACTGAAAATACAAATTAGGCAGGCGTGGTGGTGCATGCCTGTAATCCCAGCTACTCGGAAGGCTGAGGCAGGAGAATCGCTTGACTTGAACCCAGGAGGCAGAGGTTGTGGTGGGCCAAGATCGGGCCATTGCACTCCAGCCTGGGCAACAAGAGCGAAACTCTGTCTTAAAAAGGCCGGGCGCGGTGGCTCACGCCTATCATCCCAGCACTTTGGGAGGCCGAGGCGGGCGGATCACTAGGTCAGGAGATCGAGACCATCCTGGCTAACGAGGTGAAACCTCGTCTCTACTAAAAATACAAAAAAATTAGCCGGGCGTGGTGGCGGGCACCTGTAGTCCCAGCTACTCTGGAGGCTGAGGCAGACGAATGGCGTGAACCCGGGAGGTGGAGCTTGCAGTGAGCCGAGATCCCGCCACTGCACTCCAGCCTGGGCGACAGAGAGAGACTCTGCCTCAAAGTGGAGAAAATGGTACAGAGGCCAGGCGCGGTGGCTCACGCCTGTAATCCTAGCACTTTGGGAAGCCGAGGAGGGCGGATCACGAGGTCAGGAGATCGAGACCATCCTGGCTAACAGGTGAAACTCAGTCTCTACTAAAAATACAAAGAATTAGCCCGGCACGGTGGCGGGCGCCTGTAGTCCCAGCTACTCGGGAGGCTGAGGCAGGAGAATGGCGTGAACCCGGGAGGCGGAGCTTGCAGTGAGCAGAGACAGCGCAACTGCACTTAAAGGGCGAGACTCCGTCTCAAAAAAAAAAAGAAAGAAAGAAAGAAAGAAAGTGATACAGAAGTGAAAGAGATGTTTACCTATTGAGCAAAAGGTGTGAGGGTGTGTGTGTGTGATAAATGATACTAGAAAAAAAGAGAGCAAATGAATGATATTGTATTCTCTTCATAGTTAAGGTGTTCTGCTGTTTATTTTTTGTGGGGGGAGGGGGGCGCGGGGCGGACAGAGTCTCACTCTGTCGCCCAGGCTGGAGTGTAATGGCGCGATCTCGGCTCACTGCAAACTTCTGCCTCCCTGGTTCACGGGATTCTCCTGCCTCAGCCTCCTGAGTAGCTGGGATTACAGGCACGTGCCACCACGCCCGGCCAATTTTTGTATTTTTAGTACAGATGGGGTTTCACCATTTTTGTCAGGCTGGTGTTTATATGATATTAATAAACAATGAAAGATAAAGAAAAGATCTGAATCATTTGCATTTTCAGGAAAATTGTTACACATCAGAAAATCTGTCAGGAAATATTTGAGACTCCATCACAATCATTGCCCCTTAAACACACCCATCAAGACGACTGTTCTTCCTCCTTTAGAGAGTAAAATGAACCTTCAGTACATTGAGTTTTGTGGAATTCTTACCTATTTACTCTGAAGTTTCTATTTACTACTTACATACCTTTGTTTTCATTGCTCTATTGATATATCTACCTGCAAAGTTTTCTGTGAGTCCTCTATTGTTATAGAATGCACCATAATTTTTTCCATTAGGAAAATTAAATTTTGTTTACTCTTTTTTTTTTTTCTTTGAGACAGAGTTTCACTCTTGTTGCCCAGGCTGGAGTGCAATGGCATGATCTTGGCTCACTGCAACTTCCACCTCCCGGGTTCAAGCAATTCTCCTGCCTCAGCCTCCTGAATAACTGGGATTACAGGCATGTGCCATCACACCTGGCTAATTTTCTATTTTTAGTAGAGACAGGGTTTATCCATGTTGGTGAGGCTGGTCTCAAACTCCCAACCTCAGGCAAAAAAAAAAAAGTTCTCAATGTGGTGGTGGTGTTGGAGGTGGGGCTTAGTGGGAGGCGTTTGGGTCATCAGGAGCAGATCCTTCATGAATAGATTAATGTCCTCCCACATGAGCGAGTAATTTATTACTCTGTTGGGGCTAGGTTAGTTACCAAAAAGCAGGTTGTTATAAAAGCAAGTTTGGTTTCCTAGACTCTCTCTTGCTTCCCTGTCTCCCCATGTGATGTTTTTGCACATGCCACTCACTTTTCCCCTTCTCCAAAATGTTTTGACCTAACATTTGGCCTTCACCAGAAGTTTGCCAGATCCAGCACTATCCTGTTGAACTTCCCAGCCTGCAAAATCATGAGCTAAATAAACATCTTCTCTTTATAAACTACCCAGTTTCAAGTTATTCTGTTATAGTAATACTCAACATACTAAGACAGTCATTGAAAACAAAGTCAACCTGGAGGAGCCTTAAGGAGACATGATTAGGACTAAATACAATGTGATATCCTCGATGAAATCCTGTGACAGAAAAAGGAAGTTAAAAGAACTAATGAAACCTGGCTGGGCATGGTGGCTCACACCTGTAATCCTAGCACTTTGGGAGGCCAAGGCGGGTGGATCACTTTAGGTCAGGAGTAAGAGACCAGCCTGACCAACATGGTGAAATCCTGTCTCTACTAAAAATACAGAAATCAGCCAGGCACGGTGGCATGTGTCTGTAGTCACAGCTATTCAGGAGGCTGAGGCATGAAAATCATTTGAACTCGGGAGGTGGAGGTTGCAGTGAGTGGACATCATGCCATTGCACTCCGGCCTGGGTGACAGAGCAAGACTTTGTTTCAAAACAGAAAGAGCTAATGAAATCGAAATAAAGTTTAGTGATACTATATTAATATTGTCTCACTGGTTGTGAAAAATGTATAATAGTGATATAAGATGTTAACAATGGGGCTGGGGGCAGTGGCACACACCTGTAATGCCAGCACTTTGGGAAGCTGAGCGGGTAGATCACCTGAGGTCAGGAGTTCGAGACCAGCCTGGCCAATGTGGTGGAACCCTGTCTTTACTAAAACTACAAAAACTAGCTGGGCATGGTGGCGCGCACCTGTAATCCTAGCTACTCAGGAGGCTGAGGCAGGAGAATGGCTTGAAACCCGGAGGCAGAGGTTGCAGTGAGCCGAAATTGTGCCACTGCACTTCAGCCTGGGCGACAGAGTGAGACTCCCTCAAAAAAAAAAAAAATATGTTAACAATGGGGAGCTGAGTGTGACATATGTGAGAACTATGTATTATCTTTTCAACTTTTGTGTAATCTAAAAGTATTCTAAAATTAATAAGTTTATTAAAAAAAAACAACAACAACAACCCTCAGAAGAGGAAAGGAATAGGGAGTTAAAGAAAAAACAGTATACTTTTTAGTTTTCCCAGGGTTTCCTATCAAGGGGCTGGGAAGAGGGAGAAAAGATTGGAACCTCAGAGACAGTGTGGGGCTCCAGAGTTCTCTTGTCCTCTGACTACTGGGGCTGCTCAGAAATTGTCTTCATCCCCCTATTGATGTCAGGTTCCAGGGTCAGTCACCTCTGCCCAACTCAGACCACAGACATCCCAGCCTTTTCTGATTGCTCAATTTGTGTCTGAGACACCAGAGAGGTGCCACCCCCAAGTGGCCATAGACCTGAGGACAGACGACCTGAGCCCCCTTTTCTTCTCGCTGTGGACCTCCCCTGCGTCTCCTTGGGCTCCCGGAAGTCAGACAGGGTTCTTCATGCAAGGGCAAGTGTTTTAGTCTTTTTGGGCTGCTATTAAAAATCATATATTATAGACTGGGAAACACTGCCCTAGCCAAGTGATGGAGGTTAACATAATCATTTGATAAATCAACTGGGTAATATACACTCTTGGTATGTTGTATTGAGAGTATTGCATTTCATCTCTGTGCTCTTCTTCCCCCAAACCTATAGCCCTGTCAACCACACTCAAATTAAGGGACATTTTACAATATGCCTCACTAGTACTCCTCAAGAAATACCAAATTATCAAAAACGAGGTCTGAGAAATTGTCACAGACCAGAGGAGGCTAAGGAGATATAAAGGGGACTAAATGTAATGTATCCTGGATGGGATCCTGGAACATAAAAGTGATGTTAGGGAAAAGAATAAAATCCAAATAAAATAGGAGTTAGTAACAATGTATCAATATTGTTTCATAACCTGTCACAAATGTATAATAAAATAAGACATTAATAATAGGGGAAACTGAATGTGGAACATACGAGAACTATGTACTATCTTTGCAACTTTTCTGTAAATCCAAAAATATTGTAGATTTGATTTGATTTGATTTGATTTTTGAGACGGAGTTTTGCTCTTGTTGCCCAGGCTGGAGTGCAATGGCGCGATCTTGGCTCACCGCAACCTCCACCTCCCAGGCTCAAGAGATTCTCCTGCCTCAGCCTCCTGAGTAGCTGGGATTACAGGAATGCACCACCATGCCCGGCTAATTTTGTATTTTTAGTAGAGAGAGGATTTCTCCATATTGGTCAGGCTGGTCTCAAACCCCCCACCTCAGGTAATCCATCTGCCTCGGCCTCCCAAAGTGCTGGGATTACAAGTGTGAGCCACCGTGCCTGGCCAATATTTTAGATTTTAAAAGGATATTTTTATAACTAGTGCTCAGGAAAGAAAAAGAAAGTGGAAGTAAAAATTATCTACTTTTCGAGCGGCTTACCTTCACTCCCTCATTGACAGCCAGCCTCCACACCAGCCATATCTGTCCAGTTTAGACTGCAGCCCAGTCCTCTCCCAGGCTGCTCAATCAGAATCCAAGAGAGCAGAACATCGGCACTTGTGTGTGGTCACCGGGCTGAGAACAGAAGACCAGACTCTTTTGGCCTCCTCCTCAGGTTGAGACCTCCCCATTGTCACCTTTGGCTTTCAGCAACTGGACAGGACAACGTACCCAAGGGGGCGCCCCAGTCCCGTGTTAGGCTCGGAATCTGAAGTGTTTCCCAAATCCACGCTGACATAGATGTTTCCTCTCCACCTAGTGACCGTGGATTCTGACCTCGGGACAGAGCGAGGTTTCCAGGCCAAAACAAGTGGTTCCCAGGTTACAAGTGGACCCCACAAACATACTGTCACTTCTGCTGCTGCTTCCAGGGATAAATGTGGCTTATCCTGGGGACCAACCCCTACTCTCCATCCCTAGGATGGGGGAGAGGAAGGGAAATTCTCAGGGCATTGGCCTAGGGAGTTGGAGAAGCTGCTGGTGAAGTGAAAACAGGAACAGAATAGGGACATTAGAGATAAAGGGGCATAGAAAGGAATCAGCTCTGATGACACCTGTGTAGGATCAATGGGTTCTGCTTGGGGAGAGGCTCACAGGTTTCTAACTGGGATGGTGTTTTTCACATGGATGATAATTACAGCTGTGTCAGTTTTACAAGCGATCAGAAAACTACACTTAAATTTTAGGCAATTTTTGTGCTTACAGAGACAGTATAATGCGCTTACACACGAAGAAAGGGAAGAAGACAAGGGGAGAAGAAGTGATTGTAGGAATTAGGTTCCTGTTTCCTTGCTAGCTGTCAACCAAGGGTTGCTCTCAGCTTCTGGAAGTTACCTGCATTCTTTTGCTCATGGCCACCTCCATCTTGAAACACAGCCATGGTACACTGAATACTTCTTTTGCTTTGAATCTTCCCAACTTCTCTTTGATCTTTGTTTTTTCTGCCCCTTAAGGAGTTCATGTGGTTAGATCAGGCCCAACCAGATAACCTGTTTTATGGTCAATTGTCTTGGGACTTCAATTACAACAGCATAATCCCTACATAGTGGTGCAGATGGTCCCTGATTTACGATGGCTCAACTTACAGTTTTTCAACTTTATGATGATGTGAAAGCAACACACATTCAGTATAAACTGTACTTTGAATTTTGATATTTTCCTGGGTTAGAGAGTATGATACTCTGTGACGGTGCTGGACAGCAGTAGTGAGCTGCAGCTCCCATCAGCCACACAATTATGATGGTAACAACTGATACTGTACTCTATACTGTACTGTATGCAACCAGTTACATGAGATAGTCAACACTTTATCATACAATGGGATTTGTGTTAAGTGATTTTGCCCAACTGTAGGCAAATGTGTTCTGAGCACATTTAAGGTAGGCTAGGCTGAGCTAATATATTCAGTAGGTTAGGTGCATTAAATGCATTTTCCACTTGAAAATATTTTTCAGTTACAATGGTTTTATTGAAACATAACCCCATTTTAAATTGAAGAGCATCTGTACTTTGATTAGTATTTGACTGAATAACCAGGGGAAGCAATCTTGAGGGGGAAAGCATCTTTAGAATTCTGCCTATCACAGTACCTTGGGGGACTACTGCAAATGAATGTATCCCATTAGAACTTCTCTACACCTCTAATCACCTTTTGTCTTAAAGTGGCTGAGGTGAGATAAAGGGATCTAAAGGGATCGGGAGCATGGAGGGAGAAACAAGTTCTGTTCCATTAAAGTCACGCATTTACTTTCAGTTTCTTTCTGCATGGCAAGCTTTCAGTGTTCTCAGCCCACCCAATACTTTATATTGGGCAGAAACATCCTGATGGCTGATGCCATCAATTTTGGCCTTGGATCTAGCACCCACAGCCATAGGCTCTGGCTGAGTCCATGGGGTTTGCACCTTCAGGCTGACTTGAGCTTGACTTGCACAGGGGTAACCTTGAATGAGGAGGATTCCGTCCATTACCAAGTTAACATTTTTAAAGTTCTCATCAGGTTTCAACATAAGGGCTAGGGGAATTTTTCAGAGGAACAGGGCTGACTGCAAGCATTTATTTACATTTCTTTAGGTCAGTTTGTTTTTCATCAATGGATCGCCTTCGTCAGTACGGTAACACCAACCCAGAGTACTAAGAGGCTGAATATGCACTTGATTTCCCATAGTACTTTGTCTCAGGGAAATCTTACCTAGAGGACCAAATCTTCCTAATGGCAGTCAGGGCTCACTGCGATGAAAATATGAGACCTTTTACTGTTGCCTACAAATGGATCTAAGGTTGGGCTCGCAGACTGCAGAAGGTGCTGATCTGTAAGGCAGCACAGTTGTTGCCATTCTTTCTTAACAAGCATTGACATGCTACCTCCTTATACCCTCAACGTCTCAACTCCCAGATGATCCAGCTAAAGTGTAATGATTTGTTTGGCTCTGCCAATAGCTATTGTTAATTTCCCTCCTTTCACATTCACTGTGCGTCTCTGTAATTTTCTGCGGAAAAATTGCAGATACTAGGATGAAATAACTTTTGTCAGACCCAGATAAAATAGGGCCAGGCCAGGCACGGTGGCTTATGCTTGTAGTCCCAGCACTTTGGGAGGCCGAGGCGAGCGGATCACCTGAGGTCAGGAGTTCGAGACCAGCCTGGCCTACATAGTGAAACCCCCATCTCTACTAAAAGTACAAAAATTAGTCGGACGTGCTGGCATGTGGCTGTAATCCCAGCTACTGGGGAGGCTGAGGCACGAGAATTGCTTGAACCTGGGAGGTGGAGGTTGCAGTGAGCCAAGATCACACCATTGCACGCTAGCCTAGGTGAAGAAGCAAGACTCTGTCTCAAAAAAAAAAAAAAAAAAAAAAAAATGGCCAGGAAGGCATGAAGGAGAGGAACGTCATGCTTACATGTTTGAAGTAAGAATTGTTAAGTTGGGCGTGGTAGCTCATGCCTGTAATCCCAGCACTTTGGGAGGCCGAGGTGGGTGGATCACCTGAGGTCGGGAGTTCGAGAACAGCCTGACCAACATGGAGAAACCCCATCTCTACTAAAAATACAAAATTTGCCAGGCATGGTGGTGCATGCCTGTAATCCCAGCTACTTGGGAGGCTGAGGCAGGAGAATCGCTTGAACCCGGGAGGTGGAGGTTGCAGTGAGCCGAGATCATGCCATTGCACTCTAGCCTGGGCAACAAGAGCGAAACTCTGTATCGAAAAAAAAAAAAAAAAAGAAAAGAAAAGAATTGTTTCAAAGGACTTTTTAAAAATTCCACAAGAAATCTTTTCTAGGGAGTGGGGAGGGATAGCATTAGGAGATATATCTAATGTTAAATGATGAGTTATGGGTGCAGCACACCAACATGGCACATGTATACATATGTAACTAACCGGCATGTTGTGCATATGTACCCTAAAACTTACAGTATAATTTAAAAAAAAAAAGAAAAAAGAAAGAAATCTTTTCTAGCCGGGCGCGGTGGCTCACGCCTGTAATCCCAGCACTTTGGGAGGCTGAGGCAGGCAGATCATGAGGTCAGGAGTTTGAGACCAGCCTGACCAACATGGTGAAACCCTGTGTCTACTAAAAAAAAAAAAAAAAAAAAAAATTAACCGGGTATGGTGGCACGCACCTGTAATCCCAGCTACTCAGGAGTTGGAGGTTGCAGTGAGCTGAGATGGCGCCACTGCACTCCAGCCAGGGCAACAGAGCGAGACTCTGTCTCAAAAAAATAAAAATAAAAAAATAAAAGAAATCTTTTCTTCATCCTTCATGAATGTCCTGTCACAAGGTTTATCAGCAGGCATTCTTTTTTTTTGTTCTGTTTAGAAATAGGGCCTCACTCCATTGCCAAGGCTGGAATGCAGTGGTGCAATCATAGCTCACTGTAACCTCAAACTCCTGGGCTCAAGCAATCCTCCCACCTCAACCTCCTAAGCACCTAGGACTAAAGGCATGTACCACCACACCTGGCCAAGTTGTTTTCATTTTTTCTAGAGAAAGGGTCTTGCTATGTTGCCCAGGTTGGTCTTGAACTCCTGGCCTCCAGCAATCCTCCCTCCTCAGCTTCCCAAAGTGTTAGCATTCCAGGAGTGAGCCACGGGGGCCTAGCCTAGACATTCTTTAGTACTATAGTAATTCAGATAAGATGCTCTTGAAAGAACACTTGCCCAGTAACGGCAATGTCTCCCAAGTAGCTGGGATTACAGGTGTGCGTCACCACCACCGGCTAACTTTTGTATTTTTAATAGGGACAAGGTTTCGCCATATTGGCCAAGCTGAGGTCGAACTTCTGACCTTAGGTGATCCGCCCCCTCAGCCTCCCAAAGTGCTGGGATTACAGGTGTGAGCCACCGCTCTCGGCCGCGTGTTTTAATCATAATACTTTGGTCTTTTTTTTTTTTTTTTCGTAAATACTTTCCTTTTTTTTTTTTTTTTTTTTTTTGAGATGGAGTTTCACTCTTTTTGCCCAGGCTGGAGTGCAGTGGCGTGATCTGGGCTCACTGCAACCTCCACCTCCCGGATTCAAGCGATTCTCCTGCCTCAGCCTCCTGAGTAGCTGGGGTTACAGGCGCCCGCCACCACGCCTGGCTAATTTTTGTACTTTTAGTAGAGACGAGGTTTCGCCATGTTGGCCAGGGTGGTCTTGAACTCCTGACTTCAGGTAATTCACCAGCCTCGACCTCCCAAAGTGCCGGAATTACAGGTGTGAGCAACCGCGCCCAGGCTTTTTTTTCTTCTTCTTTTAGAGTCAATTAAGACTGGGAAAGCGAAAATCCTAGCGCTACTTGGGACCAGCAGTTATCAGTTGGTTGGAGGCTCGAAGTGGTGGTGCATGGCCGGGCTGTCTATGATTCTTAGGATGGGAAGCTTGACCTTGGCGGGCTCACCCTCTCATCTGGGTCAAGGGGCACACATTCTCGGTGGCCTGATGACTGGGAGGGAGCGGAAGAGGGCGGGGCCGGGGCGGGGCCGCGGCGCCGGGACTGCGGGTGCTCGGCCGGAGCGCTCCACCCGCTGGTCCCCGGGAGACCCTGTGCCCCTAAATCGCGGTCCACTGCGCGCGTCAGGTGAGTAGAGCGGCGGCGGGGAGTCGCGCTAGCGGTAGTAGAGGCTGATGTTGGATGTTGTCCCCACTCCTCTGACTCTTCCGCAGGCCAGGGGAGCACTGCGCCCCAATCTTGGAGGGGCTTCCAACCTCTGGGGTCCTCCGGGGAAACGTGGGTTAGTCTGGGGTGTATCCAGGTGCCCTGTCCACTGTGGGCACTCTGGGGATTCCGGGCCGAGGAAGGGCTCCTGGCACGTGTTGAAAAAGTCGGCATCCCAGAAGGAAGATTCTGGGCGGATGGGCATCGGGGAAGGTAGTCCCAACCAATGGGACCGTTTCTGAGCACATAAGCGCATTCAGTGGGTGCTAACAAGCGCCTGCTTTGCCAGGCAACAGTGAGCAAAACCGGCTTTGTTCCCGGCCACCGGAAGCTTCGAGGCTGGGGTTCCGGATCTGGGCGCCCAATGACAAACTAAGCGCGGAGGACAGGGCCAGGAGCGCCCACCAGGGCGGCGATCTGGTGGGTAGGTGCAGGGCAATGGCTGGAAAGGGTCCCCGAAGCCCTGAGCAGAGACCAAAGGGCCGTGCGACTGCAGGAAGGCCATTTTGCTTGGCTGACAGGCGGAAAACTCACGTGGCTGGAGTAGCAGGGTTGGTGACGACAAGGGTGAATCCCACTAAGCATTGCAACTGTTTGCGGTGTGAGGGGTGAGGGGGATTCTCATCATTCTCAGAATTGCTGTGGATAAAGGGTTTTGGGTTGGAGAGAGACTGGGTGCACTCAAAGGACTGAAAGATGGCGACGACACATTCCCTCAGAGGATTTACATTCTGGAAGGGTGGGGACAGGCCCGGGTACAGATAAGCCCGCAGGCGGCCTCCAGCTCTTACAGTCGAAAGTCTGATGAGTTATGCCCAGTCTCCTTCCTCCTCCCGCCGGCATGAGGTTTGGGGCCCTGTGGATGAAGGAAGTTCATGGGAGGCAAACGTGCCTGGGCAAGCAACAGCCGCAGAGATTCAGTCCCCACGGGGGTTAGAATCCACACTTAGGGCCTCTGCCTACCGCCTCCAGCAAATGCCATCTTGAGGACTAGCGGCAGCAGTAGGTCTTCTCTGCCAGAGAACTGGAAGGCCAGGTTCTTGAGGGCACTGTTACTAAGGCGTTTTTTTTGTTTGTTTGTTTGTTTGTTTGTTTTTGAGACGGAGTTTCACTCTCATTTCCCTGGCTGGAGTGCAATGGCGCGATCTCCGCTCACCGCAACCTCTGCCTCCCGGGTTCAAGCGATTCTCCTGCCTCAGCCTCCCTAGTAGCTACGATTACAGGCATGCGCCACCACGCCGGGATAATTTTGTATTTTTAGTAGAGACGAGGTCCATGTTGGTCAGGCTGGTCTCAAACTCCTGACCTCAGGTGATCCGCCCGCCTCGGCCTCCCCAAGTGTTGGGATTACAGGCTGAGCCACCGTGCCCAGCCTTATTAAGGCTGTTTTGAAGTGCAGTTGGCTGGAAAGTGGAAGAATAATCCAAGATCTGCATGCCTCATAAAAGGAGTGCGAATGGTTTTGAAAGACAGGAAAGGAAAGGGAGAGAGAGGAAAGAAAGAGAGAGGAAGAAAGGAAGGAAATCAAATTCATATCCCAGGAATGCACCTTTCATGACAACATTTTGGAGATCCAATTAACTCTATTCCTCGAGGGCGTTTTTCCTTGCTGGTATTTTCAGTTCTATTAACACTTCTCAAAAAGTGAAAGGAAAAAATAGTCAACAGGGTTTTTTGGTCTTTATTCTTTTCTTTCTATCTCTAGTAAGGGAGATGTGGGTGAGTGGCTGTCAGCAGGAAAAGGTGAGAGTTCAGCTATGTTTGCATCTGAGCAGGAAATTTCCAAGGATGAGCAGGGAACTCCAGTGCTGGGCTCATTGTGAGCCCTGAATAAGTGATTGCTCTTGGGTTGTTAGCAGTATTCTTCACAAAGATCTGTATATACAGTGGTTCCCCTTATCCACAGGTGATATGTTCCAAGAGCTCTAGTGGATACTTTGTTTTTGTTGTTGTTTGAGGCAGAATCTCACTCTGTCACCCAGGCTGGAGTACAGTGGCACAGTCTTGGCTCACTGCAACCTTCACCTCACGGGTTCAAGTAATTCTGCCTCAGCATCCTGAGCAGCTGGGACTACAGCGTGCCACCACGCCCAGCTAATTTTTGTATTTTCAGTAGAGACGGGGTTTCACCATGTTGGCCAGGCTGGTCTCAAATTCCTGCCCTGAAGTGATCCACCGCGCCCCACCCCAGTGGATACTTTGAAACCATGAATAGTACCAAACCCTGTATACACTATGGTTTTCTTTTTCTATACATACATAATAATGATAAAGTTTAATTTACAAATTAGGCATGGTAAGAGATTGACAACAATAACTAGTAATAAGATAGAACAATTACAGCAATATATTGTAATAAAAGTTGTATGAATGTGGTATCTCTCTCAAAATAATTTATATTGTAAATCTTAGCAACCTCAGCATATGATTATTTTTTCTTTCCTTAAGACAAGAATTTTTACCTTTTTATTTTATGGCTTCTCTTTGCATATCTGAATTTCCAGCGTCTCTACTCTTGTGCTTTTGGGTCATTATTAAGTAAAATAAGGCATTCTTGAGCACAGGCAACTGCTATACTACAGTAGTCAACCTGGTAACTGAGATGGCTAGCTACTAAGGAACTAATGGGCAGGTATTGTCTGCAGTGTGGATATGCTAGTCAAAGGGATGATTCACATCCTGGGCAGGCCAGAGAGAAAAGGTACAAGATTTCATCACACTACTCAGAATGTCAAGCAATTTAAAACTTAGGAATTGTTTATCTCTGGATTTTTTTTTGAGACGGAGTCTCGCTCTATGTCCCAGGCTGGAGTGCAGTGGCGCAGTCTTGGCTCATGGCAACGTCCACCTCCAGGGTTCAAGTGATTCTCCTGCCTCAGCCTCCTGAGTTGCTGGGATTACAGATGTGTGCCACTATGCCCAGCTATTTTCTTTTTGTATTTTTAGTAGAGACAGGGTTTCACCATGTTGACCAGGCTGATCTCGAACTCCTGACCTCAGATGATCTGCCTACCTCAGCCTCCCAAAATGCTGGGATTACAGGTGTGAGCCACTGTGCCTGTCCTCCGGAATTTTTCATTTAATATTTTTGAACCATGGTTGACCATGGGTAACTGAAGCATTGGAAAGCAAAACCATGATAAAGGGGAACTACTACATGTATTGAAAATCCAGATCACAGAATTGTGTGTGTGTGTGTGTGTGTATAATTTTGGTCATGGAAGAGATCTTAGAGAGTGTCTCCTTTATTCTCACATTTCTGATGAAACCAAGTCAGAAAGAATAAAGAGACTCACTCGAGGTGATCTGTGACAGATCCTAGCCTGGTTACCCCAGCTACATGATTTCCAATGGTACTGAGTCTAACATTAACATTAGGTTTAAACATTAACTTTTGTAGATCAAGAATGTCCACTTGTCCTTGGAAAATTATTTAGCATCTCTGCATTAGGTCCTTAAGACAGGGCCAGTAATTGTTACCTCATTGCTGAGAGCATCCAGTGGCACACTGTAGGGGTTTAGTAACTGCTGGCATTCCCTGACCAAATAAGGAAGCTGTTTCTTACCCTCCCTCTTGCTGATATGTTTTGTTTTTCTCTGACCTCAGGTTTCTAGAAGCAGGGTAGAACAGACGGCAGACACCTAGCCCAGGCTGGTGTTGTTACTAAACAATGGCAGCTGGTGAGCCAAGGGTGACCAGGGCCCTGAACTCGGTGGCCCAGCTTTGAGGGAAGCAAAATTGTTCTCAATTGTGGAAGAGGAGAATTTGGACAGCAGAACAAAAAAGGAAGACAGCCTCTTGGAGCAGATACATTTGTCACAGGAAGCCACATCAAACCCTGGGGCCTTTGCTGGGCCTCTCCATCTGCCCAGTTACTGGGAGGTAGATAGCCCCAGGAAGGAATCCAGTCAGGCCTGGGCACCAGGCCAGGAGTGGATAAAGCTAGAAAGAGACACCACAGAAGAGAAGATGTTTGAACAGCTGAAGCCAATCGAACCTGTACAGAAGACGCTCCCATGGGTGGGCGAGGTAGCTGCCACCCTGCAGGAAGCCATGAAGAGAGATTGCTGGAGGGAGGCACGGGTGAAGAAGGTGAGGAGACTAAGCTAGAGAGAGGTGGGGTCCAGGTCCTGGACTCCAGGAGCTCTTTCATACATACTCCTGCCTGCAGGTCAAATGAAATCTCAGATTGTTCCAGACTGAACGACATCCAGAAAAAGGAGCTGCAAGACCTTTCTCCATCTCCCGCACCATCCTGGCATCCTTCATGGAGTACTTCCTGAAATTTGTTAGAGTGGCAGCATTTTTTCCTTCGCTTTGCTTTCCTGTTTATATTCTGCATATCTGCATATCCTCTTTCCTCTCCCCCACATCTTATCTTTCTCCCTTTCTCTTCATCTTTCCTTTCCTTTTTTTTTTTTTCTTTTTTTTTTTTTTTGAGACGGAGTCTCGCTCTGTCACCCAGGCTGGAGTGCGGTGGCGCGATCTTGGCTCACTGCTACCTCTGCCTCCCGGGCTCAAGCAATTCTCCTGCCTCAGCCTCCTGAGTAGCTGGGATTACAGGCATGCGCCACCATGCCCAGCTAATTTTTGTGTTTTTAGCAGAGACCAGGTTTCACCATATTGGTCAGGCTGGTCTCGAACTCCCGACCTCGTGATCTGCCTGCCTCAGCCTCCCAAAGTGCTGGGATTACAGGCGTGAGCCACCGCGTCCGGCCTCCTTTCCTTTCTATACTTCACAGTTGCTGGCCTTGTGTCTGTCTTTTAATATTTCTCTCTTCCTTCCATGGTTTTATCTTTCTCTTAGGTTTTAATTCTCTGAATCTTGAGACTGGATGTTAATCTTGTACACACACACACACACACACACATATATATTTATATAAACTTCTTGAGTCTCTCCTGTTCTTCCAGAAGCCAGTCACCTTTGAGGATGTGGCAGTGAATTTCACCCAGGAAGAGTGGGACTGTCTAGATGCCAGCCAGAGGGTCCTTTACCAGGATGTTATGTCGGAAACCTTTAAGAATCTAACATCTGTGGGTAAGAGGCTGGGCTTCCCTCAGCAAGCCCCCTGTCCTAAGGGCCCTGGAACATCTGGTTTCCCTGGACAGGTAGATCAGCTTACAATTAGTTTCACTGACCCCTGGTTCTATGCTTTCCAGGTGTGAAAGATCTGAGTCACTAAGCTCAGTGGTAAAGAGAAGAAATGATAGCCTGCATGAAGGCAAAGATAACACTTGTAACATGATGACAGTGTTCTCAAAATATGCAAATTTTTCCATTCATCAAACAAATATTTACTAAGTCACTCCTGAGAACCAGGTACTTTGCTAGCAGCTGGCCTTTTAATGTCTCCTTTCCGCATCTACATGTCCCAGGTTATGGTTCTTAAACAAAGGCTACAGGAGGTAGCCTGTTGTCCCCATCAGATGTGAAGGGGCCATACCTGGGACCAACTCAACTCTTTCTCATTCCCACACATCAGCCAGAATCTTTCTGCATAAGCCAGAGCTAATCACCAAGCTTGAGCAAGAAGAGGAACAGTGGAGAGAGTTTGTCCATCTCCCAAACACAGAAGGCCTTTCAGGTAAGAATTGCCAAGCAGGGAGGAAGGGGAAAAGGGCCCAGGATAACCCCTGAAAGGATGGAGAGCTGATGAAGAGGATGAATGCTCTATAGATGCTCTCCTAGTGTACCTCTGTCCAGCCTGGTCAGACTTGGAGTTGAAAGAGAGCTTAATATCATAGGCTCAAGTCCCTTGACTTCAAGTTGAAGATCCAAGTCTCTCTCTCTCTCTCTCTTTTTTTTTTTTTTTTTTTTTGAGACACAGTCTCGCTCTGTTGCCAGGCTGGAGTGCAGTGGCACAATCTTGGCTTACTGCAACCTCCACTTCCCGGGTTCAAGCGATTCTCCTGCCTCAGCCTCTCGAGTAGCTGGGACTACAGGCATGTGCCACCGTGTCCAGATAATTTTTGTATTTTTAGTAGAGACAGGGTTTCACCATGTTGGCCAGGATGGTCTTGATGTCTTGACCTCAGGTTATCCATCCACCTCGGCCTCCCAAAGTGCTGGGATTACAGGCATGAGCCACCGTGCCTGGCTGGCTGAAGATCTAAGTCTTTCAGGAGAAGTAGATGTCTTCAGTTTCTAGAGATTGAGAGATGACATGAAAGTTGCTTATGTCCATGATAGTGCTCTGATTAAAATGTTCTTTCCAAGAGAAAAGAGAAGCAAAGGAGATAGGTTTCATGCTGGGTTGGAGTAAGGGAGGCTTGTCCCTGGTAGTAAATAGTTGAGAGAGATATCAAGCCAGGCTGATACACTTTTTGGTTTTCCAGGACAGTCCTGGTTTATACTTCTCATCCCAGCTTGATTATTAATAACACCTCTTTTCACCCTCAAGTGGCCCAGTGTTCATGATGCATTATTATGTGGGTGTCTGTGGATTGTCTATGGGAGTTTGAGCAATATTGAGAATGAGATAAGATAGATTTCAAGAAGTGTTGTTGTAAGTTAAAATTTACATTTCTGACAGTGTTGAAAGATTCCAGTTAACTTTTTATTTGCTTCTAATTTGAAAAGCCAATTTTTTCTTTTTTTCTTCTTATTTCTAGCCTATGAGGCCCAAGGGTAAGGATGAATGTGTTGGGTGGGAGAGCAAGGGCAGAGACAAGAAGTGTGTTAGGCTGAATGGAGTGCTGTGTTGGAGTTCTTCTTCTTCCTCTTCTTCTTCTTCTTCGTCTTCGTCTTCTTCTTCTTCTTCTTTTCTTTTCTTCTTCTTCTTCTTCCTTCTTCTTCTTCTTCTCCTTCTCTTCTCCTTCTCCTTCTTCTCCTTCTCCTTCTTCTTCTTCTTTTTCTTTCTTTCTTTTTTTTTTTTTGAGACAGAGTTTCACTCTAGTTGCCCAGGCAGGAGTGCAGTGGCACCATCTTGGCTCACTGCAACCTCCGCCTCCCGGGTTCGAGTGATTGTCCTGCCTCAGTCTCCCTAGTAGCTGAGATTACAGGCAGATGCCATGACGCCCAGCTAATTTTTGTATTTGTAGTAGAGACAGGGTTTCACCATGTTGGTCAGGCTGGTTTCGAACTCCTAACCTCAGGTGATCCGCTGGCCTCGGCCTCCCAAAGTGCTGGGATTACAGGTGTGAGCCACCATGCCAAGCCTCTGTTGGAGTTCTTACAGTGAATTTTGTGTTATTCTTCCTCATTCACTGTAGAAGGCAAGAAGAAAGAGCTTCGAGAACAACATCCCAGTCTGAGAGATGAGGGGACTAGTGATGACAAGGTCTTCCTTGCATGCAGAGGGGCCGGCCAGTGCCCCCTATCTGCCCCAGCTGGGACTATGGACAGGACCCGGGTGCTTCAAGCATCCCAGGCTGGGCCACCCTTTTTTTGCTACACCTGTGGCAAATGTTTCAGCAGGCGCTCCTACCTCTATAGCCACCAGTTTGTTCACAATCCCAAGCTGACTAACAGCTGCAGTCAGTGTGGGAAGTTGTTTCGGAGCCCCAAGTCCCTCAGCTATCACAGACGCATGCATCTTGGGGAGAGGCCCTTCTGTTGCACGCTCTGTGACAAGACCTACTGTGATGCTTCTGGACTAAGTCGTCACCGCCGCGTCCATCTGGGTTACCGGCCCCATTCATGCTCTGTGTGTGGGAAGAGCTTCCGGGACCAGTCTGAGCTCAAACGCCACCAGAAGATACACCAAAACCAGGAGCCAGTGGATGGAAACCAGGAGTGTACTTTGAGGATTCCAGGCACCCAGGCTGAATTCCAGACACCCATCGCCAGAAGCCAGAGGTCCATCCAGGGGCTTTTGGATGTGAACCATGCACCAGTGGCCAGGTCCCAGGAACCCATATTTAGAACTGAGGGTCCTATGGCCCAGAACCAGGCATCTGTACTTAAGAACCAAGCACCTGTGACCAGGACCCAGGCACCCATCACTGGAACCCTCTGTCAGGATGCCAGATCCAACTCTCATCCAGTGAAGCCCTCAAGACTCAATGTCTTCTGTTGCCCCCATTGTTCTTTGACTTTTAGCAAGAAATCCTATCTCTCCAGACACCAGAAGGCCCACCTCACAGAGCCGCCCAACTACTGCTTCCATTGCAGCAAGTCTTTCAGCTCATTTTCCAGGCTGGTCAGACACCAGCAGACCCACTGGAAGCAGAAGAGCTACCTTTGCCCTATCTGTGACCTCTCCTTTGGGGAGAAAGAGGGCCTTATGGATCACTGGAGGGGCTATAAAGGCAAGGACCTGTGCCAGAGCAGCCACCATAAATGCCGGGTGATCCTGGGCCAGTGGCTTGGCTTCTCTCATGATGTCCCCACTATGGCTGGGGAGGAATGGAAGCATGGAGGTGATCAATCTCCCCCCAGGATCCATACCCCCAGGAGAAGAGGCCTAAGAGAGAAGGCCTGCAAAGGAGACAAAACAAAGGAGGCAGTGAGCATCTTGAAACATAAATAAATGGCCTTTCTGACTGAGCTCTTTCTTTGTGTTTAGTTTTCCTGAGGACTGACCTCTGGGGTAATGAGGCTGGAGTAGAGGGAGACAGGTGCGTGGATAAGGAAGGAAATACATAAAAGACAAGGGGTTAGAAGTGTGCTTATGAAAACTTGTATTATTATTTTTTATTTATTTATTTATTTATTTATTTATTTATTTATTTATTTATTTTTGAGACAGAGTCTTACTCTGTCACTCTGGCTAGAGTGCAGTGGCGCGATCTCAGCTCACTGCAACCTCTGCCTCCTGGGTTCAAGCGATTCTCCTGCCTCAGCCTCCGGAGTAGCTGGTATTATAGGTGCCCACCACTATGCTCAGTTAATTGTTTGTATTTTTAGTAGAGATGGGGTTTCACCATGTTGGCCAGGCTGGTCTCGAACTCCTGACCTCGTGATTCGCCCGCCTCGGCCTCCCAAAGTGCTGGGATTACAGGCGTGAGCCACCGCACCCGGCCAAAACTCGTATCTTTATTAATTAGCACCTAGCTTGTTTGTTTGTGTCTGACCATCAAGTAGTAGTTGTTGAATAAACAGTGGATACTCTGATAGATATGAAGATAGGAGAAAAGGATGAGAGGAAGGAAAGATTCTGAGACCTGTGGAAGATGTGTAAGTAGAAGGAAAACATTCTAAAGCAGGCATGTTGCCCAGCTTTCGTTTTTGCTTCCCCAGGTCCCTAGTAGGCTGCCAAGACAAGGAGGAGCTCTGGCTAGTATTCTGTAGGTTTCTCCCCATCTCCAGGTTTGGGTTGGGGCTACTCATATCCTCACTCTTCAGCTCACTCAGCTCTCTCTTCAATGTTTTGCACTCTTCCTCTTCCTTCCCTTCACATGCCTTTCAGTTTTGCGCAATCAGGGCTGGAGTCTTGGAAGAAACAACCACCATTTGCAAAGTTACCATACTGTAATTTTCAGTGAGGAGATTCCTGGCCTCCAGTTCATGGCAGAGACCATCCTGTGTTGCTCTCCAGTACAGGTGTCCTCTGATGGAGAGAGGGGCACCTGCCTGTCCTTAGCCAGAGAGGGCTTCCAGGTGGAAGACTGGAGAGAGAAATGGAAAGAAGGGTAATAAAAATGGGAAAATGAAGAGAAAAGGTAGATGACAGAAGAAGGGAAATCAATTCTACTTGGAATTCAGAGTGTTCCTGAAAGTGCAAATTGGAATGTCCCCATAGCAAAGATGCCAGTGAGTGTGCAACTTGATGGATGAGATGTCCCCAAGGACAAATCCCTGGGCAACCAGGCTCTCCTCCACCCCTGCCAAGATGTGACATCACTCAGAAGGGATTTCCTAGAAGAAGGAGAAAATAACTTGAAAAACGTATGTCAGTAGTTTGTATCATAAAACCATTGAACTAGGGAGAAGAAAAGCCCTTGGGGTCATCTTGTCTCCATTCCTGCCTCAATGGTTGATCTGAGAGGTGAGGCACTGGGCAGTTGCTGTGGAATGGGCAATGAGACCAGCTAGGGTTGGATTCCTGCTTAGGGGCAGTGAAGGAGGAATGGATCAGGTGGCAGATAGGAGTGCCTCCAGCTTCTCTGCCACCTGTAAATGTGTCTCTAACAGCTGGCTTCTTTGCCCTCTACCTCCCAGGAGGAGTCTTCCCTCCACCCAGGCTCTCCAGCTCCTCCTTTCCTCTGGGAATGTGATCCCTCAATAGCCCGCCTCTTCCTCTTGTTGCTTCTGTCTCCCTTTCCTGGCTTTTTATTCTCTGCTTATAACAGAGAGAAGAGAACTTACGTAGCTCTTCAAGGAATTGCCCTGAAAACAAAAAGAAACAAATATGTGATTAGTGGAAGATGAACAGCACCTTCCCCACATCCTCCCTATGGACATTTGGAGTGACCCACACTGCCCTTTCCACTGGGGGATCCCACAGATCCAGTAAGTGGTTCTCTTCACAGTTTCTCAGAAGAGCCTGGGGTTGGGCATGGGGACAGAGGAATAAGGAAATCCCAGCTCCCCTAATCTTGAGTCCTGGTTCTATTCTCTTTTGGCTTCCCATTCAGAGCTGACTTGGTCCCCCACTATTTGGTGGTCTTGCCTGCTGCCCAGCCACTGCACCTGCTAGTCTTCGATGTAGCCAGTTGTAGCAGATGATCAAGGCAACCAAGGGTCCAAGAACCGGCACAATTACAAACAGGGTTATCTTCCAGCAGGGCACCCTCAGAAAGTGGGGATCTGAATTGTTCACCAGAACAAACAGGGTTAACATGTGTTCCCCCTCATGCCCCACCCACCTGTCTTTTTTGGTTCCTTAACCTGGGGTCCTAGAACACCAAAGGACTCTGGGGACAAAATTCAGAAAGTCCATGAACTTGGATGAGAAAAGTACTGCCTCCTTATTTTCAATAACTGGATTTAACATTTTCTTTCATTAAAAATGTAACAACTGCCAGGTGTGGTGGCTCATGCCTGTAATCCCAACACTCTGGGAGTCCGAGACGGGTGGATCATGAGGCCAAGAGTTCAAGACCAGCCAGGCCAACATGGTGAAACCCCATCTCTACTAAAAATGTAAAAATTAGCTGGGCGTGGTGGCACATGCCTGTAATGCCAGCTACTCAGGAGGCTGAGGCAGGAGAATCGCTTGAACCTGGGAGGCGGAGGTTGCAGTGAGCCAAGATCCTGCCCCTGCACTCCAGCCTGGGCCACAGAGCAAGACTCTTGTTGATCCCACCAACACCCATTCCCCCAAGTCTTGGAAAAAACAAAACAAACCAAAACATTTTACAACTAACCACAATATGAGCAGTACCTGTGACTTAATTACCAATGGAAGCCACAGATGTTTTCATTCCCATTAGAGTTATTGCAGAAATCTTGAAATACTGTTTATGTTTATTAGTATGTTGAAATTAAAGGTTATTGGGCTGGGCCTGGTGGCTCATGCCTGTAATCCCAGCACTTTGGAAGGCCAAGGCAGGCAGATCACCTGAGGTCAGGGGTTCAAGACCAGCCTGGCCAACATGGTGAAACCCCGTCTCTACTAAAAATACAAAAATTAGCTGGGCATGGTGGCATGCGCCTGTAGTTCCAGCAACTTGGGAGGCTGAGGCAGGAGAATCGCTTGAACCCAGGAGGTGGAGGTTGCAGTGAGCCGAGATTGTGCCATTGCACTCCATCTCAAAAAAACTTCATCTCAAAAAAAAAGAAAGAAAGAAAGAAAGAAAGAAATTACAGGTTATTAGACTTGCTGCTACATTACTTAATGTATTACTTTGGCTAAAGAAATATTTATGGCCGGGCACGGTGGCTCATGCCCGTAATCCCAGCACTTTGGGAGGCCAAGGCAGGTGGATCACCTGAGGTCAGGAGTTCGAGGCCAGCCTGGCCAACCTGGTGAAACCTAGTCTCTACTAAAAATACAAAAATTAGCTGGGTGTGGTGGCGGGCACCTGTAATCCCAGCTACTCGGGAGGCTGAGAATCGCTTGAACCCGGGAGGCAGAGGTTTCAGTGAGCCTAGATCGCGCCATTGCACTCCAGCCTGGGTGACAAGAGCAAAACTCTGCCTCAAAAAAAAAAAAAAAGAAACATTTATGTTACTATATCACAAATGTGATTATCGGTTGATAACTGTATTTTAGTACAATGATTGTTTTTGCAATCCTATGTGTTCTATTTTATGTGTATATTTAAAAACATTCTGCAAAGGGGTCCTTTAGACTTCACTGGAGTGCCAGAGAGATTCATGGTACAAAAAGGAGTTAAGACCTTTCATAGTCAAGTCCTCCAAAACAAAGATACTATTCCTCCTCTTTGGGTGTGTAAAGATGTGTGTGTGTGTGGTCCACACACTGGTCTAATTTCCTAAATCGTACGATAGACCTCTGTGTGCCAGGTGACAAGAGTAGAGTCACCTACAGCCTCGGGAGGAGGAGCTGTGAAGGAAGTTTGCTCAGAGAAGGTACCATCTGTGCCCTAATGACACCTTCTAGTGTCTGCAACATTTATCTAACAAATATTTGGGTGCTCTTCTGTTGCCATTATCTTTAGGCATTGGGCAATCTGCAGTGAACAAAAAGGCTAGAAACCATGTCCTTGAGGGGTCAATTCCTAGTGGGGCTTGGTGGCTTTTCTATTCCTCTATGAGGTCTTCTCTGATTAGTCATGTTCTGTACTCATGGAAACATCCTGAGTTTGTAAAGCAGAAATATAAGTACAGGTGATACAGTTGTGTCTTGTTTCTGTTTGTTTCACCTCCCCAACCAGACATCAGGTTTACGTGTAAACGATCTATTTACCTCTGTTTTGCCATTCCTGAAAAGAGAGATCATGTGCATAAGGAGTTAAACAGAATAAGATAACGTTTTTGTAAAGTAGTTAGAATAGTGCCTGGCACATAAAAACAGTACATGAGTATTTTTATTATGATTTTACCAATCCTAAATGCAAATGACTTCTTATTTAAAGAAAGAAAAGAGAAGAGAGGAAGGGACTCAACCAGGAGCCAGGGGTCCTTGTTCCCCCAGGTGACTGGAACTAGAGTGAAATACCAAGTTGACCTGGGAGGGCCTAGACATGCCGGAACTTACCAAAAGTCCGGTGGAGATTCTCTGAAAGAGAAACAAATGGAAATGGATTTAGTAGGGCACTCAAAAAGGATCTTTTATCCTGAGTCTTTGTTATTTAATTACTTAAAACTTGTTCTAGGCACGACACACCCACTGTAGAGAAAGGGAAACTGAGGGGAAAACAGGGTATTGAGAGGGAGAGACGGTCCAAGAACGGGACCATTTCCGTTATGCCAAAAAACCAAAAGGCAAGAATTGGGAGAAACGATGACTGGAACTCACCTATCTCTGCTCGAAGTTTTCCTAAAATAGAAAAAGGCAACATTTTAGTTCCTGCATGTTCTGGCTCTCGGTGGGGACCCTCCCACACCCAGCGCCTGGGCCCCTTGTGCAGGCTATTTCTCTGCAGCCTGGAAACAACCTCAGGAGAGTAGGAAGAGCACTGGATTTAAAGCCAATGGTTGCGGCTCTTTCTCTAGCTATAGTCTAGATACAATAGCGAATAAAGAATGTGAGCAATGCTCCAAGCCAGCACAAGCATCCAATACATCCCAGCTGCTCTTCGCCCCTTTTCTTGGATTCTCAGTTCACAGAGCTGCTCCAGCCCACTGCGTTGCCACTTTTGTTTATCTAAAGCCACTTCCCATCTGAATGAGGAGGGAGGAGCTGAACATTTAGTGAGTAGCTAGCTACTTTGTGACTGGATTTGTAGTAGGCACTTTGCATGACTTTAATCCTCCCTACAATTTAGGACGAAGGATGTTTTCTCTATTTGACAGACAAGGCAACTGAAGCTTGGAGAATCTAAGAATTTTGCTATAGAGTTCAGTACCTGAGATGGAATTCAAACCCAGGCTGCCTGACTCTAACATTCAGATTCTTTCTGCTCAGCCATGAGGGCTGAAGGCCTTTTTTTGTGTGGAAGAAGTAAACAAGCAGGCATCTGGGATGAATTCAAGGTGAGAGAAAGGACTTTGTTGTTGATCGCACCAACACCCATTCCCCCAGAACATTCCCCATACCCTCCTTGCTACTTTCTCCTCTCCTCTTAGTAACAAATGGGAGGTGGGGCATGGGGAGGAGTGAAGACTCTTCCTGCTCTGGCATTGGGGAGACACTTGGTAGGAGGAGAAGGCTCAGAATGAAAGCTCTAGGCAAAAAAGAGGAGCTTCATCAGCAGCTGAACCTGAGTCCTCAGTGTTGAATGGAGAAAGAGGAAACAATTTTCGAACGCCTACTGTGTGGTAGAGACTTTCACTTCAGTATCTTTATTCAAAACTCCTAATAGCCTAGACCTGTCTGACTTCGAAGCTCACACTCTCCCAAGTTGCATGGAGCTGCTAGGTATGATACAGAGGCCTCAGCTCTACCACTTATAAGTTATATCGGTTTGAGTAAGTCACTGAACTACTCCTGGCCTCAGTTGTATCCTCTGTAAAATGGGGTTACTATATGGCATAGTTAGCTCATAGGGAAATGCTAGGTCCGATTATTCATATGAAAGCATTCCGTAAGATGTAAAACTCTTTCATCATGGAGTTATTTTTTTTCTTTATCACTCAATAGTGAGAAGAACTTCTGAACCCAGAAGTCACTCACAAATACATGTTAAGTGGTGTAGCTCCAAGAAGCCAGCTCATTTAAAGAAAGGATCCTGATCCACCCACCCTCTGCCCTGTACCTCTCAGTCTGTACTGCAGGCAGAGGAAGACGAGGCCAACAGTGATCTGCAGGAGGAGCACAGGCAGCACCGCGAGGAGAACCAGCACTCCAGGGCTCACCCAGTAGAAAGGATCTGAAAGGCAGGACTGACATTTGACATTGTCCAGAGCTGAATCCCCAACACTCAGCATGGTGTCTGGGGCCCAATAAATCAGGTCAAATAAAGAAGTGAATATCATCAGGATTCAAAGAAGGTGACACAGAATTGGTCCCTGAGCTTAGCCCTGAAGGAAAAATGGCTTTTTTTTCCAGGAAATGCTAGTGATTTAGAATGACAAGTGGTTTAAAGTCAAGATTGTGTATTGGGTCAGGCTGGGGGAGTTTTAACGAGCAGCTAAGGGACTTACATCTGAAGTCCCTCAAGGGACTTTTTATTGACGACAAAGTCAAAGGTTCTCTTCATATTATTGTGGTGTATCGCCTACAAGCATAATTAAAATAAACACTAAATTTCAGTTTAAAGTTTACTGAAAATAAATATGTATTTCAAATATGTAGTTCAAGGCTGTGGTGGTGCACTGAAGGATTCCAAGCTGAGAAGTGACCACGTCAGATTTAGCACCTACAGGACTGGAGAACATAGGGAGAAATGTTAAGAGACTGTGATAACAATTAAAGTAAAAAACAACATGAACCTGAACTAGGACAGTGGTAATGGTATAGGAAGTCAGGGGATTCAAAGCTTAAATAGGGAATAAAAAATACATATTTATTTTCAGTAAACTTTAAACTGAAATTTAGTGTTTATTTTAATTATGCTTGTAGGCGATACACCACAATAATATGAAGAGAACCTTTGACTTTGTCGTCAATAAAAATCACAAATATTGGCCAGGTGCGGTGGCTCACACCTGTAATCCCAGCACTTTGGGAGGCCGAGGCGGGCGGATCGCCTGAGGTTGGGAGTTCAAGACCAGCCTGACCAACATGGAGAAACCCTGTTTCTACTAAAAATACAAAATTAGCTGGACGTGGTGGCACATTCCTGTAATCCCAGCTACTCAAGAGGCTGAGGCAGGAGAATCGCTTGAACCCAGGAGGCGGAGGTTGAGGTGAGCCGAGATCTTGCCATTGCACTCCAGCCTGGGCAACAAGAGCGAAACTCCATCTCAAAAAAAAAAAAGAAAAAGAAAAATCACAAATATTTTCACGTCACATTAGAAAAGTCACAGAAATCTCAAACTATCACTTATGTTCATTACTATTTTGAAATTACACTAATTAATAGGGTCACCCTAACTCTTGTTAATTTAATATTTTGATAACTGTATTTTGGTATAAATGTTTTATTTGGTGTATTTAAAACATTCTTCTGGCTAGGTGTGGTGGCTCTCCCCTGTAATCCCACCACTTTGGGAGGCCAAGGCAGGAAGATTGCTTGAGCCCAGGAGTTCTCGAGGCCAGACTGGGCAACATAATGTGAGACCCTGCCTCTACGAAAAAAAATTAAAAATTACCTGGGCATGGTGACACAAGCCTGTGGTCTCAGCTATTCAAGAGGCTGAGTCAGGAGGATCACTTGAGCCTGGGAGGTGGAGGCTGCAATGAGCCATGATCGTGCCACTGCAACCAATCCTGGGTGACAGAGTGAGACACTGTCTCAAAAAAAAAAAAAAATTCTGAGATGGGTCTATCAACTTCATCAGCTTGCGGAAGGTGCATGACACACAACAAAAGGTTAAGAGCCCTCTTCTAGAGCTTTTAAGAAGGTAGTTTACAGCGGGCATGGTGGCTCACACCTGTAATCCCAGCATTTTGGGAGGCCAAGGTGGGTGGATCACTTGAGGTCAGGAGTTCGAGACCGGCTTGGCCAACATGGTGAAACCCTCTCTCTACTGATAATACAAAAATTAGCCAGACATGGTGGTGCAGCCTGTAATCCCAGCTACTTGGAAGGCTGAGGGAGGAGAATTGCATGAACCTGGGAGTTGGAGGGTGCAGTGAGCCGAGATTGCACCATTGCACTCCAGCCTGGGTAACAAGAGCAAAACTCCATCTCAAAAAAAAAATAAATAAATAAATAAAAGAAAAAAGAAAAAGAAGGTAGCTTACACAGGATTCAGTAACTGAACAGATGTGCAGACCTGGAGATGTGGAGTAGGTTGAGCAATGAGGGAGGGGGACCTTCACTTCTGTGGCTCCCATCTATTTCCCATTCTAGGTCTGCTCCTCAGCATCCAAAAGCCCCACTCTAATCTCCATGTGCCATGCTGCAGCTGAAGCCCTTTTCATCTTGATCTCTGCTTTAAGGGAGCTAAGTAAGGATAATGACATCAAAGGTAGGGATACATCACAGCTAATAACATTAAACTGGTCCAGGAGGGTTGCTTAGGTATAATTACAATCCTTCAAGCTGTAGACTAAGGCTCCTGTCTATCATTGTGTTCCCTAGGGGAAAATGCAGCTACCTTTACTTTCAAGTTCTTAATGGAAGTTACCTGTAGCAATGTGATTTAGCGAGTATGTACTTAAGGGTTTTTTTCTCCCAACCCCCCACATTTTTCCTTTCACAAATAATTAGAAAAGAGAGAAAAGCAGACATTATCAGCCTCCGGATGTAAAGCAACAAGAAGTATAGAGTATCACTGATGAACTATATTTGCCAAAGTAAATCAAACACAAATGTCATTGCACCTCCACATCTATCAGTTTACAGAAAAACACAGGGCATGGAGGACCGTATTACATAGCAACATGGGAATGTCGTCAACAAAATTCAGACCCTGGGAAACCCTAAGGGCAAAGGTCAACAGGTGGGTCTCATTTGAATCTCGCTAAAAGAAACCAACTGTAAGAGTATATTTATGAAACAATCAGGAAAATTTGAACACAAACTGGGTATTTGATGATATTAAGAAATTTTTGTTGAGTTTGTAAGATGTGATAATAGTATTGTGGTTATTTATTTATTTATATTATTGTGTGTGGGGAGGGGGGGCTTTTTTTTTTTTTTTTTTGAGTCTCACTCTGTTGCCCCAGGCTGGAGTGCAGTGGCATGATCTCAGCTCACTGCAAGCTCCGCCTCCCGGGTTCACTCCATTCTCCTGCCTCAGCTCCCAAGTAGCTGGGACTACAGGCGCCTGCCACCACGCCAGGCTAATTTTGTTTTTGTATTTGTAGTAGAAATGGGGTTTCACCATGTTAGCTAGGATGGTCTCAATCTCTTGACCTCATGATTCGCCCTCCTTGGGCTCCCAAAGTACTGGGATTACAGGTGTGAGCCACCGCGCCCGGCCTATTTATTTTTTAAAAAGTGTTCTTCGCTGGGTGCAGTGGCTCGCGCCTGTAATTCTAGCACTTTGGGAGGCCGAGGTGGGAGGATTGCTTGAGCCTAGGAGTTTGAGACCAGCCTGATCAACATGGTAAAACCCAGTCTCTACAAAAAATACAAAACATTAGCAGTGTGTGGTGGTGTGTGCCTGTGGTCCCAGCTACTATGTAGGCTGAGGTGGGAGGATGGCTTCTGCCCGGGAGGCAGAGGCTGCAGTGAGCAGAGATATGCCACTACACTCCAGCCTGGGTGACAGAGACAGATCCTGTCTCAAAATAAATAAAAAGAAAAAAAAGAAATGATCATGCTGCCTAGGATTTACCTCAGTAATTGAGTAGGGGAGGGTGGTAATGAGTGGGGAGCCGGTGAGGTGGGTGGTCCCTGGATTGACAAGTGCTGCAGCAAGGTGGTAGGCACTTGGAGGCTCATTATAATATTATCTCTGGTTTGTATGTGGTTTTTTTTTTTTTGAGACAGAGTTTTGCTCTTGTTGCCCAGGCTGGAGTGCAATGGCGCGATCTTGGCTCACCGCAACCTCTGCCTCCCGGTTCAAGCGATTCTCCTGCCTCAGTCTCTCAAGTAGCTGGGATTACTGGCATGTGCCACCACGCCTAGCTAATTTTGTATTTTTTAGTAGAGACGGGGTTTCTCCATGTTGATCAGGCTGGTCTCGAACTCCTGACCTCGGGTGATCTGCCCGCTTCGGCCTCCCAAAGTGCTGGGATTACAGGCGTGAGCTGCCGCGCCTGGCATTTGTTTTTATGTTTCATAATGAAGAATTTAAAGAAAGGATTAGAGACAACTAGTAATAAAATCACAAAAATGACAAGAAAAAAATAAGTAAACAAGAGAAATTAGAAACTCTTCAGAGAAAGAGCAGAGGTAGTTACACCTGAGACTTGCAATAATACCATTACTTCATCTCATTCCTAAATTTGTCTCAACTTCCTGGCTCCAAAGCCTAGACAAAGCGTCCCTTATTTACTTGTAAAACAGTTTCTTAGGCATGCAGACGAAGAGGTGGGAACAGGAGGTTGGAATGTGGATAGCAACCCAAAAGAGAACTTTCTCCCCTGAGGCAAAGTCTTTAGCTGCTTTTCTTTTTGTCTTCCTTGTTTTTTTTTTTTTTTTTTTTTTGAGATGGAGTTCCACTTTTCTTGCCCAGACTGGAGTGTAATGGCACGATCTTGGCTCACTGCAACCTCCGCCTCCGGGGTTCAAGCGATTCTCCTGCCTCAGCCTCCCAGCTGGGATTACAGGAATGCGCCACCACGCCAGGCTAATTTTGTGTTTTTAGTAGAGACAGGGTTTCTCCATGTTGGTCAGGCTAGTCTCGAACTCCCGACCTCAGGTGATCCACCCGCCTCGGCCTCCCAAAGTTTTGGGATTATAGGTGTGAGCCACCGCAACCGGCTTGTCTTCCTTTTTTGGTGTGGTGAAACTGAGGGAGTTTGTTGGGAGAGGCAGTTACTGAGCTAGGAAGTTGTTGAGCAGGAAGGAGAAAAATCTGCAAACTGGAGAGGGTCTCACTATCAAACTTTTCGGCAAGTAGAATTTCCCCAATAAAAACAGCTGTATGAAGAACATTCTGAGACACATAAAGCTATTTCCATATCCCTGCAGGCAGTCTCTAGAAATAGTGCTTTGTTGTTCCACATACAATGCCATCTTCTGGTCCCAGCACTGCAATGGTCACTCCCACCTCCAAGATACAATAGTGATCAATTGTCTGATGTTTGCACTGCAGGTGGGGAGGAGGAAAAGGCAGAGGATCTGACCCCCAGGCTCTCAAAGCAGTTTAGTTCCTCAATTAAATAGCAAGTAACTTTCAAAGCTCCCCCTCCATCCGCTTCACCTTGTCCACATCTTAATCATCCTGCGATAGAGCAAAAAATATTCTCCAAAATCACCCATCATGCAAAACATGTTGAAAATGAAATTCTGAGGCCGGGCACCATGGCTCATGCCTGTAATCCCAGCACTTTGGGAGGCTGAGGCGAGTGGATCACCTGAGGTCAGGAGTTTGAGACCAACCTTGACAACCTGGTGAAACCCTGTCTCTACTAAAAATACAAAAATTAGCTGGGTGTGGTGGTGGGCACCTGTAATCCCAGCTACTCGGGAGGCTGAGGCAGGAGAATCACTTGAACCCAGGAGGCGGAGGGCGCCATTGCACTCCAGCCTGGGTGACAGAGCGAGACTCTGTGTCAAAAAAAAAAAGAAAAGAAAGAAAGGAAAAAAAAAAGAAATTCTGCAATTCTGCAGAATGAAATAGTGGAGGTACAGCCAAAAGGTGACATCTCCTTTCTATAATTATATTTAGACATTTGATTTACTTGCTTATTCACTAGGACCAAGCACAAGTGTGTGTGTGTGTGTGTGTGTGTGCGCTCACAAATACAGGGTTTTTTTTTTTTTTTTGAGACGGAGTCTCGCTGTGTCCCCCATGCTGGAGTGCAGTGGAAGGATTTTGGCTCACTGCAACCTCCGCTTCTGGGTTCACGCCATTCTCCTGCCTCAGCCTCCCGAGTAGCTGGGACTACAGGCGCCTGCTACCATGCCTGGCTAATTTTTTTTTTTTTTTTGTATTTTTAGTAGAGACGGGGTTTCACCGTTTTAGCCAGGATGGTCTCGATCTCCTGACCTTGTGATCTGCCCACCTCGGCCTCCCACAGTGCTGGGATTACAGGCGTGAGCCACGGCGCTGGGCCCAAGGGTTTTTTTGTTTTTGTTTTTGTTTTTTTTAGAGACGGGTAGGGAGTGGGGGTGAAGGTCTTTGCTCTGTCACCCGGGTTGGAGTGCAGTGGTGCAATCATAGCTCACTGTAACTGCAAACCCCTGGGCTCAAGCCAGCCTCCCGTCTCAGCCTCCTGAGTAGCTGCGAGGCAAACCACCATGCCCTAGGGTTTTGTTTTTGTTTTTGTATCCTACAGCAGCTTGCTCTTATCACTCAATAATACCTTATAGAAGGCCTCCAAACCATCTGGCCTAGTGCTAAAATAATCTTTTTAATGCCTGCATAATATTCACAGTATGGCTACCATTGTTCATTCTGTCACTTACCTACTCAAAGGCATTGATTTTGATCCCAATTTCCTTGCTACTCTGAATAATGATGCAACAGACATCCCTAAGCATGAGTTTCTGTTTATTGATGTGTACATTTTTATGGAAATCATTCCCAGGACTGAGATGTTTGGGTTGAGGGATCTCATCTCAGTTGAGAGAATAATTGTTCTTGGCCACCCAACAGTTAATACCTAATATTATATGGCACTACTCACCTTCTACTTTCAATTCCATTGCTGCCTCCTCTTGGTAAGAATGATCTCGGAAGAAGCAGGTGAAACCTCCTTCATCTGAGAACCTTACATTCCGGATCCTGAGAGTCACCTTTCCCTCACCAATAGCATCTTTCAGCAGCTCTGTCCGGCCCCGATATTCAGGTGCCTGGTCTCCATCTTGGTCCTTGCCATTTCTGTAGAGATGAACCACCCTAGAGAAGGGGGGGCGGTACCACCCCACCTCCATGCCTGTAGCGTTCTTCCCAGGAGATATGCGACATGGCAATTCCACTTCATCCCCGACCAGA
Organism: Homo sapiens; assembly: GCF_000001405.40. NCBI lineage: Eukaryota > Metazoa > Chordata > Mammalia > Primates > Hominidae > Homo > Homo sapiens. Next base: position 924,474 of record NT_167246.2, on the reverse strand, counting down.
GCCCGGATAGGGTGTCTTGGTCCTATCACTCTGAACTGCCCTGTCCAAGACACCAAAAGGAAGAGATTTAAGGTCAGAGGGAACCTTGGCAAGCAAGCCTGTCATGAGAAGGGCTGCTTCAAAACAGGGAAGGAAGAAGACACTCGACTTTTAAATGACATTCTAGAGCCAGGGAGGATTGCAATTGTTCTTCTTCTTCTTCTTCCTTTTTATTTATTCATTTATTTTTTGAGACAGTCTTACTCTCTGTCGCCCAGGCTGGAGTGCAGTGGTGCAATCTTGGCTCACTGCAACCTCCGCCTCCCTGCAACCTCCGCCTCCCAGGTTCAAGTGATTCTCCTGCCTCAGCCTCCCGAGTAGCTGGCATTACAGGCACCTACCGCCGCATCCAGCTAATTTTTGTATTTTTAGTAAAGATGAGGTTTCACACTGTTGGCCAGGCTGGTCTCGAACTCCTGACCTCAGGTGATCCGCCTGCCTTGGCCCCAAAGCGCTGGGATTATGGGCATAAACCACCACACCCGGCCTCAAGTTTCCTTCTTGAGAACAACAACGACAAAAAAGACTCTGGTTATAGAGATACTGTGAATGTCCTGGACAGAACATTTTAGCAATCATCTCCTCTCAGCATCTGCCCATCTTTTTGCCAGCTGTAGCCATCTCTGACTCTTCAGCCCAGCCTTTAGGTTCCCTCTTGGAATGTGGCACAGCATCTTGAGGTTGAATCCTCCTATGGGCCTCCCTGTTAGGACTTGGCCAAATTGCTGCCTATTCTACCCTTAGAGGTTTTGCTTTTGTCACTCCATCTACTTTAACTGTCTCTCCATCACTTCTCACTATTCAGTCCTTGTTCATACCTTGTTTCCCAAATTCTCTTCTGAGATCTTCCACCCTGGGGATGGCTCTATTTCCCTCTTCCTTCCCCTGTATCTTCCACCTCACTGTGGCTCCCGGACCCTGACCCGAAAAAGTTCCTTGTTTTTTTCTATGTGGATGTGTTTCTCAAGTCAGATTCTGAGCTACTAAGAAATAAGGCTGCTTTCTCCCCTAGACCTGGAGAGTGGATGCACTGTGCCTCTGTCAGTCAGGTGGCTCCCTGAGGATGGGAAACTTTCTGTTTATTTCTCCTCTGCACGTGACAGCCGGGTTCCTTTATAAAAACCTACTGGTGCCTGATTATGCAGAGCAAAGTCTCAAACATGACAAGATATTATAATTCCACAAACATTTATTGAGATTTACTATGGACAGGCACTGCTAAGCATGTTACATATCTCATTTCATGTAATCCTGATGAGAACTCCAAGAGGTTGTTATTATTTTATCTCAATTTGAGAGGTGAAAAGACAAAGCTGGAAAGACAAGTAAGAAGTAGTTCAAGGAAAGCCTTGAGTTAGTCACATTAAGGAGTCTGGGTCAGACGCAATGGCTCATGCCTGTAATCTCAGCACTTTGGGAGGCTGAGGAGGGCAGACCACTTGAGGTCAGGGGTTCCAGACCAGCCTGGCCAACATGGTGAAACCCCATCTCTACTAAAAATAAAAAAATTAGGCCTAGTGCAGTGGCTCACGCCCATAATCCCAGTACTTTGGGAAGCCGAGGCGGGCGGATCAGCAGGTCAAGAGATCGAGACCATCCTGGCCAACATGTGAAACCCCGTCTGTACTAAAATACAAAAAAAAAAAAAAAAAAAAGAAAAGAAAAAATTTAGCTGGGTGTGGTGGCAGGCGCCTGTAGTCTCCGCTACTTGGGAGGCCAAGTCAGGAGAATCGCTTGAACCAGGGAGGCTGAGGTTGCAGTGAGCCGAGATCATGCCACTGCACTCCAGCCTGAGCAACAGAGGGAGACTCTGTCTCAAAAAAAAAAAAGAGTCTGGACTCCATCTTGAAGGCTGTAAGAACCACCCACGGAAGGTTTCTGAGGAAGGGAGGCATGTCAGTAGGTCTATGTTTTAGAAAGATAATATAGCAACTTGAGGATGTTTGAAGGAGCTAAGCCCCAGGAAACTAGCCTTTCTGTTTTCAGGGTCTCCCCAGGGCAGGAAAAAAAACATGTCTTACCTGCATAGCTGGAAGACACTTGGAGGAGGAGGAGGAGGAGGAAGGAGCAGAGGCAGCTGGGCAGAGAGGGTCTCGATAAGCTTGCCATCTCTACTGTTCCTGGGGACAGAGAGCCCCCGCAGCAAGGTCAGGCCAAGTGGAGGCCCTTGGGGTGCATGTCCCCTTACTGCTGAAAAGCCCAAGGGAAGATCTTGGAGGGCAGTGCTGCCTGGGCCCTGCCTCCACTCCGGTAATTGCTGCAGCTGTGCCCGCAGAAACAGCCCCACGTCACCCTTGCCAGGCACTCACACAAAAGGGCTACAGACTGAGGGGATGACCAGGGTTTGCCTTCCCCACCCCCCCAGAGCAATGGAGCAGAGGCTGCCTGGTACAGGGCTTTCCTCCCCCACTCCCTCCTGGAGATCCAACCTTTGAAGGGTCTTCTAGGGGCTAATCAGTGGGGCAGGATCACTTACAGGACCTTAGGAAGAGGCTTGTTCATGGAATATGTAAGCTTCCTCCAATCCACCCCAGCCCTACTGACTAGTCAAAAGAGAGAAATTATTATTGGTTCTTAAAAAAAGAAAGAAAACTTAGATTTCTTTTTCCTGTTTCTATTATCTCACAACTGTCATCACCAGACCATTCTTCTTAATGTCTAACCTCCCTTTCTTCTACCGCGAATCCAAACTCTGCCCTGTATGTTTGTATATGTGATAGGTCACTTGGGATTTGTTAGTTTCTTGTTCCCAAAGAATGTTTTTAGGGAAGTCATGAGATGAATGTCAGGTGTGCTCAGAGAGGCAAGGTTGGAGGAAGGGAGACCAGCAAGGGCAGCAACTAACTATGTCAGTCAACACAGGCAGAAGGGACAGAGCCAGCATACAGGACACGCTCTCCAGCCTTCACATCACTTGCCAGTTTCCTCAGTGTCACAGGGGAGAGTGAGATCTGGAATGGAAAATGACCTTTCTCTCACCTCTTGGCTCAGCTGAGAATTGCAAGTGTGAGACCAGCATTGGTAGCAGGTTCCAAAAATAGACTTCCCAATCTTAAGGCAAGTATGCCTCACCAAATAAGGAAAAAAGGCTCAATTTAGAGCCGTGCTGTCCAATGCAGCAGTCACTCCCTGCATGTGGCCACTTAAAATTAATTACAATTAAATAAAATTAAAAATTTGGTTCATTGATTACACTAGCCATGTTTCAAATGCTCAATAGCACTACAGTTAGTGGTTATCTCATCAGACAACACAAATACAGAACATTTCCATCGTCACAAAAAATTATATTGGGCAACACAAAAATTTATATTGGGCAGCAAGGGGTAGAAACACAACTGAGACATACATTTCTGCTTTTGTCCGAGATGGGCGTAAGGAGCTAGAAGGACATTAAGGTCAGCTGAGTTTGGGAACTGCTTATTCTTTCACCCTTCAAGGCAGCCAGCGTTTGGACACAAGCAATGTTTGGCTACTCTGGTGCTGTGTGGTTGAAAGTCAAGATTGCAGGGGTCAATCCCATGGAAAAAGTGGCCGCTGTGGATCTCTGGCTTTTTACCAAAGGGGTTTTTTTTTCTTCAAAAACCTAAAATGTCCTGGGACGCTCTTTCTCCCTGTTGCATATTCAGGTAGGAGAGTTATGCACAAGATGCTTCTGGGCAGGATTTGGGGGTGGTAAGATGTGTGCAATTGTCCAGCACCAAGCAAGCTGTCAAAAGCTGGATGGGAGATCAGGATGAGGGTGGAGGCATGTGGGAGCAGAGAGGGTCAGGAGCCTGCCGAGCCATCACAGCCACTTTGGAGAAATCACAGCATCTCTGAAAACAACAATAAAAAAAACTAACCACCTTACTGAGATATTCTATGTGCTGTGGTTCTAAGTGGTTTACTTGCATTAACACCTTTAATCCTCACAACAACAAAACAAATATTAAACTATTATCACCCATATCTTACAGGTGAGAAAAGGGAGGTACAAAAGAGGTAAAGGAACTTGCTAAAGTCACACCACTAGGGAGTGGCAGAGCTGGGATTTCAAGCCAGGCTTTCTAGTCCTAGAACTGGCTCTTTTAACCACCACAATACAAGGCCTCTGATGAGCTCAGCTTATTTACTTTCATGCCCTCAACTGCCTCAAATTTCCTGAAAGGGGAGGATTCCTGGAGCTGTGAGAGCAGTCCCTTGGCTGACATGGTCTTTGGGCAAAGGTGATATATACAAGGGAAGGCCAGAGGGGCCACCAGCAAAATGAAGCCAGTGGTGTTGCCACTTGCAGAAATCTGGGGTATAGGGGCTGGGCCCGCTCACGCCTGTAATCCCAGCACTTTGGGAGGCCGAAGCGGGCAGATTACCTGAGGTTGGGAGTTCAAGACCAGCCTGACCAACATGGAGAAACCCTGCCTCTACTAAAAATACAAAAATTAGCTGGGCATGGTGGCGTGCGCCTGTAATCCCAGCTACTCGGGAGGCTGAGGCAGGGTAATCCCTTGAACCCAGGAGGCGGAGATTGCGGTGAGCCAAGATCCCGCCATTGCACTCCAGCCTGGGCAAGAAGAGCAAAACTCCGTCTCAAAATAAAATAAAGAAATCTGGGGTATGGGAACATCAGGTATTGCCAGGAATAGAGCTCAGTGTAGATGTGTCCAAGAAGTGAAACCACCCTGTATCACCCTGGGAGCTGCTCATTTCTTTCAGCATTTAAATATTATTTTAATTGATTTTGTATAGCATATGTTATGAGATCCTGCAAGTATTCCTGAGTTCTTGAGTTGCCTCTTTTTTTCTTTCTTTCTCGTTTTTGAGACAGGGTCTCTCTCTGTCACAGGCTGGAGAGCAGTGGCGTGATCAGGGCTCACTGCAGCCTTTACCTCTCAAGTTTAAGTGAACCTTATGCCTCAACTTCCTGAGTAGCTGAAACTACAGGTATGTGCCAGCATGCCTGGCTAAATGAAAGCTTCTTTTCTTTTCTTTCCCTTGGTCTCAAACTCCTGGACTCAAGTGATCCTCCTGCCTCAGCCTTCTGAAATGTTGGAATTACAGGCTGAGCCACTACACCCAGCTCAATTTTCTTCCAGTGTTGCTGTCCTCAGTAATTTCAGCTTAATCTGCATCTCTCACCATGTCCAATGACAGACCATGTACACAGTAATATATTCAGAGTGACACATTGAATACAGTAAATGTGTGTGGTAATTTTTTAACATGCTCTATGCTGTCCATATGTGAAATAGTAAGCATTCAATAAATGGTAGCTTTCCTACATAAATACCCAGCAACAGTACTGTATAAGCTTTTACAGATAATCTGTAAAATATGTATCTTTACATTATTTATGTTATCAGAAGTGATAATAGACACCCTGTTTTGATTCTTGTTGTCTACTTAATTCATAATTCCACATTAATACATAATATGGCTTTTTTGTACTTTTGAAAATTGATTGTTAGCTGGACGTGGTGACATGCACCTGTTGAGCCCAAGAGAGAGAGGCTGCAGTGAGCACTGATCGTGCTGCTGCACTCCAACCTGTGCGACAGAGTGAGACCCTATCTCAAAAAAATTTTTTAAATAAAAATTGATTCTTATAAAGTAACATGCTTTGAAAATAAATCTCAGCCAGCTAAAGCCGATCTGTATTTTCTCTAAATCCTTCCGTTTGTATATATATACCACTAGAGGGCGCTCCACGAAAGTCACTGCCTGTGAGTACTGCAAGTAGCGCTCACACATCCCTCCCTCTCCCTTCTCCCACCTGTTTTACATAAATGGTAACAATTTATCTTGAAGCTCTTTCCTTATCAGTACCTAAAGAACATCCTTGTTATTTTTAAACAGCTTACAATATTTTATTGGATGAATATAATATAGTTATTTAAGTAGCATCCCAAGACATTTAGACTGTTTCAGTTTTTTAAATACCTATTTTTACTAGGATGAAGCAAAAATGTACTCAATTAATTTAAATCAATACATATTTAAAAGCAAGTGCTATGTGTCATACTTTATATTAGGCCCTGATTATAAAACTTTCAGCAAGGCAGACAAGATTCTTGCCTTTATGAGTTATATTCTAGTTGTATTGCAGTTATATTACAGTTATATGTTACCTAAAGGCACAAATTGATCAATGTCAGGCCATCATTTTCAACCTTTTTGCTCTTACATATAATTTGGCAATGAATATCAGTCTACTAAGGCCAGCTACATATTTTGAGGGGCAAAATGAAACTATGGAGCTCCTTGTTTAATAGCAGGAAAAGACCAGGTGCAGTGGCTCACGCCTGTAATCCCATCACTTTGGGAGGACCAGGTTGGAGGATCGCTCGGGCCCAGGGTCTCGAGTCCAGCCTTTACAACATAGTGAGACCCCATCTCTAGTTAAATAAATCTATTAAAAAATAATAAAATAGAAAATAAAAAGCAGAAAAAAAACCCAACCTTTTCCTTTTTTCTGTGGTTCCACTGTCAACCTATTATGTGGGGTTTTTTTCTTTTCTTTTTTTTTTTTTTTTTGAGACGGAGTCTCGCTCTGTCGCCCAGGCTGGAGTGCAGTGGCGCAATCTCGGTTCACTGCAACCTCCGCCTCCCGGGTTCAAGCCATTCTCCTGTCTCAGCCTCCCAAGTAGCTGGGACTACAGGCGCTCGCCACCATGCCCAGATAATTTTTTTGTATTTTTAGTGGAGACGGGGTTTCACCGTGTTAGCCAGGATGGTCTCGATCGCCTGACCTCGTGATCCGCCTGCCTTGGCCTCCCATAATGGTGGGATTACAGGCGTGAGCCACCGCGCCCGGCCTTTTTTTTTTTAATTTAATGTCACACTCCAGGCACAGGAGTACCTAGGGGGAAGTGCAGATCTTCACAAGTGCCTAGGGCCATGCCTTCCATTTGGCAAGGGAGGTGTGTATGCCTGACCGCTCCCCTCCTTTCCACTGTTCCCAGGCCCCTGCTGGGAGCGAGCCTGCACAGAAGGTGGTGGAGCCGGCAGCTGAAAACCAGTCCTGGGGAGGCTGGGAGGCATGGGGAGCAGGACCTCGCTTGAGCCAGGCTCCAAAAGTCTCTAGCCCATGTTCTGCTTTCTCATCGGACTTCATTATAAGACACAAATTGAAAGATAAAATTATTAAGAATTTCAAGACAGGAACCACAGAGCTTTAGAACCCAAACACAGTATCCCTTCTAAGCATGGGGCCCTTGTGTGACTGCCCTGGTCACTCACCCATGAAGTTTACTCTGCTTTCTACACTGGTAGAATAGTTTGTTCAGAGAGCATGTTTTTTGGTAATTTCAATAAATATTGATAAATTGCCCTGCACAAAGTTGTATACTTCACTGTACCCTGGCTTTCTCCTTAGTGAGTGAGGGAATAATATCATCCACTTCATCAGGGTTATCATGAGAATGACATGAATGAGTCCCTGTGAACTGTGAATGGTACACAGTAACCACTCAGTAAATACAGTCATTAGCCCTTACATGCAGTGATTTTCTTCTGGAACTCCCTCTAGTGGCATAAATATAAAGAGGAATTCACGTTTTCTTTTCTACTTTTGTGGCCCTATTTCCCATAATATTTGTGTGTTTAAATTGGTCTAGATATTCCACTGAGGCTCAATGACCGATAGACTATAAAATGTCTAATTTACATCAATTTAGCCAGATGCTTCCTAGGTAGGTCGGAGAAATGAGAACACTGATCCGAATCAATGTGAGGCAGCTCCCAGCAAGTGAGCGCCTGTAGCATGTGTGAGCATGGGTGCTGTGGTGAATGCAGCCAGGGGCTGCTCTTTCATACTGCTTTATTTCTTTTTCTTTTCTTTCTTTTTTTTTTTTTGAGACGGAGTTTCGCTCTTGTTGCCCAGGCTGGAGTGCAATGGCACGATCTTGGCTCACTGCAACCTCCACCTCCCGGGTTCAAGGGATTCTCCTGCCTCACCCTCCTTTGTAGCTGGGACTACAGGCACCCGCCACCACGCCCGGCTAATTTTTTGTATTTTAGTAGAGACGAGGTTTCACCATATTGGTCAGGATGGGCTCGATTTCCTGACCTCGTGATCCACCCGCCTCGTCCTCCCAAAGTGCTGGGATTGCAGGCATGAGCCACCGCGCCCGGCCATACTGGTTTATTTCTTTTTCTTTTTTTTTTTTTTTTTGAGACAGAGTCTTGCTCTGTCGCCCAGTCTGGAGTGCAGTGACACGATCTCGGCTCACTGCAAGCTCCGCCTCCCGGGTTCACGCCATTCTCCTGCCTCAGCCTCCTGAGTAGCTGGGATTACAGGGGTGCGTCACCATGCCTGGCTAATTTTTTGTATTTTTTTAGTAGAGACGGGGTTTCACCGTATTAGCCAGGATGGTCTCGATCTCCTGACCTCGTGATCCGCCCGCCTCGGCCTCCCAAAGTGCTGGGATTACAGGCGTGAGCCACCGCGCCTGGCCTACTGGTTTATTTCTTTAAGTAACACATACAGTGTAGAAAAATTAGAAACGATATGGAAAAATGTAGAGAACAAAAAACTAATTATGTTCTACCAAAGGTTTAAATTTTATCTATCAACATTTTTTCCATTTTTATGTATTCCCTATTGTTAGTCTGAGATTCACCAATATTTTTATCTTTCAAAAGGAAAAACATTCAGCTTCTTGTGAGTCAAGTGAGTCAGGCACTGAGGCTTGCCCCTCCCCCTCCCCCCTCCCCAAATGGGAATGGGTTTGCGCTGATTTTAATCAAACTGCTATGGGTTGTCCTGCGTAAGAGGCTTTGGGCTGTTCTGTAGGTCCCCGTGGGGTAGAACAGTTGGGTGCAAGACTCTGAAGGCAGATTTCAGCTCAAAAGAAAGAATTTTCCCTCCTTCAGAGCTGTCCAACCGTGGTGGGAATGAGTGGGAACTACGGGAGTGAGCTTCCCATTCCTGGATTTTCCAGCCAACATAGAACTGGAGGTTAGGCCACATTATCCTAATATTTTTGCCTAGCTGTAGGATGATACAAGAATATACATTTTCCTTCCCCATCTTCTCCCGCTTTTCCTCGCCTTCTTTCCATTTCTTTGGCCCCTTCGCTTTTCGCCACCTAGCGGCAGAATCTTGCTAGGTAAGGACCAGGAAGCTCTCCCAATCTGACCCGCAACAGCTGACGTCACGACTTCGCCACCGAGAATTGGTTGCCAGCAGCCTTTGGGGGCGGAGAATAAGGCGCAGATTATAAATAGGTCAAAGAGAGGTGCCTGCGAGCCGCGCAGTGACACCCCGTTCCTAAGGGCAGAGCTTTTCTTGCCTTTCGCTTCAGACCCACTGCACTTGGTTACGTGCTTTTCCTCCGCTGTCCGCTTCGTTTATCTGCTTTAACCCAACCTGGGCTAGGTAGGCCTGAAGCCTATAATGTTGCTTGGCTGTTGCTCAGGAGAAGAAAGGCCCAGGTGGCCAGTTTGGCAACTGGCACAGTCCCTGTGAGCACCCACCTGCTGATGGTCCTTCTGTCACTACGTAGTCGCTCCGACGCCAGGAAAGTGCGGTGGTGGCCATTTTGGAACTGGGCAACTTTCACTTCGCCAATCATCTTGGGGTCTGGCCACCACAGTACTTTTTTTTCATTATTATTCTGGCAGAGAACACGTTATGGAGGGATAATTATGTAGCCTAGAATTTCTAGAGTTGTTTCAGGACTCATAATATCCTCATTCCAGAATATGAGAATATAGAAGCTTGGAATACTCAGATGCAAATTCCAGCACCACCCTTTCCTAATTGATTGAGGAACACATCTGACTCTAGTCTACGGTCCTGTGGAAAGACCTGTGACCCTAGGCAAAGAGCTTAAAGAAATCTCTCTTTTTTTTTTTTTTTTTTTTGAGACGGAGTTTTGCTCTTGTTGCCCAGGCTGGAGTGCAGTGGCGCGATCTCGGCTCACCGCAACCTCCACCTCCTGGATTCAAGTGATTCTCCTGCCTCAGCCTTCCGAGTAGCTGGGATTACAGGCTATGCGCCACTATGCCCGGCTAATTTTGTATTTTTAGTAGAGATGGGGTTTCTCCATGTTGGTCAGGCTGGTCTCGAACTCCGACTTCAGGTGATCCACCCGCCTCAGCCTCCCAAAGTGCTGGGATTACAGGCGTGAGCCACTGCACCTGGCCATGAAGAAATATCAATTTATTTAACTGCAAAATGATAATTCTGTCACCTCGTGGTGCTGATGTGAGGATTAAATGAGACAAGGTACATAAAGTGCTTAGGCCTGTGTCTGGCTCCCCCAAAAAACATAACACCTCTTGTGCAGCACCTGTGCTTAGAATGTTAGCCAGTGAGGGCAGGACTTCGTCTTATTTTCCCTGTGCCCTCCTGGGCATTGAATAGTGAGGGATACATATTAGAATAAGTTTGCTGAAAGAATGAATGACAAAGAATCCCTGCCTGTAGGTCTTCAGCCTTTGTATTCTATTATCTTTTAGGCTGTAGGCTCACCCTCAGGCATCTTCTTGCCACTCTAACCCCTATAGGCTGATAATTACACCTTTACTTGCTCTAGGTCACAGCAATCTGTTAACTACGAGATTAGTATTTTTATTAGTATTTTTGACTTTTTTTTTTTTTTGAGACATGGTTTCACTCTTAGAGTGCAGTGGCGTGATCTCAGCTCACTGCAACCTCCGCCTCCCAGGTTCAAGCGATTCTCCTGCCTCAGCCTCCTGAGTAGCTGGGATTTCAGGCGCCCGCCACCACCCTCGGCTAATTTTTGTATTTTTTTTTAAGTAGACGGGGTTTCGTCGTGTTAGCCAGGATGATCTCGATCTCCTGACCTCGTGATCCGCTCGCCTCGGCCTCCCAAAGTGCGGGGATTACAGGCGTGAGCCACCGCGCCCGGCCTAATTTTTGTATTTTTAGTAGAGACAGGGTTTCACTGTGTTGGCCAGGCTTGTCTCCAACTCCTGACCTCGTGATCTGCCTGCCCGCCTAGGCCTCCCAAAGTGCTGGGATCACAAGCGTGAGCCACCGCGCCCGGCAGATAATTTACTTATTATTTCATACACCACCTGATATATTTTCACAGTGAGCATATGGCCTTTAAAATAATGATTTTTTTGTTGTTTAAGTTACAAACAAACCTGAAAAAATATTTGCTTTTTAGAAATGCTCAGTTTCTGAAGGGACCTAAGTTTGCCTTGTAACTGGTACCATCTAATGGTCAAACTGAGCTATTGCGCTGAGGTTGGATACAGGAAGCTAAGGGAAGACAGGGATGTGGGAAGTTCAACAGGGGTATGCTATGGAATAGGGTGATAGAACTTTGTGGATGACATACCAACATCACTTGCTGAAGTTGTGTAGAGCTTATTCTTACTGAAACAGTAATCCAGAAATTAACTCATATCTAATGACTTGGTGGTATAGCATACCAACACTTTTATGCCAGCCACTGGAGAAAAAGTGTGTTCCTATAGCATTTTCACATTCTGAAAACATTTGTCTATGATTGTATTTATTTCTCACAATAGTATGTGAGTTAAAGATATCAAATAGTTTTATTCTTATTTTACAGTTGATGAAATTGAGGCCAGACGGGTTGTGACAGGCTCAAGGTCAGTCAGAAAACCATTGTCAGAGCAAGACCAGACTGGCATTCTTTTTCAGGTGTTTCTGCTGCAATTGGGGGCAGAGATATGCAGGCTTAACTTTTATAAATATAAAAGATGCTTTATTGGGAAACGTGAAGTAGTGGTTCTCTGAGTTTTTTGTACCATTTCTTAGCCTTTTTGTTTTATGCAATTTTTTATTTGCCCCAACCTGAACTCTATGTTTGGAGAGGTGATTTTCAGCAACAAAGCTAAATTTATGTATAATTTATTTCTTTTTCTTTTATTAATCAAACGTGTTTTAACTTGTAACTTTTCTTCTAAAGTCAGCATCATGTGTATACATATGCAAATAATTCCACTCCAAGGTAAGGAAACTTTAAGGATATTTTAATTAGTGCTCACAACAAATATGTGTATCTGTTCTGATTTTTAAATAATAAAGATGGAGCATGACTTTCTTCTTCTCTTTCTGTATTCCAGTTTTAAAATCATTGGCTGGGTGCAGTGGCTCATGCCTGTAATCCCAGCACTCTTGGAGGCCAAGGCAGGCGGATCACTTGAGGAAAGGAATTTGAGATCAGCCTGGCCAACATGGCAAAACCCTGTTTCTATCAAAAATACAAAAAAGTAGCTGGGCATGGTGGCATGCACCTGTAGTCCCAGGTACTTGGGAGGCTGAGATGGAAGGACTGTTTGAGGCTGGTTGACACAGTGAGACTCCCATCTCAAAAAGAAAAAAAAATCACCATACCACATTGTAGGAGCTATGAAGGCTGACATCATGCTTAGCTCATGTGTGTGATCCCAAACTGCCCTATTCCATAAATATTTATTGACTAAATGAGAAAAAAATCTTACAACCAGGTAAGATTTCTTTTCTTTTCTTTTCTTTTTGAGACGGAGTCTTGCTCTCTTGCCCAGGCTGGAGTGCAGTGGCGCGATCTCTGCTCACTGCAAGCTCCGCCTCCCAGGTTCACGCCATTCTCCTGCCTCAGCCTCCCGAGTAGCTGGCACCCGCCACCATGCCCGGTTAATTTTTTCTTGTATATTTTGTAGAGACAGGGTTTCACCATGTTAGCCAGGATGGTCTTGATCTCCTGACCTCATGATCAGTCTGCCTCAGCCTCCCAAAGTGCTGGGATTACAGGCGTGAGCACCGCGCCCAGCCATAGCCAGATAAGTTTCTTTTGCACACCTGTACTACTTTTAATGGTAGTTATGGCAGGTCATATTAAATAACAATAATATTTTCTGGGCCAGGCATGGTGGCTCACCCCTGTAATCCCAGTACTTTAGGCAGGAGGGTCATTTGAGGTCCAGAGTTCAAAACCAGCCTGGCCAACATGGCGAAACCCTGTCTCTACTTCAAATACAAAAATTAGCCAGGCATGGTGGTGCATGCCTGAAATCCTAGCTACTGGGGAGGCTGAGGCAAAAGAATTGCTTGAACCCTGGAGGCAGATATTGCAGTGAGCTGAGATTGCACCGCTGCACTCCAACCTGGGTGATTTTATATATATATATATATATATATATATATGTAAATATATATATTTAGTTTTCTTATGAGCCCCTTAAGAATAATATCAATACACAGGCAGAAAAAAAGCATTCCAAGATCTTTTTTTTCTTTTCTTTTTTATTTGAGATGGTGTCTCACTCTGTCACCCAGGCGGAGAGCAATGGCGCAAACTCAGCTTACTGCAACCTCTGCCTCTCCGGTTCAAGTGATTCTCCTGCCTCAGCCTCCTGAGTAGCTGGGATTACAGGTGTCCACCACCACACCTGGCTAATTTTAGTATTTTTAATAGAGACAGGGTTTCACTATGTTGGTCAGGCTGTTCTCGAACTCCTGACCTCGTGATCTGCCCACCTTAGCCTCCCAAAGTGCTGGGATTACAGGTGTGAGCCACCGCGCCTAGCCTTTTTTCTTTTCTTCTTCTTCTTCTTCTTCTTTTTTTTTTTTTGATAGAGATGGGGTTTTGCCATGTTAGCTTCAAACTCCTGGGCTCAAGCAATCTGCCTGCCTCAGCCTCCCAAAGTATTGGGATTACAGGTGTCAGCCACTGAACCAGGCCTAAAACTTTATTTTCTAAAGTTGAAATAACTTCAGGATATAATTTAGAGATATCATGACTCCTTGGGGTCCAGAGAAGAAAATCACTCAGGAGTTAAAATTAAGAGAAGGGTCAGGCACAGTTGTGAGTGCTGTAGTCCCAACTACTCAGGAGGCTGAGCAGGAAGAATTGGTTGAGGCCGGGAGTTCAAGAGCAGCCTGGGCAATAGAGTGAGACCTGTCTTTTAAAAAAGTAAAAATAGATCAGGCGCGGTGGCTCACACCTGTAATCCCAGCACTTTGGGAGGCCGAGGTGGGCGGATCATCTGAGGTCAGGAGCTCAAGACCAGCCTGGGCAACATGACAAAACCCCATCTCTATTAAAAATACAAAAAATTAGCCATGTGTGGTGGCACACGCCTGCATTCCCAGCTACTCAGAAGGCTGAGGCAGGAGAATCACTTGAACCCAGGTGGAAGTTGCAGTGAGCCGAGATCGCATCTGCATTCCCAGCTACTCAGAAGGCTGAGGCAGGAGACTCACTTGAATCCAGGAGGTGGAAGTTGCAGTGAGCCGAGATCGCACCATTGCACTCCAGCCTGGGCAACAAGAGTGAAACTCCACCAAAAAAAAAAAAAAAAAAGTAAAAATAAAATCACAAGGAATGGTTGGAGGAGCCCAGCCCATTCTATTTGTACCTCTATTTTGAGCCATTTCATCCTCTTCCCTGACCAGTTCATCCATCATCCCTCCTCCCCATTAACCACCAGCTTACCTTGTACTCTTCAGTCTTAGAACCCACATTACCTTCAATCTTCTTTGTAAAATGTTGGTAAGAAGTTAACAAATTCAGGCCGGGGGTGGTGGCTTATGCTTGTAATCCCAGCACTTTGGGAGGCCGAGGTGGGAGGATCACTTGAGGTCAGGAGTTCAAGACCAGCCTGGCCAACATGGTGAAACCCCATCTCTACTAAAATTACAAAAATTAGCTGGGCGTGGTGGTGCATGCCTATAATCCCAACTACTCAGGTGGCAGAGGCACAAGAATTGCTTAAGCCCAGGAGGTGGAGATTGCAGTGAGCCAAGCTTGCACCACTGCACTCCAGCCTGGGTGACAGAGCAAGACTGTTAAAAAAAAAAAAAAAGTTAACAAACTCAAATTCAAGAATGCTTTCTTAATACATTTCTCCTGTTATTTTCCATTTTTCCCATGGTGGAAAATAGAAAATAGGATGGCATCACTTGAGTTGGGCATAGGGAAAGAAATTTCAAACAGGGCATGAGTTCTAGGATTTAGAACAGCTAATGCAGGAGTAGAGTTAAAGAAGATACCCCACCTAGCCTAGCCTGCTAGCTGCTTGACAGTAACCAGGGATAACAGGGGAACAGTTAAGGTTCTTCAGATCATGGTCTCTTTCTTTTTCTTCTCCCCTCCCCCATCCTACTTATAATTATTCAGACAGAATGAAAGTTTGCTGCAGGCACAGGTGAAAATTTTCCACCCGTGTCCCTATTTCATAGCAGGATCTTAAGATAAGACCAAGGAGAATGATCTTTGGAAAAGTACTTTCTTAAGAGCAGCGAATGGCTGAACGTAGTGGCTCATGCCTATAATCCCAGCACTTTGAGAGGTCAAGGCGTGTGAATCACCTGAGGTCAGGAGTTTGAGATTAGCCCGACCAACAAGGTGAATCCCCATCTCTACTAAAAACACAAAAATTAGCCAGGCGTGGTGGCAGGCATCTGTAGTCCCAGCTACTCGGGAGGCTGGGACAGGCCTGGGAGGCAGAGGTTGCAGTGAACTGAGATTGCGCCACTACACTCGCCTGGGCAATGGAGCAAGACTCCATCTAAAAAACAAAACAAACCAAACAAACAAACAAACAAACAAAAAAGCAGCGAGAAGAGAGAGAAGAGAAGTAAGGCCCTCTTCCTGGTAACATCTTGCTCTACTCCTATTCCCGATGTGGGCCACCATTAGCGCTGCTATGTGGAGCAGAATTTGTGCATGCACCAGAGATTATACTTGCAATGCTATCAAAATACTCATGGGTGGTGGGGGATGCACAGAGGTCTTGCCAGGTCTAATGCTGGTGAGGAAGCTTTAGTTTGCTAATGGTAAGGGCTACTGGGCAGTACAGTAAGGGTACTGAGCATAGTAGCATCATGGACAGCAAAATGGCAGCACCTACAAATAACGCAAGTAAGTAAAGTTATTGCTAAAAGAAAATATTCAGATAAACACTGGTAAGTCTTTTTGGAGAGTGATTCTGCCTATGGCTCAGCCAAGGCCCCCTGCTCTATGGCAGGGTGAATCTTCTGGATCTTCTACTAACAGAAATCTTACCCACATAGTGATAACCGCAGTGATTTAATCCTTAGCAGCATTGCTGATATGCACAGGACTCTCAGGGAGAGAGACCCCTGGGTGCCTTGAGGGTGCTTTCCACATCTTGTCATTGGGCTGAGCAGGGTCTTTGGAATCAGTAATCTCATGTTGGCTTGTTACATGTGAGACACTGTGCAGATTATTAAACATGTTTGAGTTTCAGTTTTCCCATTTTGTAAATGGGAAGACTAATATCTATATCAGAGAATGCTATAAGGAGCAAGTGAGACAATCCAAGTAAAACACACAGCCCAAAACTGGTTATAGTAAAATAAATGCTATTATTATTATTATCCTGTAACTTATAGGGTGGAATGACTTAAATGTGTTTAGAATGTGTCACTATTATGGCCCATGGAACAAAGCAACCCATTTTACCAATACCTAGTAGGTCTTCAACAAACAACAGAGACCGCTAGATTAATAGACTTGGAAACTGGTGTGATCATTCTGTACAATGGAATGAAACTCATCTCTGAGTCAGAAAATATGTAGCTCTTTTAGTGGGATAAAATGAGCCACATAGTCAAAATCCCTGCCCTCCTGGAGTTTATGGTCTGGTCAGGAAGGCAAATGTAAATACACGATTCCACAGTTACCTTAATTACCACTGAGATAAGTTTTGTGGTTTTATTTTTATTTTGAGACAGAATCTCTCTCTGTCACCCAGGCTGGAGTGCATTGGCATGATCGCAGCTTACTGACCTTGACTTCCTAGGCTAAATCGATCCTCCTGCCTCAGCCTCCCAAGTAGCTGGGACTACAGGCTCATGCCACCACACTCGGCTAATATTTTTAATTTTTGTTAGAGACAGGGTCTCCTCATGTTACCCAGACGGAGATAAGTTCCTTCCTTCCTTCCTCCCTCCCTTCCTTCCTCTCTCCCTTCCCCTTCCCCTTCCCTTCCCTTTAGCATGCACCACCACCCCCAGCTAATTTTTGTATTTTTAGTAGAGACGGGGTTTCACCATATTGGTCAGGCTGGTCTGGAACTCCTGACCTCAGCTATCTGCCTGCCTCGGCCTCCCAAAGTGCTGGGATTACAGGCATGAGCCACCACACCCACATGGATTTTGATTTTCTTTTCTTTTCTTTTTTTCTTTTCTTTCGTTTCTTCTTTTCTTTCTCTCTCTCTCTCTTTCTAAAAAACAAACAAACAAAACAATGACTACAGTATGCCATATATGAGAGTGGCTAGTGGGATTGGGGAAACAGTGTTCTAAGTCTGGGGAATTCAGGGGAGGCTTTACTGAGGAGGTGCCATTTAAGCTGTTAGCAACATGGGTGTGGGGTGAGGAGGCTGAACAGAGCACCACGCCCAGGCAGAGGGAGCTGGGTGTGTTTGGTTTCTGAGTTGAAAGTTAAGGAAGTTTAAAGAACAGCAGTCAGACGACCATGGCTGGAGCACTGTTAGTGAAGGGCAGAAGGACCTGAGACTTGACTTTGAGGCCAAGCTCTGGTATTTATTGGCTGTGTGATCTTATGAAGTTCATTCAAACTTTCTGAGCTTCAGTTTTCCTATCTGACAAATGGAGATATTATCATATAGAAACAACAGAAAGAATTAGAAGAGCTAATGTGAGAATTCTTTGTAAATTATGCACCAATAAGGTATTCAGTTTCTGCACAGATCTAGGTGTAACAAATACTGAAAGCATCTGAAGGTGTGTATGAGTCATGTCTGCTTTTTAGGTCTTCAGAGTGATGGCTTAGAAAGACAGGCAAGGAAGAGTAAACTCAGCAGGTGTTTGTTTACTCTCAATTGCTAAAAGCCAAGCTTGCTTCACATCTGTTCCAGGCTTTCCCTCCACTAGGACTCAGTGGTTCCCGTGGTTCTCTGGACTAGGGTAAGATTAATCTGACCTGCTGTAATAGGGTCATGGATGTGACATGGTCAGGTTTTCATACATAGCCTTTATGGAGATCCTTACTGGCATTTTAAAATTTATTTTATTTTATTTTATTTTATTTTGAGATGGAGTCTTGCTCTGTCGCCCAGGCTGGAACGCAGTGGTGTGATCTCGGCTCACTGCAACCTCTGCCTTCCAGGTTCAAGCAATTCTCCTTCCTCAGCCTCCCCCGTAGCTGGGATTACAGGCACCTGCCACCATGCCCAACTGATTTTTTGTATTTTTGGTAGAGACGGGGTTTTGTATTTTTGGTAGAGATGGGGTTTCGCCATGTTGCCCAGGCTGGTCTCGGACTCCGACCCACCCGCCTCGGCCTCCCAAAGTGCTAGGATTATAGGTGTGAGCCACCACGCCCAGCCCTCTTACTGGCATTTTTATCATATTTCCATGAATAGAATTTCTAGTCTGTTGCTTCAGATTTGTTCATTTGACTTCTAAAACATCTATCTGTAAACATCTTCTCATGTTTATAAACAGTTTCACATATCCTTTTCTGCAATTCCAAAATTCACAATACTCTGAAAACCAAAATTTTGTAACTCATTTGGCGGCAAAGCCTGGCCTGACTTGCATTCATTCTGTGACAAAACGAGATGTGAAGCTATTTATAGTCTTTCTTTACCTCATCTAGTGTAAATAGCCATACATTTAACGTGAAAATATATTTTTGCTTATTATGGGCTTTAGACCTGCATACACATATTAAATGATAGATTTTTGAGTATTGTGTAGCTTCTAATAGAAAAATCTGGGTGATATATCCTTTTACTCTGAGTATTATTTCATTAGTGTGCTTCGAATAAGTGAGCAATCATTTTAGGTACTTGAACAGAATATGACGAGAGACAGAAATCTATTGCAGCAAAATGAACAAACAAATCCCCTAGCAACCAATTATATACACACATTATGATGCATACGTTTTTCAGATTAGTATGAATAATTATTTGTAGATATTCATACCAGTATATACTTAATTACACGTTTAATTAAATATAATACTTATTTTGAGATCTTCAAAATGCTCATTAAATTTGTGTTTATGAGAACTGAACCTTTTTTTTTTTTTTTTTGGAGACAGTTTTGCCTGTTGCCCAGGCTGGAGTGCAATGGCACAATCTCAGCTCACTGCAACCTCCAGCTCCTGGGTTCAAGCGATTCTCTTGCCTCAGCCTCCCGAGTAGGTGGGATTACAGGCATGCACCACCATGGCCGACTAATTTTGTATTTTTAGTAGATGGGTGGTTTCTCCATGTTGGTTAGGCTGGTCTCAAACTCCTGATCTCAGGTGATCCGCCCGCCTAGGCCTCCCAAAGTGCTGGGATTAAAGGCATGAGCCACGGCGCCCGGCAGGAGAACTGAACCTTTTCTAAGTCTTTTAACATGACCTCATTATCCTGTAGATGAACGGACAAAGAAGCTATTTTCCTTTTTGTTTCTTAGGTTAATCTAGCATTTAATTACATTGTGTTCATTCACTTATTATATAAAGGTGTACTTATTGAGAAATTATTTCTAGAGGCAACTTCACAATGTCAATGTTGTAATTTGGTTATTGGCTCTGTGCACTCCTGAGACAGGGGTAGGATCCCCACTGCCTCAGGGATTCTTGTGTGTGAGAGTGGTAAGTGCTAGTGCAGGTACTCATAGTGTGGCTTTTTAATTTCACTGAAGTTTTGTGACTCCCAAACTGGGCTCACCTGTACATGCCTGTAAAGACATGATAGAAATAGCTTCATGAGCTTACTTTTATTGGCACAATAAACCAAGGCCAGAACTGCCAAGAATGTACAACTGCTATGGTCTGAATGTTTGTGTTCCCCCAAAATTCATGTTCTGAAACCTAATCCCCAATGCAATGTGGTATTAAGTGGTGGGGACTTTTGCAAATGAGATTAGTGCCCTTCTAAAAGAGGCCCCAGGGAGCTTGTTTGCCCTTCCACCATGTGAAGACACAGCTAGATCGCAGATGGCAGATGGCAGTCTATGAGGAAGCCAGCCCTCACCAGACACTGAATCTGCCAGTGCCTTAATCTTGGATTTCCCGGCCTCCAGAACTGTCAGAAATACATTTCTGTTGTTCATAAGTTACCCGGTGCAAGAGATTTTGTTATGGCAGCCCAAACAGACGAAGACAGCAACCAAACTAGGATTGTGTGTGGGGAGCAATAGAGAGGGTTTATTAACGAAAGATGTTCCCTTACTCTCTCTCTTTTTTTTTTTTTTTTCCTGAGACGGAGTTTCACTTTGTCGCCCAGGCTGGAGTGCAGTGGCTCGATCTCTGATCACTGCAAGCTCCGCCTCCCAGGTCACGCCATTCTCCTGCCTCAGCCTCCCAAGTAGCTGGGATTACAGGCGCCCACCATCACGCCCAGCTAATTATTTTTTTTGTATTTTTAGTAGAGACGGTGTTTCACCGTGTTAGCCAGGATGGTCTTGATCTCATAACCTCGTGATCTGCCCGCCTTGGCTTCCCAAAGTGCTGGGATTACAGGCATGAGCCACCGTGCCCGGCCTACTCTCTTACTTCTTTCTGGCCCAGTGATTCTGAGTGCCTGTGCCTATCAAGACGGGAAGAAAGAGAACACACAAATGGAAACTGAGGGGAAGGATCAAACAGTTTCACAAAAATATCCTATTTTAGTGATATTAAATATGATGCAAAGGATTCAAAACCTCACTAAAAAGCCAGAGTGAATCCCAGAGTGTAAATAACTTCACGTTTGAATAATAAACCTTTGCCCTATACATTTTTCTAAAGAGCAAGAGCTGTTACAGGACAGAAAACTCTCCCAGAAGACAGGTCTTTCATCCTAACCCAAGAGGACATGAACATCTTCCATTCACCCAGTGATCACCACTACTTTAGATGAGAGAATAGAACTGCAGTTTGACCCTTGACAGAAAATGCCTTGGAGCCGGGTGTGGTGGCTCACACCTGTCATCCCAGCACTGTGGGAGGCCGAGGTGGGCGGATTACGAGGTCAGGAGATCGAGACCATCCTGGCTAACACAGTGAAACCCCGACTCTACTAAAAATACAAAAAAATTAGCCGGGCATGGTGGCGGGCGCCTGTAGTCCCAGCTACTCGGGAGGCTGAGGCAGGAGAATGGTGTGAACCCGGGAGGCGGAGGTTGCAGTGAGCCGAGATTGTGCCACTGCACTCCAGCCTGGGCAAAAGAACAAGACTCCGTCTCAATAAAAAAAAGAAAGAAAGAAAGAAAGAAAAAGACTTGGAGTGGGAGTTGGGTGAGAGAAGTGCCTCAAAACTAAGCCTCTCAATGCAGTAGAAAGAATTTGAAAATAGGGTAACGAACTTAAGTTCAAATGTTGGCTCTGTCAGCTTTATAGCTGTGTGACCTCTGATTTGCTTCTTACTTTCTTTAAATGGTAGTTTACTAGGCTCAGTATAGAACATGAATATCCACTCTGTGTGGTTAGGTGAGAATTTAATGAGATACTCCCAAAATGTACCTAGCATCTACCTGATCATCAATCAAGTGAACTACGTTGGTTAATATGTTTTCAGGGCTCCCAGAGTGTTAAATTCTGGGCTATATGCTCTCAGGGATGGATGGAAGATGAGGCAGAAGAGAGAAAAGGAAGTAGAAAGAAAGTATGGGAGGCCAGGCCCCGTGGCTCATGCCTGTAATCCCAGCACTTTGGGAGGCTGAGGCGGGCAGATCATGAGGTCAGGAGTTTGAGACCAGCCTGGCCAACATGGTGAAACCCCGTCTCTACTAAAAATACAAAAAATTAGCTGGGCGTGGTGGTGGGGCGCCGGTAATTCCCAGCTACTCAGGAGGCTGAGGCAAGAGAATTGCTTGAACCCAGGAGGCAGAGGTTGCAGTGAGCGAGATCGCGCCACTGCACTCCAGCCCGGGCGACAGTGTGAGACTGTCTCAAAAAATAAATAAATAAATAAAATAAAAATAAATAAATAAGAATAAAAAATAAAAATTATTAAAAAAAAAGAAAGTATGGGAACTAAAATGAATAAGATTTGTCATTTTCCAGTAATCTGAGTAGGAACTCCACTATCTCTATGAAAAACCGTCAAAAACTACAAAAGGAGATGGCATTGCCAAAGGCACAAATTGTACAGAAGTGAGAGAAGGATGGGATCAAGCCTGGGGATCCTTCCAGAGGAAAGAAGTTTTGTGCTTGATGTAAAAGGAAAAGAAGGAAGTAGATTGATTGTGGGGAGGATGAAATTAGGATACTCAAGTAGTGGTTCTGGAAGGACCTCTACAAATATCCTGAAAAATATGGCCAGGAATCCTGGCAGTGACATTGGAATATGAAAAGATGTGAAAGGGGGAAGTTGTAGCTACTGGTGGAAAAAGGTGAGTGGTTTGTATAATGAACATAATTGGAGCCCTTGTCTGTACCCTCAAATGCCTCTGCCTCCCAAACAAGTAACAGATTTTAGCTATACTGATGCAACTTGCTAGGAAGGTTTTCTTTAAACCTTTATAAATCAATTAAAAATGATTTATAGAGGAGACACTTGTAAAACATTTGAATAAAAGTTGAACAACAAATATGACGAAAGAAAAGTGTGCAGGCCCCGCACAGTGGCTTATGCCTGTAATCCCAGCACTTTGGGAGGCTGAGGCAGGTGGATCACCTGAGGTCAGGAGTTCGAGACCAGCCTGACCAATATTGTGAAACCCTGTCTCTACTAAAAATACAAAATTTAGCCAGCCATGGTGGTGTGCACCTGTAGTCTCAGCTACTCGGGAGGCTGAGACAGGAGAATCGCTTGAATCCGGGAGGCGGAAGTCGCCGTCAGTCGAGATCACGCCATTGCACTCCAGCCTGGGTGACAAGAGTGAAACTCCGTCCCCCCACCAAAAAAAAGAAAGAAAAAAAAAGAAAAGTGAGGGTGGAGGGAGGGAGAGCACGACGTGCGCGCACCCTCTCCCCTTGTCCACTGCTGCCGCCTCCTTCTTCTGCCGCTCCTGGTGCTGCTTGTGTGCTCGTTTGGAGCGGACCTGGTACCTCTTTTGTGAAGCGGCAGCTGAGGAGACTCCGGCGCTCGCCATGGCCGAAGAAAAGCCCAAGGAAGGAGTCAAGACTGAGAACAACGATCATATTAATTTGAAGGTGGCGGGGCAGGATGGTTCTGTGGTGCAGTTTAAGATTAAGAGGCATACACCACTTAGTAAACTAATGAAAGCCTATTGTGAACGACAGGGATTGTCAATGAGGCAGATCAGATTCCGATTCGACGGGCAACCAATGAAACAGACACACCTGCACAGTTGGAAATGGAGGATGAAGATACAATTGATGTGTTCCAACAGCAGACGGGAGGTGTCTACTGAAAAGGGAACCTGCTTCTTTACTCCAGAACTCTGTTCTTTAAAGACCAAGATTACATTCTCAATTAGAAAACTGCAATTTGCTTCCACCACATCCTGACTACTACCGTATAGTTTTCTCTATTCTTTCATTTCCCCCTTCCCCATTCCTTTACTGTACATAAAGTAACTGGTATATGTGCACAAGCATATTACTTTTTTTTTTTAAAACTAAACAGCCAATGGTATGTTTTGATTGACATCAAGTGGAGACGGGGGGGAAAATACTGATTCTGTGAAAATACCCCCTTTCTCCATTAGTGGCATGCTCATTCAGCTCTTATCTTTATATTCCAGTAAGTTATTTTGCTCTCACTGTTTTAACAACAACAACAAAAAAACAACAACATAAAAATCCTTGCATACCTTGTTCAATTGGAGAATTTTAATGTTTTTCATTTATCATTGTAAAACCAAGGACAATTTTATAACTTTTTTGTACTTAGCTGTTACATGCAGAGCAATCTGTCTTTAAGTAGGGATAAATTACTCTAAAACAAAAAAGAATCCTAGATAGTTTTCCCTTCAAGTCAAGCGTCTTGTTGTTTAAATAAACTTCTTGTTTAAAAAAAAAAAAAAGTAAAAAAGAAAAGTTATGCAACAATTAATGGCCCAGAGGCAATCCTTGTTAACATTTTGATGCATCTTTTAGCTGTTTTTTTTTTTTTTTTTTTTTTTTTGACTGAGTTTGACTCTTGTCACCCAGGCTGAAGTGCAATGGCATGGCATGATCTTGGCTCACTGCAACCTCCGCCTCCCGGGTTCAAGTGATTCTCCTGCCTCAGCCTCCTGAGTAGCTAGGATTACGGGCATGCACCACCATGCCTGGCTAATTTTGTATTTTTAGTAGAGTTGGGGCTTCTCCACGCTGGTCAGGCTGGTCTCGAACTCCCAACCTCAGGTGATAAGGGAAGGGGCACTATTGACATTTATGGTTGGGGCAGAGGTGTAAGATATTCTTCAAAGCACTACCTACATGTTGAAGAATTGTTCCTCACCCAGATTCTCAAAAGTCCCCCAGGACATTCACGTAGTGAAAACCTGTGTTTAATTATCTGAGCCTATAACTTAATACAGTTTTAAAATATTTTTTTAAATATACAGTGAACTTTCTAGGAATGCAATTATAGTTGTGTGTAAAATTAGGGAAAATTAACTTTGCTACCAAGAGTTGTTCAACATTTTGTTAAATCACTTCATTGATGGCAACATGCTGGAGGTAGTTGAGTCACCAACTCAGCACCTGGATCAGCCTGTGTTGGTAGCAGTTTCATCCCCGTGGTTCTGTGAATAGGTGGAAGCATCTGCTTACTCCATCAGGACTTCTAGGGTAGTCGGGCCTTGGCACTCACACATTAAAATACTGTTTATGTTATTTTATTGCAAGTTACTTTTCTTTCATTTCCCCTTTACGTTACAGAAAGGGAAGCATTTTGCTTTCTGTTTAAAGTTGTGTATGTAGGTAGGTTATATCATCTATGACTTTCTCTCCCTCCTTCCCTTTCTTTTTGTTTGAGATGGAGTCTTGCTCTGTCACCCAGGCTGGAGTGCAGTGGTGCGATCTTGGCTCACTGCAACCTCTGCCTCCCGGGTTCAAGCGATTCTGGTGTCTCAGCTGGGATTACAGGCGCACACCATCACACCACGCTAATTTTTCTATTTTTAGTAGAGATGGGGTTTCGCCATGCTGGCCAGGCCAGGCTGGTCTCAAACTCCTGAGCTCAAGTGATCAGTCCTCCTCGGCCTCCCAAAGTTCTGGGATTTCAGGCGTGAGCCTCATCTATGAATCTCAATTTAGGACAGTAAAAGTGTCATTACAAAATATTTATTGTAAAAAAGGGTTGGAGGTTGAGAATCTCAATTCTAGTCAGTCTCTCAGTGTTTGGTTTCTTCCTACCATTTTTCCCCCTAGGACCAGCCAGAAAGCAGCTTTTTTTTTGTCCCCCCCAACAAGGAGCCCACTGTTTCCTCTCCCAGCCCAAACTCAGGCCTACGAACAACAACAGCACAACACACACACACACACACACCCCTCCACTTCAAGGTATAGCCAAGAGCTTCTGGAGCCGTCAAAAAGGTCTGTACCTGCTGTCTTTAGAGCTTCCAGTTTGCCCTTGGTCAAGAAATACTGTTTGCTAGGCTCTGCTGGAGTACATCAGGTAATACTGGCTTCTAAACCACCCTGAGGTTCTTTTCTCTTGTCCTTTTACTCCTTTCGTACTTCAATTTCTCTCCTTGATGTCCCCCTCCCTGTTTTGTTTTTTGCCTCCAATCCGTTCTGCGCGTTCCCTGCAGAGCAGGCGAGTAGCAATGCTGCTGGACCATGGAGCTGCTCTAGTCTCCCAGAAATCTCTTCTACACCCAACCCTTCTTGCGCTTAGGTGGTCCTCAGTCCCCCTCCCCCACCTCCTTCTGACCCAGGCTTCTTTCTCGCCCTCCGGTCGCAGTTCTCCTGGGCATCTGCCTCTGCCTCTCTCCTCTCACCCGGATCTAGGGCTGCCTTCTCTTTGTGCAGCCGTCTTTCTCCACCTTCATCCCAGACTCCCTGTCTCAGCGCCAGCTCCTCTGCCTTTGGCTCGGGTTCCCTCTCCCCCACCCCAGCTTCCAGTTGTTTGGCCCGCAGGTCCCTCGGCAGTGACCGGCGCCCCCCGACGAGTGCGTGTGCACCAGGGCACCTCCCTCTCCCCCACCTCTCAGCCCCGCGCCTCTCCACCGCCCGCCCCACCGCGCTGTGGGCGGTCCAGGGCGGGGCTGGGATCCGGGGCGGCTCCCGGGGCTCGGGTTGTGGGAGGCGCCCTCTCCCCGGTCTTCCCCTCTCTTCCCCCCGCCCTGCCTTCCCTTGCACCCTCCTTCTTCCCTCCGCCCGGGAGCTCTCCCTGGTCCCCGGCGCCGCCTCCTTCCCTCCCGGCTCCCCGCTCCCCGCTCCCGTGGCTGCCGCCGCCCCGGGGAAGAAGAGACAGGGGTGGGGTTTGGGGGAAGCGAGAGAGGAGGGGAGAGACCCTGGCCAGGCTGGAGCCTGGATTCGAGGGGAGGAGGGACGGGAGGAGGAGAAAGGTGGAGGAGAAGGGAGGGGGGAGCGGGGAGGAGCGGCCGGGCCTGGGGCCTTGAGGCCCGGGGAGAGCCGGGGAGCCGGGCCCGCGCGCCGAGGTAAGAGCCAGGGCCCCGGGTTAGCAGGGCTCGGAGAGGGGGCGCGCGGCGTGGTGGGGGAGGGGGCAGTGGGCGCAGGGCCCAGCTGGGGGAAGCGGGGCTGGGGGAGAGGAGGAACCGCGGGGATGGAATCGGGGAGCGCTGAGGCGGCCGATGCCGGGAGCGTGGGTAAGCCAGGCTTCTGCGAGCCGCGGGGGCCGGGGGAGAGGAGGTGGTGAGAGGTGGAGTCCCGGGAGGGTTGGGGGCCGAGGGAGGCAGGAGGAGGGTGGGGACAGGCTTTCTCTCCTCCTCTCCCCCCACCCCGCGCGGGGCTCCGCCCCCGCCTCCTCCGCGGGGCGCTCTCTTGGTCCCCAGGCTGAGCCCGGTCGGAGCCTGCGAGGCAACCGGCAAGAGGTCGAGTAGTCTCCGGGTGCGGGCCGCGCCGGCGGGGCTCGGTCCAGTCCTCATGGCCGCCTCTCACTTAGATGTTGCTGCTGCTGCTACTGGCGCCACTCTTCCTCCGCCCCCCGGGCGCGGGCGGGGTGCAGACCCCCAACGCCACCTCAGAAGGTGCATCCTTCTTCGACGACCTCGGGCCCTCCTTCGCTCCACTTCCCTTTCCCTGCATCTCCTCATTTCTGGTCCTCATCACTATCCCATCAGTCCCACATATCATCCCGGTCTGGCAACCCCTTCTGCTCGGCCCGACTTTACTACTGCTGACCTCCTTCTGTCACCCCACGTTACTATCCAGCACCTCTTTTCTCTGCCCACATTGCTACACTATACCACCTTCCTGTGCATTTTCTCCGCCTCAATCCCCTTTCCCAGCCCCACATTACTACCTCAATTACTCCCTTTTCTTGGTCCCACTTTGCTGTCCAGATGATCTTATTAGCCTCCCTTTATCCTCCTATCCTAATTCAACTCGAATATCCTCATTTAGCCTTTTTTTTTTTAAAGAAAAGCTCCACCCACATATCATACCCTTCATGATTTCTTAATTACTTTTCTTTCTTACCTCCACCCAGCACCCTTCCCTCCCCACTTGTGGGTTCTCTCATCAGCTTTAACCCTGGCCCTTTACTCTCTGTCCTTTAGCCAGGGGATCTGTACCTGTCCCCACTCCCACCCTCTAGTGCCCCATCCCTCTTCCTCTGTCCCCAGCCTGCCCACAGACCACGCCCTACTCTCCCCTTCCTCCCACTGGGGAGCCTGCCTTTTCCTCTTTCCCACCATTCCTCTCTGTATGCCTCCCCGACTCACCCCTTAGGTTGCCAGATCATACACCCGCCCTGGGAAGGGGGCATCAGGTACCGGGGCCTGACTCGGGACCAGGTGAAGGCTATCAACTTCCTGCCAGTGGACTATGAGATTGAGTATGTGTGCCGGGGGGAGCGCGAGGTGGTGGGGCCCAAGGTCCGCAAGTGCCTGGCCAACGGCTCCTGGACAGATATGGACACACCCAGCCGCTGTGGTGAGTAGCCTCGGAAGCCCCTCCCCTCTTCAAGACTATTCCTTTTCCTGCCGCAAACTTAGCATTACTGCTTGCAAGTCAGCACTTTAAATCCAGTATACCAAAATTCACAAATACATTTATTGAATGACTACTACATAAGAGCAATTTTGCTCTGTGCGGTTGGAGGTAGTAGAGCTAGCAGCCTGCACAGTTCATTTCATCCTCCCTTCATTAGGCCACTGATCATTGGCCTATAACATTGATAATTCATCTTGTCAGTTATTCTCTTTGAGGATCATTAGTGGCAGATGATGACAAAAAAATTCTAAAATGATTTCATCACATTTTTGAATACCTCTGTCACCAACCCAGAGACCATATGCCCAAGAAACAAAAGCCAGTTTAATATTAATAGAAGCCAACTATAATAAGAAAAGCAAATCTGATTGTGCATCCAAAGTTATATACATCTACATATTTCAAAGCCAGAGAACCGCCCACTGTAGCTGACTTTGAAGAGATCCCATTTTGTGTGCTTATAGCCCCATCTTGGGTTCCTAAAATGGTAATTTTTTTTTTCTTTTGGGAATGTGTGGATGCTTGCACAGGTAAGGGAGGATTGGAAGATAGGTAGGCAAATCCTTTTCACATGTGATTTTCTTTAGAGCAGGATGCTTGTGGACCCAAACCTGCACCTGAGTCCCCTGCTCTTTAAAGGGAAAGAGCCTTCTTCAACTCGCCTCTCTTCTTATTTTCCTATCTCTCCACAGTCCGAATCTGCTCCAAGTCTTATTTGACCCTGGAAAATGGGAAGGTTTTCCTGACGGGTGGGGACCTCCCAGCTCTGGACGGAGCCCGGGTGGATTTCCGGTGTGACCCCGACTTCCATCTGGTGGGCAGCTCCCGGAGCATCTGTAGTCAGGGCCAGTGGAGCACCCCCAAGCCCCACTGCCAGGGTGAGGGGAACAGCTGCCTGCATGCAGCTGATGAGGACGCTTGTGTGAGGATGGGAGTGGGGTGGGAATGGATAATGGGAAAGAATGGAGAGCTATAAAAATGTGGGGGAGGACATTGGAAAGGGGAGATGAAAGTCCCTTTTTCCTCCATCACCTGCCTCAAACTTCCTCTTGCAGTCCCCGGTATCCTCTGTAGGTTGGGGGCTTCCTTCCTTTACCTTTTAAAAAAATCTTCCTGCTCCCGATTCTTAGACCTCACGTTTTCTCTTTTCCTTTATGAATCTCACCTCTCTCACCTTCTTCAGGTTTAAATACTCCAATTTTCCCTTTCTCTAAACTTAGAAATTTCCATGCATCACCCTCTTCTAGAATTCATCCCTCACCATTCCTTATATAATTGATTTATTGTAAAGACTCAGAAATAAATCAAACATTCTACTAAGAAAAATTGAGAAGGGGAGCTCTGGGGGTGGAAACATATTAGGGTAAAAGACTTAAAATTGGAGGCAGCATTATCAGAAGATGAAGAACAACTCAGGGATGGGGTGGGAAGAAGACAGGTCCTTTTCTGTACTTCCTAGACAACCTCCATTATTCCCTAAGGGAATCAGTGTTGTGTCTGTCTACTTTTTTTTTTTTTTTTTTTTTGCCACGTAATTTTACAAACTCTCCCTTTTCTAGGCACCCGAACTCTCTGCCATCTTCTCTCCTGGGATGCAGTCATCCCATTTGTATGCCTCATACTTCCTCTACCCTGGTAGATTCTTTCAAGATCCTTGGGCTTTACTTTCCTCACATAACTCAGTTATTCTGCTTCTAGTTTACCATTTTATTCTGGAAATTGAGAGTCCCATCCAGGGGTGGACTTATGACACTACTGAAACTTAGACTTCAAGGTTCCTCACCTACAGGGCCCTCTTCCTGTGCTCTAATAATATAGAGGGCTCGATGGATATGTGTTCATATGGTAACAGGCTTTTGTAAAAATTGCAGAAATAAGATTTTAACAGCAATTGCTTAAAGCCAATTGTATGTGTAATTTTTTTTCTTAAAGACTCCCAATTTTGTAATATTCAGGCACCACAGAACCAAGATCTGCCCCAAACTTAGCTATTGGCATTCCCGTCTCAAATTCTGTTGTCCTATGAAAAATCGAAGAAGAAAATAAGTCCTGACCCCCTTACCCCCAGACCCACCTTGTTCTTATCCCCAGGCACCCTCCCCTCAGAAACGCAGGCTTCTGCTCTCCCCGGTCTTCAGCATGGACAGGTGTGGGAGGGGGCTGGGGATCAGGCCAGGGAAGCTGGGCGCCAGTGGTAACTCTTCTCTGATCCCCGTCTTTCCTGCTGCCAGTGAATCGAACGCCACACTCAGGTGAGATGAGAAACCCTTACCGCGCGCACTGCAATGCCCTCCCCTTCACTCTGCACCCTCCACCCCCCTGAAATTCTGCCCTTAGGCTACGGGGCGTCGTCCTTTCGCACCTTCCCCAACCCACCCCAGTTTGCGGCCACCCCCTTCCCTCCCTACCTGTTTCCTGCCTCCAGTCCCGGTTTTCCACGAGGCTGCGGTCTCTCCTTGTCCCTGCTTGGCTACACTTCCCTGGGCTCCACCTCCTCCCAGACTGAGCCTCGCCGGTGTCAGGCAGAGCCCAGCAGAGGGCGGCAGGGTGCTGGGAGACCCTGAGCTCCCACCACGTTTTCCCCTGTGGGGTTCCTTGCGACCTTCGCTGGAACCTTTTCCAGCCTGCTGCCTCCTAGGATTTCACCTAATGGACTTTCTCAGCCTGTCCCACCCATCCCAACCCTGGCCAGGCCTCTCGCGCTCTTCCCCACATCTTTTCCTTCCGTGTACCCCTTCCCTCGTCTTTTCTCAATTCCATGTCCTGTCTCCCTTTCTTAGGCTTCTGTCTACCCAGCCCCAGGCTCCCTTCCACGACCCCACCACTCCCTCAAACCAGCCTCCCTTCCGTACCCAACTCGTTCCCTCCAAAACCGTTTCCTCTCCCCCACATCCTCAGTGCTTCACTGTATCGACTCATACTCCCACTTCAGACCTCAGGCGCCAGCCCCGTTTCTCTCCCGTCCCACTCGCATCCTTCCCTTCCTACCCTGGTTCCTCCGTGCTTCAGCCTCCCGCGGCTCCCTCCGCCCACCCCGCCCTCCTGGCACGCCCCGTCCCCATTTCTCCTCCCCTCGGGTCCCCTTAAGTGAGATCCCTCCCTTCCTCTTTCGTTCCTTTCCTCCTCGAGGTTGCATCCCCCCTCCCCTCCCCGCCCCTCCGACTGTCGCTCCCACCTCGGCGCTCGCTTCCCTCCCCGCCCCCTTCCTGCCTCCCCAGCTCCCGCCCGCCCCCCCACCCCCCGCTGCCGCGCGCCGCCCGTGACGTCAGAGCCCCCTCCCAGCCCCACATCTCCCTCCTGCTCCTCCTCCTCCCCTCCGTCGGTCAGTCAGTCCGCGAGGAGAGTCCGCGGTGGCGGCGACGGTGGCGAGAGCCGCGGGGGCCGTAGGAAGCCAACCTTCCCTGCTTCTCCGGGGCCCTCGCCCCCTCCTCCCCACAAAATCAGGGATGGAGGCGCCTCCCCGGCACCCTCTTAGCAGCCCTCCCCAGGAAAAGTGTCCCCCCTGAGCTCCTAACGCTCCCCAACAGCTACCCCTGCCCCCCACGCCATGGGGCCCGGGGCCCCTTTTGCCCGGGTGGGGTGGCCACTGCCGCTTCTGGTTGTGATGGCGGCAGGGGTGGCTCCGGTGTGGGCCTCCCACTCCCCCCATCTCCCGCGGCCTCACTCGCGGGTCCCCCCGCACCCCTCCTCAGAACGGCGCGCAGTGTACATCGGGGCACTGTTTCCCATGAGCGGGGGCTGGCCAGGGGGCCAGGCCTGCCAGCCCGCGGTGGAGATGGCGCTGGAGGACGTGAATAGCCGCAGGGACATCCTGCCGGACTATGAGCTCAAGCTCATCCACCACGACAGCAAGGTAGCCCTGGACATGGGGGTGGGTGGGAGGTGGGGGCTTGCGGGGCAGGGGGCCAGCCAGCTGCACGCGCCCCCATCTGTCTGAGTCGTCTCTGGGATTGCGAGGCAGACCCCTCCCTTGTGTGACTGGCAGGAGATGGGCTGGGGGTGCAGGAGCTTGGGGAGAGTCGCAGGGGCTGGAGGTCCAAGATGAGGGTCTAGGGGCTCAAG
The DNA here is from genome assembly GCF_000001405.40 of Homo sapiens. Taxonomy (NCBI): domain Eukaryota; kingdom Metazoa; phylum Chordata; class Mammalia; order Primates; family Hominidae; genus Homo; species Homo sapiens. The sequence continues at coordinate 892,420 of NT_167246.2, read as the reverse complement.
ATGGTTAAGCATGCTGCAAGGCAGACCCTTCTGCCCCGCTGCGGGAGTCTCGCAGAAGTGTCGGGGTTTGGAGAAACTGGTGGTGGATTTAAGGTATTAGGAGACACTGATCCTCTGAGGGAGTAAACTAACCCTGGAATGGGTTGGGGGTGGAGGGAATGTCAGAGGTGGGGAGCTGGATTGGGGGTTTACATTTACCATGGTAACAAGGTAAAATCTTGGCGTAGGTTGGAGCTGGAAGGAATAGGGACAGAATGAGGAAAATTTTGAGAGACTTGAGAGCTCTAGTTTATTTATCTTAACAAAACAGCAAGGTAGTGGTGAGCCCTACCTGACTCCTTCTCATCCTTCTATTCCCAACCCTGTTGAGCATTCCCAGACTGTGGGATAGATGGCATATGGTGATTGGGGAAGGCTAATGATCAAGAGGTGGGCAGAGGCACTGGGAAAATGAATTGGATTGGGGATCCACATGGGAACCCCCACAATAGCATGGGGATGAAGAAGAGTCAACATACAAGGAGAAGAGAACAGAAAAGAATGGCAGTGGGGGAGAGGGGCAAGGAGGTAGCGTGGGGATAATGAGAGATCTTGGGGCACCTTAGGGAACTTGGGTCCTGACCTTCCCTTCCCTTATAGCATTGTGGCCTCTAGGATGTGAGAAGGGAAATGGGATGTAGGGATTAGGGAGGTGAGTTGAGGGAGAGAGAGAAGGTAAGCAAATTTGGGTCCAGGGGTATTAGGGGATAGCTTATAATGAGGTTTTTTTTCCCACCCCTCTCCCCTACATGAATAATTGGGGGTGCAGGGAAGGATGTGACACAGGGAAGGAGATTTAAGATCTCAAATTTATCTTCACTGACATGTGGCCCCAGAGACTTAAGGAATTGGGTTAGGGTGAAATAGAGTACACAAGGTGAGAATTTGGTGATCTTACCAAATATCAACCTTGGGGTGATCCAAGGATTTATATTCATTTTTAGAACATCACTATACACCTAGAAATAGGTGTGTGTCTGGGATAGGTGTGTGAGGGGACAGAAGTGAGGTTGAAGGTAGGGTGCTTGAAGAGAAGAGAGCACAAGGATTATCAGGAGCTTGGCAAGAGAACTTAAAATCCTTTTTGACTGTTACTTTCTCGTGGTTCTCAGCCTTCAGTGTACATAAGAATCACCAGAGGAGTTTGTTAAAAATACAGATTCTAGCTCCTTGGTCAGGGATGAATCCCAAGTATTTATCTGTATTTTTACTAATAGACATCCTATCTTGGTGGATTCCTGAGCTGTAAGCTAACCCCAGAATGCCTATGGGAAGAGCAGCAGGGTACAGGAAAATAATTAGGTATTAGGGTACGGGAGGCAGGAAGAGAAGTAGAGGATCAGATCTGGTAGAGGGTCAGACTTGGGACAGTCAGAGAGATCATTGGTTTTGGGGAGTGGAGTGTGAAGAAAATGACAGGGAGAGATGGGTGCAGGCTTTATGATAGGGGATCACAGGAGATAGGGGAGGCCTGGCTGTGAGCTCAAACTCATCCACCATGACAGGTGATTCCCTGGAGGTGGCGGGGAGCAGACGCGGGACCTGGGAGAAGGGAACTGGAGAACATCAGAGGCATCAAGCGGGGTGGGATGGGAAGGCAGAAGAACCAGAATGTGTCAATTGGAATGAGTCGGTTTCCTGCCTGCAAATCCAGATCCTTGCAAGAGCAAAGAGAGGGAGGAGAACTAAGGAAATCTATTGGGGAGGGGGAGAGAATCACGTGGTGGAGAGAATCTGCAGTGATGAATAGTGTGTGGAAGAGGGAAACGGTTGCAAGAAAAGGTAGATAAGAAATCAGGAAACAAAATGGGGGGCATGCCTTGCCCTGTTGATATGTATCTTATATGTTCTTGTATGTCCTCATTGTTCCTATTAACCCTGTCTTTAGAGAAGTGGAGGGGCACTGAGGGGCTGTGGGAGACGCTGGGAGCAGGATCTGGAGTAATAGATGTGGGGAGAGTGCAGGAAGGTGGGTTCTGAGAATGGTAAAGATTTACAAAGTTGCCCTAGTGGGAGGCATAAAGAGAAAACCTTCCAATGTTGTTGAGCACTGCCCTTGGCCAGAGTGAGGGTAGGGTGGGCAACAGAGAATTCTCAGTGACTGCTGGTTCTTCAGATTCCAACAGCTTCCCCTGGCTCCCCCTTCTCCAACTTCCCACCGTGTCCCAAATGTCAGGCCTCAGTGGGAGGTAAGCAGGCTCCAGAGTGCTTTCTTTATTTCCTTTCTACTTATCCTCCCCTCCTGGCAACATTTCACCCTCCTTAGTCCCCTGAGCCCCCTGTCTGTGTCCCCTCTGCCCTGGCTCCCCACTGGCTGCCATTTCTTCTTCACATGTATTGGGGTTCCAGCAGCTTCTGAAATGTCATATGTCAGTGGGAGGGGAACAGGCAGTGGGAGACCCAAGGCTGGCTCTTCCTCCCCCATTTCCCCTCCTCCCAAGCTTCCTTTCTTCTCCAGCTTTCTGCTTGTTTACTTTCCCTAGCTCCAAGCCTCTCTTTAAGGCACCTCTCAAATTGTCTGGTTTCTTGAGAGTTCCATTCTATTCATTCTCTCTGTTCTTTCCTCATCCTACATTCTTCCCTACTTCCACCCCCCAGTGTCTTTTTTTCTAATGGACCTGTCAAATGTCAGCGCCCAGCAGGAGGGATGGATCACTGAGCGGGACCCCCTACTGGTCTTGTTCCTGTTCTCTCTTTACTTATCACTAGCTCTGAAAAGAGAAGAGGGAGGAAACAAATGGAAGGTGGGGAGAAGGGGTTTGCAGAGGTGAGGAAGGAATTTTCATAATATGGCTTTGAGCAAGCTATCTGGGGATGTGGAAAGAGTTTACCGTATTCCTACTGACTTCTTCCACCCACTGGTGTTTGAAGCATAGAAACATGGGGTAAAGGGCTTGGTGACAGAGGGAAGGGGGATGTCTGAGGGTGAGCTGAAAGGAGGTAAGGTGGTATGTTCATTAATACCAAAGGAGGGGTGTGCAGGAGAGGTGATGGGTAAGGCTCCAGATGGAAGACAGAGAAGGAAGTTTAATGAAAGAGGAGAAAAAAGGCACTTGACAGGAAGAGATGCCAGAAAGGAGAAGAAAACGGTAATTAATGATGAAAGTGAGTAATTGAGAAAGGAACTAATTTGTTCGAGAAAGATAAGAGTAGGAATTGCAGACAGGGGAGGGGCCCCAGGAGAGCTTGCCCTCATCTCCTCTTGTCTTTCAGTGTGATCCAGGCCAAGCCACCAAGTACCTATATGAGCTGCTCTACAACGACCCTATCAAGATCATCCTTATGCCTGGCTGCAGCTCTGTCTCCACGCTGGTGGCTGAGGCTGCTAGGATGTGGAACCTCATTGTGGTAAGCAGGGCTATGGGGGTCAGAAGATGGGGTCATTCCCTTTTGAGCTCTACTGAAGGGACGATGGCGATTGTGGGTTTGTATTGAAAAGGAGTGTGGAGGACCTGCTACTAAGATTCAGAGTCCTCTGCAGACCTGAGCTAGGCAGCCTCCTAGCAACAGTGGCCTGACAGTGCTGCAGCTGACCTCCTTCTTCAGAAGGAATTGAAATTAGATCAGTGAAAGAGCATCCCGGTTGTGAGGGGTGTGTGGGCCTTTGAGAATCTCTTTTCCTTAGGCAGACCAGAGGTGGGGAGGTTTGGAGAGAGTAAGGAAGAGAAACCCAAAGGCAGGAAGAGGGTTAAAGGAACTCTTGGCCACTCTTGGTGTCCTCAGTGAACAGACCCTGTTGCACTCACTCTCCCTGCCCCACAGCTTTCCTATGGCTCCAGCTCACCAGCCCTGTCAAACCGGCAGCGTTTCCCCACTTTCTTCCGAACGCACCCATCAGCCACACTCCACAACCCTACCCGCGTGAAACTCTTTGAAAAGTGGGGCTGGAAGAAGATTGCTACCATCCAGCAGACCACTGAGGTCTTCACTTCGGTGAGGAGGGGTTGGGCAAGGGGTAAAGGGACATAAGCTCAAATTCCAGCACCAGGAGATGTGACGTGAGAGTCACTTTTAGGGGCAAGAACTTGATTCTTCATTGAAAGAGAACGCATTCCATGTGGAGTAAGTGCAGTTCTTTCTGTAGCCAGGGGAAAGAATGAGTTGAGTTTTTGGGATCCTCTCTGTCTTTATGATTTTATGATTTTTTTCCCCTGTTTGATGCCCTGTTCCCCAGACATATAGACCCAGAATGACTCAGTTCTGTTAAAGTAGGTTCAATCCAAAGTGGGGGCAAGAGATGGGAGCGAAGATGAGATAGGAATCCAGGAAGGCAGCAGATTCCAGAGGCTTTCAAGGGGGGTGGTGGGTGGGTGTGAATGGGAACAGAGGGGATGGAGCCAGTGGATTACAGAGGAGAGAGGGAGAGGAAAGAGAGAGAGAGAGAGGAATGAGGGAGAGGAGAGAGAGGGGCAGAAAGACAGCTGCATGGATCTGGTAGTTGGTACTAAGAGAGAGAAGCCGACAGACAAGGAGAGGTTGAGGGGGAAGAGGGAGATTTGGGGAGGTAGAGAGGAAATACAGGCTCTACATCTGAAGAAGGCAGTCTGCTCCCTCCCTTTTATTCTATTCTTTGGGTCTTCTATCCACTGTGTTCAGTGGCCCTTTAATCCTCCCCCACTTTCACTCTGATTCAGACCATTCTTCTCTGATCCTTTGTCTGTCTGCCCATTTGCCTCTTGAGGTTGACATCATGCTGTCTGTCCCAGTCCTTGCCTTGTCTTTTCCTGGTTCCTTTATGTTTCTTTACCCCATCTTTGCCTTCAGTGGTAGGAGTGGGTGAATGGAGTGGCTTCCCCCACACAGAGCCTCAGCAGGGGCTCACCATTCACCTTCCCACTTGGAATCCACATCCTAAGACCAGATGCCTTCCCGAACTCCTCACTTCAGGGACAGAAGCTGTTGAAGGAAGGTTCAGAATGGCTGCTTCTTTGCTCTATCTGAGTATTGCTCTGAAATCCCCAGTTAACCTCTCTGGTCTTTATTCCCTCATGCACCCCGTGTTTTTCCAACTTGTATTTTATTCCCACCCAAGACTCTGGACGACCTGGAGGAACGAGTGAAGGAGGCTGGAATTGAGATTACTTTCCGCCAGAGTTTCTTCTCAGATCCAGCTGTGCCCGTCAAAAACCTGAAGGTCAGATGGCTGGGAGTGGTGGGCTCTGTTTACGGAGGGACCAAGCTGGGGGACAGTGACTGGTTGGAGAGGAAAGCCAGGCGGGGGCAGGTTTTGATTCTCTGAGGCAATAGCATCTCCTGGGGAAGTTTAGCTCCATCTTCCAGTTGACGTTTATTCACTATACGTTGAGCGTTACCCTGCACTAAGCACTTTGGGATGGGAAATCAAAGCTGTGAAGACATCTGGCTTAGCCCCTCAGGCATTCCCGGGCATCCCTCAGGAGCTGTTTCTTTCTCTGTTGTAGCGCCAGGATGCCCGAATCATCGTGGGACTTTTCTATGAGACTGAAGCCCGGAAAGTTTTTTGTGAGGTGGAGTTGGATCTGAAGAGGGAGGGGCACTGGGTGGGAGTTTCCCTTGGTTTTCTTGTGGGGCCTCCTCTTGGCATCTGTGCCTGAGTTGATAGCATATGATCTGAGGTGACGATTCATAGGATGTCTCTGTCTGTTGGCTCTGACTGCATCCCTTGTCTGCACACACATGATACTTTCTTCAGATCTCATTTTTCTACTGCTTTGTGTTTCCTGAGAAGCCCATGAATTCCATCTGTCCTGACTGGCTGGAAAAGGCCACTCAGAAATACAGGGGCTGGGGAGAAACTTAGAAGGAAGAATTGTCAGCCTTTCCTACTATCCCCAAGACTTGTAGATTTCTCTTTTTAGTTCTACTGCTCTTCCCTGATTCCCAAGAGGCTAAATAGTATCAAGTGAGATAAGACAAAAACAAACAAATGAGCAAACAAAAACTCAGCCATTCTCCTCTGTATTCAGGTGTACAAGGAGCGTCTCTTTGGGAAGAAGTACGTCTGGTTCCTCATTGGGTGGTATGCTGACAATTGGTTCAAGATCTACGACCCTTCTATCAACTGCACAGTGGATGAGATGACTGAGGCGGTGGAGGGCCACATCACAACTGAGATTGTCATGCTGAATCCTGCCAATACCCGCAGCATTTCCAACATGGTGAGAGTGTGGGGACTTGCAGTCTGGCACCTGGGAGGGTGGAGAGGACTGAGGGGGCCTTGCAGGGGAAAGGGTGGCAGGGAGAGGGTGCGGAATTTGGATATAAAGGAGAAGAGGGGGCTGTGCCCACCCTGAACTTGTCTGCATTATGTTTCCTGTGGATCCTACCTTTGCTCTGACTTCCTTGGGTAGAGAGAGAAAAAAAAAACGATGGAGTTGTATGTTCAGTAGGTTCCTGATGAGTGGAAGGGCTGTTACCATGGAGACGAGGAGCAGTTGGTGAGAAGTCAGGAGGAACCGGCATTAATGATAATATGGATGCTTGTATACGCAAGCACACCTTTACAGGAGCACTGTGTCTGGGCAGAATTGCATTTCATTTTCTTGGTGATTTATGTTAGTGTTTTAGAGTTGCTTAATATTCACTCATGATTGATATGCAATTAGCTTGGATCCTGTTGCTTTTTTTAATGATTCTTTTTTTAGAATTTTATGTGGAGAAGGGGCTTTTGAAATCATTTAGCCCCAGACAGCTGGTTAATGACAGACTTGGAGCGAGGAGGCGCATTCTCTGATTTGAGAGGGCTGGGGCAGCCCTGCAGCTGAGGGGCAGAAGTGAGTGTGGGTGTGGGCGTAGGGGAAGAGGCTTCTTTGTTGCTCAGCACTACATTGTAAAGAGTACAGGAATTTTGGGTAAGCTCGATACGGCCACCTATGTGTCTGCTTATCACACCAAGTGTGTACCTGCTTTGGAGAGCATGTTAGGGGTGAGTTAATGGTTGTAAAGCCCCAAAATAGCTTGATTTAAAAAGTTTTACTAACAGTGGCATTTGTGTGGTACTTAGATTCATGATTTCAGGGATTCTAACAGCAAAACTCTGATGTGGACTTATCTACATTTTGTAGACCAGGAAAATGAGACTCAGAGTGGTTTAATGACTTGTCTCAGGTCATGCAGCTACTCAGCAGTCCAGCTGGAATTGAATCCTAGTTAAATCTGACTCCAAACTGCTCTGCTCATCACTTCCCATGGAAAACCATGAAGCCTGACTAAAAAGTTTGTACTTTTATCTGCTAACACTGTTTAGCTACTGGCAATTGCTGAGCAAAGGAGAAATAAGATTTAGGAAGTTGACTCTGGTGGTGTGTTGTGATGAAAGATCTGCTGCCACATGGACTCTGATGATACACACTGTTTTGGGACATTCTAAATGGACTCTATGTTTTAAGGTATGTTAGTTGAAAAATACAATGAAAAAATTTTGGAAGATCACTTTCCTGTAGAGTACCCAAGAGGTGAGTCATCCATAAAACCTGGGAAAGTATTGGAACTGGCTACCAAAGCCAGAAAGACTTGTTGGTGCCCTGAGCCCAGGACTTGCCAATCGTTGCTTCTGTCTTATAGCAGGGATTTGGCTGGATCTAGTGGCTCACACCTGTAGTCCCCAGCACCTTGGGAGGCCAAGGCAGAGGATCACTGGAGCCCAGGAGTTCAAGACCAGCCTGGGCAATATAGTGAGACCCCCAGCTCTAAACAAAAAGAGAGAGAGAGAGAACAGAGAGATGGTTAGGGACATAGAGGGACACCTGAGCATTGGGGTGGGAAGACTTGGAAGGTCCCTTTCTGACTTTGTGTCTAGAGAAAGATGGTTCCTGCTTTTGAGGCCATAGGGCTTCCAGTGGGACCAGCCTAAAATGCCAGTGGGGAAGCCAATGTTTTCTGAAGAGGATAGAGCAGTCTTAACAATAGGTTAGGGGCAAAAGAGATTATAGATTAATCAAACAGCACAAATAGAAGTGGATCAAAGCAAGGGTTGGACCTAGGGGGCCGGAGCCATGGAGACTTAGAAAAGAAGCAGAGTTGCTTTTATTCCCTAAGGATGGCCTTATGTTTAGATCAATAGTTCTCAAACTTTAACATCCGTCAGAACCACCTGGAAAGGTAGTTAGTTCACAGGTTATCAGGCCCTTCCCCTGGAAATTCTGATTCAGTAGATCTGGGCTAGGGCCTGAGAACTGACATTTCTAGCAAGTTCCTGGGGATGCAGATGTACTGGTCTGGGGATCACACCTCGAGAACTATTAGTTAGGGTAGTGGTTTTCAACTACTACCCTAGACTCAGACGCTACACTATCTGGAGGCATTTTTGGTTGTTACAGTTGGGGGTAGGGGATGGGGAGGGATACATGCTCCTGATATCTAATGTGTAGAAGCCAAAGATGATTCTAAATATCCTACAAAGCACAGCCCCTGGCAACAAAGAATTATCTTGCTCAAAATGTTAATAGTGCAGAGAATGAGAAACCCTAGTTTAGAGAAAACATCTTTAGGGGCAATATGTGGAAATGGAGAGTGGGTTAGAGTGGTTTTAGAGAAATGTAGCTGTGGGCTAGAGGGGAATGTGGGAGGTGGCATCCTGGAGATAAGATTGTGAGGAAATCTTGATTGGGGTAGAGATCCCGTCAGACCTAGGACCAGTACAAACTAAAAAGCTACCTCAAGATATACATTTTAGCCCACTGTCAAGCATCCATTCTTGAGAGCCAGACAAGGCTGTTAAAAAAATTAGGTATAAATTTGCACTTGGTTGATTAACTAATTGCTGTGGGTTGAGGGGTCTTTATTGTTCAGATTTCCTTAAGCTGCAGAGTAGAGTGTCTCTTCGACAATCTATAACTGTATCTTTACTGACTCAAGGGGGAAGCATTCTACTCTTCTTTACTCTTGGGGTGGCAGGAGCAGTGGTGCCCCCAGTGGTTAGGCGTGTTAGTGGTAGTGACCTGGCGTGAGCACAGGGTCTGACCACCTGAGCAGGGGACCGCATCGTGCTGAGCAGATTAATCCCTTTCTTTCTGGGTGATTTTTTTGATGCCATATTTACCTTGAACTGAAGATTGGATAGACCAATCTTTCAATTTGAAGCCAAAAGACTACTCAAAGTATTAGCCTAGCTGCTATTTGTGCAGGTGCTCTTAGAGAGAGGCAGTCTCATGTACAGAGACTGTGTAGGGTGGCTGGTAAGAGTATGGATTAGCTCTGCTACTCATTAATAGTATAACTTTTTTATAGGCAAGTTATATAACTTTTCTGTGCCTCAGTTTTCTTATCTCTAAAATGGGGATAATAACACCTCATTGGATTGTTTGAGGATTAAATAAGGTGATATAGTTTCCTCAGGAAAATGCTCGATACGTCCTAAGGACTGTATACATGTTAGCCACCATCATCGTTATCATTATCATCATCATCCTGTGTAAGGAGGGATCGATATCAATGAAACATTTCAACAAAAGAGTTAAGAGGACACAGTGATTTGAAAGGGTCTGATGTAATTCCAAGGCTTCAGTCTCATTTACTGGGAGCTGTTTGGGAGTAAGAAAAAATTGAGCTTCATCTTGGATATTTTGATTTTGAGATTATTCATCATACATTAAAAATGCCTCAGAGTCAGTTAGAAATATGAACTTGAGGCTGGGCGCGGTGGCTCACGCCTATAATCCCAGCACTTTGGGAGGCTGAGGCAGGTGGATCACAAGGCCAGGAGTTCAAGACCAGCCTGGCTAACATGGTGAAACCCCGTCTCTGCTAAAAATACACAAATCAGCTGGGTGTGGTGTCGTGTGCCTGTAATCCCAGCTACTCGGGAGGCTGAGACACAAGAATCGCTTGAACCCAGGAGGCAGAGGTTGCAGTGAGCCAAGATCGCACTACTGCACTCCAGCCTGGCAACAGAGCAAGACTCCATCTCAAAAAAAAAAAAAAAAGAAAGAAAGAAAGAAAAGAAATATGGACTTGAAATATTGGGCTGAAATTATAGATCTGAGTATCAATAACAAAGATGAGGTTGAGAGTCAAGGAAATTCACGTAGAGAAAATGTAACTTACTTCATACCCAGCATTTTTATACATGTTCTAATTTCATTTCATACTATTTTAGATAGTATTATTCTCATTGTAAAGCTGAATAACCAACTAGTGAGGTTTAATAACTTGTTTGAGATTTCATAGCAGGTAAAATGATTAGAATATGAATTCATCCATTTATCTATCCAACAGACTTTTTTTTTTTTTTTTTTTAGTAGAGACGGGGTTTCACCGTGTTAGCCAGGATGGTCTCGATCTCCTGACCTCGTGATCCGCCCGCCTCGGCCTCCCAAAATGCTGGGATTACAGGCGTGAGCCACCGCGCCCAGCCTTTTTTTTTTTTTTTTTTTTGAGGTAGAGTATCCCTCTGCTGCCCAGGCAGGAGTGCAGTGGTGCAATCGCTGCAGCCTTGACCTCCTGGGCTCAAGCCATCCACCCACCTCAGCCCCTCCCAAGTAAGCTGGGATCACAGACATATGCCACCAAGTCTGGCTAATTTTTTTTTTTTCTCGAGATAGAGTCTTGCTCTGTTGCCTAGGCTGGAGCACAATGGTGTGATCTCGGCTCACTGCAACCTCTGCCTCCTGGGTTCCAGTGATTCTCCTGCCTCAGCCTTCTGAATAGCTGGGATTACAGGTGCGTGCCACCATGCCCAGATAAGTTTTTGTATTTTTAGTGGACATGGGGTTTCACCATGTTGGTCAGGTTGGTCTCGAACACCTAACCTCATGATTCACCCTCCTCAGCCTCCCGAAGTGCTGGGATTACAGGCATGAGCCACTGCTCCAAGCCAAGTCCGGCTAATTTTTTTTTTTTCTGAGATGGAGTCTTGCTCTGTTGCCCAGGCTGGAGTGCAATGGCATGATCTTGGCTCACTGCAACCTCCGCCTCCTGGGTTCAAGCGATTCTCCTGCCTCAGCCTCCTGAGTAGCTGGGATTACGGGAGCCCACCATCACACCCAGCTAATTTTTGTATTTTTTTTTTTGAGACAGAGTTTCATTCTTATTGCCCAGGCTTGAGTGCAATGGCGCGATCTTGGCTCACAGCAACCTCCGCCTCCCAGGTTCAAGCCATTCTCCTGCCTCAGCCTCCGGAGTAGCTGGGATTACAGGCATGCACCACCACACCCGGCTAATTTTGTATTTTTAGTAGAGACAGGGTTTCTCCATGTTGCTCAGGCTGGTCTCGAACTCCGGACCTCAGGTGATCCACCTGCCTCAGCCTCCCAAAGTGCTGGGATTACAGGCGTGAGCCACCGTGCCCAGCTAATTTTTGTATTTTTCATAGAGACAGGGTTTCACCATGTTGGCCAGGCTGGTCTTGAACTCCTGACCTCATGATCTGCCCGCCTTGACCTCCCAAAGTCCTGAGATTACAGATGTGAGCCTCCGTGCCCAGGCCAAGTCTGGCTAATTTTTAAAAAAATTTTGTAGAGTTGGGTCCTCTCTGTTTTGCCCAGTCTTGTCTCAAACTCCTGGGCTCAAGGAATCCTCCTGCGTTGGCCTCTGAAAATGAAAATGTTGGGATTACAGGCGTGAGCCCCCTGTGCCTGGCTGCCTTTTTTTTTTTTTTTTTTTTTTTTTTTTAAGGCAGAGTCTCACTCCATCGCCCAGGCTGAAGTGCAGTGGCATGATCTCTGCTCACTGCAACCTCTGCCTCTTGAGTTCAAGCGATTCTTCTACCTCAGCTTCCCAAGTAGCTGGGATTACGGCAGCCCACCAACACACCCAGCTAATTTTTGTATTTTTAGTAGAGACGGGTTTCACCAGGTTGGCCAGGCTGTCTGGAATTCCTGACCTCAGGTGATCCACCCTCCTTGGCCTCCCAAAGAGCTGGGATTACAAGTGTGAGCCACTGTGCCCAGCCTGACTTGTTTTTTATAATGCCTTTTTTTTTTTTTTTTTTTGAGACGGAGTCTTGCTCTGTCACCCAGGCTGGAGTGTAGTGGCGTCATCTCAGCTCACTGTAACCTCCACCTCCTGGGTTGAAGTGATTTTCTCACCTCAGCCCTCAGCCTCCTGAGTAGTTGGGACTGCAAGTGCACACCACCATGCCCAGCTAATTTTTTGTATTTTAGTAGAGATGGGGTTTCACCATGTTGCCCAGCTGGTCTTTAACTCCTGAGCTCAGGCAGTCTGCTTACCTTGGCCTCCCAAAGTGCTAGGATTAAAGGTGTGAGCCACTGTGCCTGGCCTTTTTTTTTTTTTTTTTTTTTCTTTTGAGCAGTTTTAGTTTCCCAGCAGAATTGAGATGAAGGTACAGAAACTTCCCATATGCTTCCCACATGCATAGCCTTCTACATTATCGACATCCTCCGCCAGTGTGGTACATTTGTTACAACTGATGAACCTACATTGATACATCATAATCAACCAAAGTCCATAGTTTACATTAGAGTTCACCCTTGGTGTTATATATTCTATGGGTTTGGACAAATGTATAATGAGACGTATCTACTATTAAATACTTTACAGAGTATTTTCACTGGCCTAATCCAATGGACATTTATTGTTACTTCATTATGGTTGGGCACAGTGCTAGATGCTGATGATTAAGAGAGGGCATGGGATTTGGTCTTGTCCTCAAGGGTAGAACCTAGGCCCATTGCATCTTCAAAGCCCAGGCTCCTTCAAAGCCCAGTGTAGTAGCAACTGCTGTACCTTGCCTGTGCCCTTTGCATATCTCACTCCTCTATCTCTCTAGAAAGTTGGAGAGAAAAGTGAGCAAGGCATGAGGAACAAAGTTATTTATTTATTCTTCATTCATCTATTTATTCTTTCATTACCGTTTGTGTTAAAACATTCCAAACCCAAACAATTATTTGTATGGTCCCCTGTGTATTACTTGTGGTTTCCCAAGAAGTAGTTGCTAAGCTTTTCCTTGTATGGTTTCTGTGAGGTAAGGAAGGAATGATGTGATTTTCTCCAGTATGTAGAATGCAGTTCCAAGAGGTTAAGTAATTTACTTACAGTTATTTAGCCAAACAAGGTTACTGCAAGGTATATGAAGTCAGGTCTCTTGACCCAGTTCATGAGAGAGTTAAAGGAACTATCATTCTTTTTAGCTTTCATGGAAAAAGAAGGTTGAGTGTTGGGAGGGGTGTGGGTAGGATTGATAATGGACTTCAAAAATGTGAAGGGTATTTCTGTAGTTTTCATTCTTCTGAAAGCCTTCTAAGAGGCAGTGAACCAAAAGCACACAAGAATGGCAAGAAGTTAGCACGCTGAAGAAATATCCTCCTGGCTGGCAAGCAGAGTGAGAAGACTGCTATCACCTTTTCTAGAATCTTTTGGAATTGTAGGAGCTGTTAGATCCTGGGTTAACTCTATGAAGAAAGTCAGAAGGATCAGAGAACATCAGTGTCACAGCTCTTCATTGGAATATCCATGTCTCCTCCTTTACTCTGCTCTACCTTCCATCCTTTGCCACTAATTATCCAGAGTGTTTGTCAAAATTCTCTGTTTGCAGTTCTGAGCTAGCAACTGTACACACTAACACCATCAGACACAGCTAATACCTACTCTAGTCTAGTAGCTTCCGATCTAAGGCAGACACATGGGTATAGTTAAAGATTTTGAATGTACATGTGTCCAATCTGACAACAGTAACACAAACCATCCATTCAAGTAGAAGTGTTTGAGTCAGAATTGGATTGCACCCCTTCCCCCACACCCACACACATTTCAGTTCTTTCCTCATGATTTTTTCCTCCCAAGACATCCCAGGAATTTGTGGAGAAACTAACCAAGCGACTGAAAAGACACCCTGAGGAGACAGGAGGCTTCCAGGAGGCACCGCTGGCCTATGATGCCATCTGGGCCTTGGCACTGGCCCTGAACAAGACATCTGGAGGAGGCGGCCGTTCCGGCGTGCGCCTGGAGGACTTCAACTACAACAACCAGACCATTACCGACCAAATCTACCGGGCAATGAACTCCTCGTCCTTTGAGGGTGTCTCTGTGAGTTACAACTTCCTTCATACTCCCCTGTCTTCCCAATCTTGAGAGAGACTCCCAAGAGGCACCTTCTACAAACATGCATTCTCTGTTTTTCTCAGTTACTTCTTTGCAGTAATCAGTCTCCGACCAGAGAAGTAGGGACCTTCAAATTAGAAGAACCCATCAAAGACTAGAGGAAAAAAAATGATGTATTCCATTTTTTTAAACCCCTCCCCTCATTTCTTTTCAAACTAGACCAAGTATTCATGAGTCAGATGAGAACTATAGGATTTTGAAAGACAAAACAGTCTGAAAGGTCATCTTCTTATTCCTTTTAAAATGAAAAGATTAGTTTCCAGAGAGATTTGCTGACTTGCTTAGGCCACACAACCAGAAGCCTGCTGGTGTTCTGTCTGGGGATTTTTTCCCATTCAAATCTCATAAGTGAAGCTCATTCTCCAAAGAATAATGTTTCTAAAATCTAGGGTATGGGCATCTGGGGTATGTCCTATATGCAGGCAAATGCCATAAATAGCATTCATTCAGAGGCTCAATTACATCAAAAACAGAAGGATTTAAAGAGTCCCTGATGTTCTCTTTCACTCCTGCTTTTGTCTCCTTTGCCTTGCTCCACATGTTCCTTCCCTCAGGGCCATGTGGTGTTTGATGCCAGCGGCTCTCGGATGGCATGGACGCTTATCGAGCAGCTTCAGGGTTAGTACAGGGGCAGGAGGGGACCGGACATGGGGGCTAGGCTGGGGCTGGGCTGGGATGCCACCTGGGGAAGAATGCCAGAGACATCACAAGATTGCCCTGGCACCTCCCAACTTCTGCCCTTCTCTTTTAACTCTGTTCATCAAGCTTGTAAATAATAATAATAATAAGCTTAACTACAAGAAGATTGATGTCTTTGAGTTGCACTGGTTTTGCTCTTGAAAAGAGGTGTGCAGGCTGGGTGTGGTGGCTCACCCCTGTAATCCCAGCACTTTTGGGAGGCCAAGGCAGGCAGATCATGATCATGGTCAGGAGTTTGAGACCAGCCTGACCAACATGGTGAAACCTGTCTCTACCAAAAATACAAAAAAAAAAAAAAAAATTAGCTGGGTGTGGTGGCAGGTGCCTGCAGTCCCAGCTACTTGGGAGGCTGAGGCAGGAGAATCACTTGAACCCAGGAGGCAGAGGTTGCAGTGAGCTGAGATCACGCCACTGCACTCCAGCCTGGGTGATAGAGTAAGACTCTGTCTCAAAGAAAAAAGAAAAGAAAAGAGACATGCAAATTAAAAACAGCTACTCTCTTTCCCAGTGGCTTCCATTAATTTCAGGAATTTCCCCTTGAGTGGCTTGGGTTGAGAGGTTGATGACCTGTCAGTTAGACTCAAGAAAGCTGAATCTAGGAGAACCGCTATTTTTTTTTAAGGGAATCTGCCAAATTTCCTTGCTGTGTAAAGCTTCAATGTGTATAGCTTGGCTTTTGTAGATTGTATTTTCTTGAAACTTAGCACACAGGTATTTGCAGAACTTCTAGGAGTTAATTTTTCTGCTCCACTCGGCTCTCAGTCTTTTACGGCATGGCCAAGAGAGCTATTTCTTGGCCTCCTGTGAAAAGTTTCTTTCTTCCTTTCTCCCCACCTCCACATCCTTTCAGCTCCTCTTTGTATCCAGGACAAGAGGAAATGGACTTCAGCCATGGTGAAAGGAGTGTGAGTTGGCTTTTGAAGGAAAAGTTATGGTAACGGAAACAGTTCTAGAACAGAAATCTTAGAAATGACCAAATTTTACTCAATGGCGCTTTAAGAGGCAGATATAACTTATCCAAGGAATTAAAACCCAAGCCAACAGAAGAGAATGTTCTAAAATTAAAATGAAAGCCACTGGGAAAATAGAGCCTGCCCATCATGAGAGGAAGAATAAGCAGAAATATGTGTAAAGCTTTAGAAGCCAAAATCAAAGTGAGAGACATCTCGCCGAGAGAGGTGTGAGGAATGGAATAGGTGGCAGACATGTTGTGGAGCCTCCTCACTGAAGACTTTTAAACATAGATATTCTTATTTATTTGAGTTGTCTTGGGAACCACCTTATATTGCTTTTAAGTCATGTTGCTGATTCAAGAGTCTCGTAGGTCCTTCCAAGCATCCTTAGGGCCTCAGGTGAAAATAAAATCAGATACAACCATGCAAAGCTCTAGGGAAGTGGGAAGTTGAAAATGCCTAGGATCAGCTCTTTGGCTACCTGTGGTCACTCCTTTTATTGTCGTCTGCCCAGGTGGCAGCTACAAGAAGATTGGCTACTATGACAGCACCAAGGATGATCTTTCCTGGTCCAAAACAGATAAATGGATTGGTGAGTGGATCTTGTTTGTATTTTCCTTCAGCCCCTCTCGACAGTCAAGGGAAAAAGTCATGCCTTTGAGTGAGGATGGAATGGTAGAGACTGTTAGGTTGGAATGTGGCTGGCAGCTGGGCCAGGAGAAAGGGTTAAGTGAGAGTGAATACAACCCCTAAGGCGTGGGTAGGGGAGACTGGTGTATTTGGAGAGGGAATAGGCGGTGGTTAGTACTATTTTTAATGGTGCATTGCTGGGGTAACTGGGGATTAGAGGCAGGGGGTGGGCAGAGGGCGGGAAATGGAAACTCCATTTGGGTTTCCCAGATGTCCTGGTGTCTTGATATATTTGAACCAGCTACTTCAAGCCCAGAGCTGTCTCTTTGTCTGTCTCTGTCAGGAAAACGGTTGCTTAAACTATGGAGGAGGAGGGAAAACCTCATGTAATTGTCATCTGCCAAAATGTGCTTTTTATTTTTATATGTATTTTTAAAAATTTTCCTATTTTTATGTAATTTAGAGGTAGACGTGCAGTTGTGTTACATGAATATATTGCATAGTGGTGAAGTCCGGGCATTTAGTGTGCCTGTCACGCGAACAGTGCACCTTGTACCTAATAGGTAGTATTACATCCCTCAAAATATACTTTTTAAAGAGAGAAAGCAAGCAGTTATTCTTTGTGTACTTGGCCTAAATGATAGGACATAGGAGAGAAACTGAAGGTGGACAAAAGGAAGGACCTACTGATAAAAGAAAGCCTCCTTGAGAATGAAGGGGAGGCCCAACCATTGAAGATGGCTGCCGTCTGCCCTGCCCAGCAGATATCCAGTCATTCCCAGCACTGGAGTTTTGCCCTTTTTTTTTTTTTTACAATTCGAATTTAGGACAATGTTCTGGATTGCTATAAATGCTGCATGGCCTAAATTATTCTTTAAAAAAAAAACTAAGCAAATTGAAATTAGTTTTTTTTGGTGAACTCTGACAAATTTGAACTTCCCCCTAATAATAACTGGAAAACATATTTGGGAATATTACCCTGCCAGGATTAAAATTTCAGATTAGCTTTCCTTCTTTTTTTGTTTGTCTTAAGAATAGGTATCCACACTAGATACTTCAAGGCCTTTTTAGCTTTATGATTCCATAATTGTCATTTAAAACTTTGATTTGGGTTATAAGAAACCTTATAACATTTTTTAATGATCCCCTTCTTTCTCCTCCCATTTTCCTTTGCTGTAAGAAAGACAGAAAAACTTAAAGAACAAACAAAAACAAAGACTACAACTTTGGGGACATGCCTCAGCATTTCCCAACCTATGGATAGACCATTCACTCCATCTTCTCATCTCATTTCTGGTTGCTTCCTAACGGCCCCAGTGGCACTGAGCATTCTGCCTGCAGTAACCTCTGTCCAGTGCAGTTAGGGCCTCATGTCCCCAGCCAATGACTGAATGTCCATCAGCAATCTAGTTCTTTGCCCTTTTCTCCTATCCCGTCTTCATTCCTTTGTCCTCCTTCCCTTCTCTTTTCCCTTCCCCTC
Organism: Homo sapiens; assembly: GCF_000001405.40. NCBI lineage: Eukaryota > Metazoa > Chordata > Mammalia > Primates > Hominidae > Homo > Homo sapiens. The sequence goes on along the minus strand of NT_167246.2, from coordinate 874,582 downwards.
TTCCTCCCCTGTGCCATGCAGGAGGGTCCCCCCCAGCTGACCAGACCCTGGTCATCAAGACATTCCGCTTCCTGTCACAGAAACTCTTTATCTCCGTCTCAGTTCTCTCCAGCCTGGGCATTGTCCTAGCTGTTGTCTGTCTGTCCTTTAACATCTACAACTCACATGTCCGGTAAGTTTCTCTTCTGACGTTTTCCTTGTCTGCCTCTCTGAGATACTGATCATGTTCCTGGACAGGATGAGAATAAAACCTGTGTAACTCCCATGGCCATGTATCATGGAGTTTTTCATTCTGACTTGTTGAGAATGAAAACAGGGAAACCAGATATAACCCCCACTCCTACTCCAAAGTAGCTAACGGGAGGAAAAAAGAAAAGAAGAGAAAAAAACAACCTTTGGGGCCAGGTCTCACAGTCTTGGACTCTACATAAATAGCCTGTATTCTAGTGGGGGCCTGTGCTTGGGAAGCCCTCTGCAACTCCATCTTCAGCCCCATGACTGCATTGCTCTGCCTCTCAAGGCTCCACTGTCTTCTCCAATCCTGTCTTCCTTTAGCCCCTGGCCCTGAAATTAGGGTCATGCCATCGTGTGGTATTTGGAGAGCTCAGCCTCCCTGGAGAAGAGGGGTAATTCTCTCTCCCTCTCACCCTCTCCACCTCTGCCCTAGTTATATCCAGAACTCACAGCCCAACCTGAACAACCTGACTGCTGTGGGCTGCTCACTGGCTTTAGCTGCTGTCTTCCCCCTGGGGCTCGATGGTTACCACATTGGGAGGAACCAGTTCCCTTTCGTCTGCCAGGTGAGGAGGTGGTGGGCAAATTCCTTACAGGATGTGACTCTCCCACCCGTCTCAGGAGCACCTTCCATGATTTATGATTCTCTGCCCTTCCTCCTCAGCTTTCCCTGACTCTTGTCCCTGTTCTTTCCTTCTAGCATCACCCCTCTGTTCTCTGTTTGGCTCTGTCCCTTCTTTCTGTGCCTGCAGGCCATTTTCATTCTGTAGTTTACTTGTCAGTTCCAAGGTTGCCATGGCAGGCCTTGCAGAGAAGAGGAGGGAGCCATTGAAGGCAAAGGAAGGGGATCTGCTCAAAGGTCTCCTGAACAATGGTGGCTTGTCTGTGGTATGGGGACTGAGAATCAGAACTGTGGACTTTTTTTGGGAGCCTTTGTTGGGTTTGGAAGGATAGAAGCAGAGATGGAAACACAGCAGAGAGCTGGGGGGAAGGGACCACTGCCACACAGGGAGGAGGGGCTCTGGGACTGTTGGTACATGGAAGGTTCTAGTGCTGTGGGGAGAGGCCAGCTTCAACAGTGATAGCTGAGTGGTTCTCTTTTCCACTGGTGGAAACACCCACTCTTTCTCCTGATCTGCCTGCCTGTCCTTGCTCTCTCTTTTTCCTCTGCTCTGTGCTGTCCTGATCATACATCTGTGCACATGGCATTTCCATGCACATGCACATGCAGTTCATCAGGAATCCTCTGTTCCCAGTGAGGCCAGAGTGCAGCTGGAGAAGCAGACAATTAGCTGTAGTGCAATAGGAGAGGTTCCAGAGTAGGGATCTGCACAAAGTGCTTTGGGGGCAAAGAAGGGAACACAGTTCACTGCTGGTGTGATTGGGTGGACCTCACTGAAGAGGTGGCATTTGAATACTGAAGGACAAATAGGATTTTATCAGCTAGAGAAATAGAGGAAGGCTACTTCAGGGGCATAGGGAGCATCATGTGGCTAGAAAATACATGAAAGAGAGTAGATGAAGAGAAAGTGAGTAGTACAGCATGGCTGGAGCGTGGGGTAGGTGTGGGGCTGGGAGATGAGCCTAGCTGGACAGGTGGATGGGAGCATGTTGTGAAGGGTCTGTGTCATATCCAGAAGTGTTCAGGCTATAACTTATAGATATTGGGGAGTGGTTGGAGGTTTTTGGCCACTAAAGCCAGGAGGTTTTAGCAAGATCACCCTGGTGGTGTGGAAGTAGAGGGTGGATGGGAGGAATTGTTCAAGGTGGGGAGACTGCTCTCCTCCTGCCGCTCCCCGTCCTGCTCACATTTTCGCATCCTCCCTGTGCCACCATGAGCTCCCTGCCCGTGCTCCCTGCCCACTCTCCCTTAGGGTTCTGCCCATCCTTACTGCAGTCCCGGCTACTACTCTACCCTGTTCTGCCTGTGCCCTCTCTTCCTTTCTAGGCCCGCCTCTGGCTCCTGGGCCTGGGCTTTAGTCTGGGCTACGGTTCCATGTTCACCAAGATTTGGTGGGTCCACACGGTCTTCACAAAGAAGGAAGAAAAGAAGGAGTGGAGGAAGGTGAGCTGCTGCCCAATCCTCAGCCCCCAGATCCTTGGCTCCTGGGGCACAGAGCATTTTCCCCTGACGTGCCTGTTCTCCCCACATATTTATCCAGACTCTGGAACCCTGGAAGCTGTATGCCACAGTGGGCCTGCTGGTGGGCATGGATGTCCTCACTCTCGCCATCTGGCAGATCGTGGACCCTCTGCACCGGACCATTGAGGTACCACTGGAGAGGAGGTGCTATGGTCAGGAGAATGAGCAGAGCTCAGTGGCCATCAGGGCCCTGGGGCTGTGTGTGGTCTTGAGGGATGAAGCTACTTGGAGAGAGTGCCTTCCTCGTATTGGAAGCTCTTCCTTTCCTTCCTAGAAGGAGCCCCTCATAGGCCTCCAGATTCAGCTGAAGAAAGGAAGGGGTGGGGATCTGGGAAGGGTGTGTAGAACTTCCAGGCATCAGGGAAAGTGGGGAACAAGCACCTCCAAGGGTTCAGGAAAACATTCTTAGGCCTAGAATGAGATTTGGCATCAGCATTGAGGGTCTCATAGGAAAACAGTTGGAAGCCAGAGACTGAGAAGCGTTGAGGAGAGGAGGGGAGGCTGGCAACCATCTTTCTTGTGACCTTGTTTCTGCCCTAGACATTTGCCAAGGAGGAACCTAAGGAAGATATTGACGTCTCTATTCTGCCCCAGCTGGAGCATTGCAGCTCCAGGAAGATGAATACATGGCTTGGTGTGTGGGATGTGGGCAAAGGAGGGCAGGGATGCACAAAGGCAGGAGGGAAGGCAGGGGTAGAGGGCTTGGAGGGAGAGGGGTCTTTGGAAGAGGAGGTAGAGAGCTTGTCAACCCAGTTTGAACACCCTACTCTTTGTTATTGCACTAATCTTTTCTGAGAATAGGGGAGAGTTGCTCTTTTGCTATGAGGAGCTTAGGGCCCAAAGCACAGAAAGCACAGATGAAGAACTTGTGTTCAGCAGAGGAACAAGTGGGGGTAACCCCACCTCCAGACTTGACATTATCTTTTAGATCCCCCTTGGCCTTATTAGCATTGTTCGATTCATGGTCACAAATTGCAAACCTACCCTCTGCCTGGAAAGCCACCTTCCCACCTGTAGGGTAAGGGTGAGGCATGTGTGGCCCAGACTGGCCTATTTCTAGATATTCAACAAGCCCTTGCCTGACTGACAGCAGCTTGCCACCATTGCTTTCCTGTGTGAATCCCAGGAAAAAGTGATGTGGTCTGGGCAAGTTGGGTGGACATAAGGGATAGGGGACACAGGGTGAGGTTTGCTAGGTCAGAGGGGTTGGATTGGAGAGGAGGGCCCCCTTTCCATTTCAGAGTAGGTGAAGGGCAGAGAGGGGATGGGGATTGAGTGAGGAGCATTGTGGTCCTTGTTGCTCAAGTGACTCTCTCCTGCCATCCTAGGCATTTTCTATGGTTACAAGGGGCTGCTGCTGCTGCTGGGAATCTTCCTTGCTTATGAGACCAAGAGTGTGTCCACTGAGAAGATCAATGATCACCGGGCTGTGGGCATGGCTATCTACAATGTGGCAGTGAGCACTGACCCCATGGCATTGACCCTGTAGGCTGACCACAGCAGCCCAGATATAGAGGACTAGGAAGAATCAATGCTAGATCTGGGATCGGTTGCTTAGAAGTCTTAAAAAGTTTGTTAATTCTTCAGGTCTATAAAGCACTTTACAGTTTACAAAGCTCACTACAGACATTGTATCATTAATCTTGCAACTACCCAGTGAAGTAGATATTAGTATCCCCACTTTATAGGTGAGGAAACAGAAACACAGAGACGTTAAATTGCTTGTCTGTGGTTAATGGGCTGGACTCTATTGACATTTCCTGCCAGGGACCGACTCTGGAGGACCCGGAATCTGTGCATAGAGATCCTGGGAGTTCCTGCCTTGAGGGGAGGGGTTAACCAAGAGTGAAAACTGGTTTGGGACAGTTTGAGATTTTTCTCAATCTATATTTGAGGATGATCCTGAATTTGGATCCTTTTCAAAGGGAAAGTTCACCAGGAAACTGTCTGCATAGACTCCCTCCCATGGGAAGTAAACTCTGGATCTTGTCTGAGCCTGCAGACCTGAGACTCCCTCAATGTGTCTTTCCCTCTAGGTCCTGTGCCTCATCACTGCTCCTGTCACCATGATTCTGTCCAGCCAGCAGGATGCAGCCTTTGCCTTTGCCTCTCTTGCCATAGTTTTCTCCTCCTATATCACTCTTGTTGTGCTCTTTGTGCCCAAGGTAAGGATCTGGCTTTTCTCCCACCCTCTTTGTTCCCATGTTCCCTCCATCCCTCCTTCCTATATTACTGAGTTCCTCTGCCCTTCCGTTCACCCTCCTCTCACTCCTCCCCTTGTTTTGGGCCCAACTCTTATCAGCATTCCTTCCACCTCCAACCTTCCATCAGCCAGTCACTAGTACAGTCCTTGCTGGGCCACCCCACGCCCAAACATTTGCCCCCAGATGCGCAGGCTGATCACCCGAGGGGAATGGCAGTCGGAGGCGCAGGACACCATGAAGACAGGGTCATCGACCAACAACAACGAGGAGGAGAAGTCCCGGCTGTTGGAGAAGGAGAACCGTGAACTGGAAAAGATCATTGCTGAGGTGCGGGGGTGGGTGTCAGGGTAGGGTGTTGGAGTGGTCCAGGAGGCTTGCGTCTTAGCTTGGGTTGTCTGAAGCCAAGCCTGAGATACAGGGTCAGATGTTCTTGGCTCATGGAGGGAGGGTCCTAGGAGACAACCTGTAAGGAGTGAATGGAGCAGCATAGGGGAGGGGAAAGGGCTGAGCAAGATTCTATCTCAGGCAAAATCCAGTGTTGGCCTGGCAGGTGGAAGGGCTCTGGAGTGGGAGCTATGTGGTTGACTCAGCCTCCTTAAGGCAAGAGGATGGCTGTTGGCTGTAGGTGACAACTGGAGAGAGGCAGCTGTGAGCCTCTAGTAGTCAACACTCACAGCAGCTGGGTGTAGCATGCAGCCCCAGCATAAAGGACCTGGGCAGGCGTTCACTGTGCCCCAGGCTGTCATTAGGGGCTGGTGCAATGCCAAAGAGAGGGATGTTCCAACTGGGTTGACACATCTCTCTGATTTATTGGAAGCTCTGTGCACTGACTTTTCTCTCCTTCCCCACTTTTTCCTTTTGTTTTTAAATTCTCTCTTATTTCCCTGATCGCATTTTTTCTATCGGTATCCTTATGTTCTCTGGCTTTTCTTGTTCTGTTTTGATTTCTCCTTTTAATTTATTCTGTCCACTTACCCTACGTCCTCCCCCTACATTTTTCTGTGCCCTTCCTCTCTTTCCCTGTGCCCTTCCTCTCTTTCCCTCCTCCCCACTCCTTCATCACCTCCTCTTCTCCTACTATCCCAATTGTGCTTCTTCCTCCAGAAAGAGGAGCGTGTCTCTGAACTGCGCCATCAACTCCAGTCTCGGCAGCAGCTCCGCTCCCGGCGCCACCCACCGACACCCCCAGAACCCTCTGGGGGCCTGCCCAGGGGACCCCCTGAGCCCCCCGACCGGCTTAGCTGTGATGGGAGTCGAGTGCATTTGCTTTATAAGTGAGGGTAGGGTGAGGGAGGACAGGCCAGTAGGGGGAGGGAAAGGGAGAGGGGAAGGGCAGGGGACTCAGGAAGCAGGGGGTCCCCATCCCCAGCTGGGAAGAACATGCTATCCAATCTCATCTCTTGTAAATACATGTCCCCCTGTGAGTTCTGGGCTGATTTGGGTCTCTCATACCTCTGGGAAACAGACCTTTTTCTCTCTTACTGCTTCATGTAATTTTGTATCACCTCTTCACAATTTAGTTCGTACCTGGCTTGAAGCTGCTCACTGCTCACACGCTGCCTCCTCAGCAGCCTCACTGCATCTTTCTCTTCCCATGCAACACCCTCTTCTAGTTACCACGGCAACCCCTGCAGCTCCTCTGCCTTTGTGCTCTGTTCCTGTCCAGCAGGGGTCTCCCAACAAGTGCTCTTTCCACCCCAAAGGGGCCTCTCCTTTTCTCCACTGTCATAATCTCTTTCCATCTTACTTGCCCTTCTATACTTTCTCACATGTGGCTCCCCCTGAATTTTGCTTCCTTTGGGAGCTCATTCTTTTCGCCAAGGCTCACATGCTCCTTGCCTCTGCTCTGTGCACTCACGCTCAGCACACATGCATCCTCCCCTCTCCTGCGTGTGCCCACTGAACATGCTCATGTGTACACACGCTTTTCCCATATGCTTTCTTCATGTTCAGTCACATGTGCTCTCGGGTGCCCTGCATTCACAGCTACGTGTGCCCCTCTCATGGTCATGGGTCTGCCCTTGAGCGTGTTTGGGTAGGCATGTGCAATTTGTCTAGCATGCTGAGTCATGTCTTTCCTATTTGCACACGTCCATGTTTATCCATGTACTTTCCCTGTGTACCCTCCATGTACCTTGTGTACTTTCTTCCCTTAAATCATGGTATTCTTCTGACAGAGCCATATGTACCCTACCCTGCACATTGTTATGCACTTTTCCCCAATTCATGTTTGGTGGGGCCATCCACACCCTCTCCTTGTCACAGAATCTCCATTTCTGCTCAGATTCCCCCCATCTCCATTGCATTCATGTACTACCCTCAGTCTACACTCACAATCATCTTCTCCCAAGACTGCTCCCTTTTGTTTTGTGTTTTTTTGAGGGGAATTAAGGAAAAATAAGTGGGGGCAGGTTTGGAGAGCTGCTTCCAGTGGATAGTTGATGAGAATCCTGACCAAAGGAAGGCACCCTTGACTGTTGGGATAGACAGATGGACCTATGGGGTGGGAGGTGGTGTCCCTTTCACACTGTGGTGTCTCTTGGGGAAGGATCTCCCCGAATCTCAATAAACCAGTGAACAGTGTGACTCGGCACCTTGCAGTCTTCCTGTGAACAGAATGGGCTTCAATCCAAGAAGGGAGGCTCAGAGGACTCCAAGTTCATGAAAAGGCATTAAAGCGGAGGGTGAAAAGAGGTGTTTTATTGATCCATTGAGGGCTTAGCAGAATGAAGCAGGACATGATTAAGTCTGAGATTAGTGAGTGAGGACACTACTGGTTAAAAGTGTGGGCTCTGGAGTCAGACTGCCAGGGTATCAGATCCAACCACATGCAAACATTTTCTTAGTCTCTATTCCCCATGTCCTCATTTATGAAAATGAGAATAACAGTAATACATTCCTCCATAGGTTGGGTACAAAGACTATTATAAATTGTGCATTCAGGTGCCTAGGTTGGCCCTTGGGCCATGGTATATGTTGCGTGAATGTTAGCCTCTGTCCCTGCTGTTTAATGAGTTCCTTGACAGTAGTGGGCATGTATTGGGAGCCTGGAGCAAGTGCCTAAGCATCCCCTCTAGGGACGCTCCTTCCCAGGAACTAAGAAGAGTAAAAGAATGATGACTGCTAGAAGGTAATGGATGAGATGGCTGCTGAGTGCTTCCAACCTTAAACATCTTTGTTTAGGAACTCTGAGCATCTTGGAAATAATTTGCTATCAAACTGAAAAAAAATCTTGAATGGACAAGGGCAAAAACATTTGCCTGAGACTTTAAACATTTTTTGTGTCATCTTGGAGAGTGCTTTTTTGAAGCTCAAATTTTCTTTTATTTTGGCACTGATTTTTAAAGTGATTCTCAGATTTTTGTAAGACAGCTGCAAGGGTTGGATGGGCCCTGTCATTCACTGACCTGTTAAGAGCCAATTTCTGAACTTCCACTAAAGCATGGGCTGGTTGAATCTTAGACCAGTACTTGAAAAACTTTCCACTGTGATTATCCACCTTGGACCAGTTGGACTTAATTTGAGTCTCTCTTCTTCCCACAGTGAAATATCCGCTAGGAAAAGAGAAGAAGTCTATGGAGTAGATAAGCCTGCAGTTTGGAAAATGAATAGTTGGCATCAGAACAGCAGCAGGAGGCTGGGTGTGGTGGCTCACGCCTGTAATCCCAGCACTTTGGGAGGCTGAGGTGGGTGGATCACGAGGTCAGGAGTTCAAGACCAGCCTGGCCAAGATGGCGAAACCCTGTCTCTACTAAAAATACAAAAATTAGCTGGGCGTGATGGTGGGTGCCTGTAATCTCAGCTACTCGGGAGGCTGAGGCAGATAATTGCTTGAACCCAGGAGATGAAGGTTGCAGTGAGTTTGTGCCACTGCACTCCAGCCTGGGCGACAGAGTGAGACTGTCTCAAAAAAAAAAAAAAAGAAAAAAAAAAAAGAAACAACAGTAGCAGGAGCTATAGAACAGCCCTGGGTAGAACCTAAAAGACCCAAATTATCATCTCAAACTTGCATTGCACTTAAGTGGGCTGTAAATTATAAACAAAGGGTGAAAAGTTCTACTGTGGCCAAAGGTAAGCCAGACACTCTGCTAGCAGGAGTGCAGGAGTCGAGAGCCAAACGGTGCGGCTAGCAGAGTGCCCAGTGCAAAGGGGTGGGAAGGAGTGAGATTGAGAATATTAAAAAGGTACTTAGAAGAGAACTTGTAAGATTTTTACTGGCCAAATTTAAAACATGACTGAGCACTATTTTTCATACAGGCCTCCTACTAATAAGAAAAACAATTTTGAGATAACTACTTATTTGAGTTCACAGTTAATGTTCCTGATGATTAAGATCAGTTGCAAATGTTCATCTGTCAATGCTTATCTACAATGAGACTTCATGTATTCATTTCTGAAAGTGTCTTTTCAGGGTGAATGGTGCTATTGATTAGCACTAATACTAATTATTAGTACATTATATATAATTACAATGAGATATACACACACATACACACACACATATATACATATACACACACACAATGATATATAATTAATATATAATTGTACCCCAAGGGGTGCAAAGGAGATGTGTTGCCAGGTGGAGAGGCTACCGCTTGGCAGTTCTGGGAGGACTTGCTCCCTGTGCACTGTGAGGCAGGCTTTGCCTTTCAGACCTGCCTTTGGGTAGGGTTCAGATCACTTTCTAACTCTGGAATGTCCTAGAATGTAGACTGCCTGCAGGCTTCCATGTCCCCTGCTTTTCCCTGACTTAGCCTGTTGCCTCCCTGCCCTCCTGTTGGTTGTCTACCAGTAGAGAGCACTTTGTGTGCACTTGGCTGCTACATTAGTTAGGTGATCTTCAACAAGTGTTGATGGTGAGTTGCTGTGGCAGGTGCTTTTTTTGGCACTGAGGCAAAATGGTGAGTAAGATGGCTTTCAAGCGTTGTACCTTCTCGACGTGGGAAGATGACCAGTAAGCAGAAAAACAAACGAGATCACTTAAGAGAGCAACCAGGAGTGTTGGGCATCTCACAGCCATTAGCTCTGGTGTGAAGGACAAATCTAAAAGCAAGGGGACTGTGTGTTCATTTTCTGGGGTCACAAAACTAAGGAGCAAAGCCAGTATTCAAACTGCATATATTATTATCTATTGCCACAAAACCTGTTACCCTAAATGGCTTCAGACAACAATAATCATTTATTATCCATCATGGTTTTTGTGGGCTAGAAATTCAGATAGGGTACAGTGGGGAGGGTTCACCCTGCTCCACAGCATCTGGAAGATCTGAAGTCTGAGGGTTGTTGTCCAAAAGATCCTTCACTCAGCATCTAAAGGAGGTATTGGCTGTCAGCTGAGACCCCTACACATGACCTTTCCATGTGGCCTGGTATTCCTCATGACCTAATGACAGTTCCAAAGGCAAGTGGAGGCAGTTGTAGAGAGTCAGCCAGGTTTAAGCTGTATTTTTTTTTTCCCTGACAAAGCCTTGAAAGTCACGTAGCATCACTTCTGAGATATTCCACTGGTCCAAGCAGTCACAAGGCCATGCCTAGGTTCAGGAGAGGAAACACTTCACCTGTTGGTGGGATGAGCGTAAGTCACACTGTAAAGAGAACATGTGGAATGGGACAAATGTGTGTTGCAGGCTGCTTTGGTAAAAGCAGTCTGCTGCATCTGGTCTGCCTGCTGCAAAGCCAGTGTTCACTTCACTTTAACATGTTCTTTGTCCGCCCTCTGAGCTGAGCACCCTAGCCTTGTATATTTGCTGTCATACAGCCTCTTACCAGGCCCTGGATTCCTCTGGATGCTTGGGGGCCAGCTGTGATCTCACCCCAGCAGAAAATGGGAAGTGTTGAAGATGGTCCTGCCAATTGCTCCTCCCACAGTCCTTGGTAGTTTTAGGACACCCTGGATAGGCAACAGTTTGTTTATCCACTCAGGCTTTTGAAACAGATAATTCTGTGACTTTGCCCTTGAGGGAAGCTATCACTTGACATGAAGCTTACCAAAAGGTAGGCTTCATGTTAAGGGAGGCTGTCACTTGAAGGCAGGCAGAAAGGTGCTATTCATTAGCCACCTTATGGTGGGTTCATGTTAAGTGACAGCTTCCCTCAAATGGGATGCTACTCAAAATATTTAACCAGTATGGCATCCACTTACATGGCTCCCTGGAGTGTGGAAGGATATGCTGGAGACTCTCCTGGAAGGTGAGTTCAGCACCAGCAGCAGCTGTGATAGGGACACGTACTGAGGCCTGTGTGGGCTGGACACTGGGACTGATGCAGCAAAGCTAGGGAGACAGATGCAGAAGCAACGTCATGTGGCCTGCAGAGTGCATTCCCCAGGTGTGTGTAGGGAGTGTAGGAAAGAAAATCCTTTTCCTCTTCCTGTCTTAGGTTCTCCAGCCGTGGCTGTGTAAATTAGAGTGGCATAAGACAGATTAATGAGAGAAAAACAAATAGAAGTTTATTAACATTTGCTTCATGCATGTACACATGGGAGTACCCAGTGGTGAACAATGCAAAGGGGCAGTTAGAATTTGGGCTCATGGCTGGGTGTGGTGGCTCATGCCTGTAATGCCAGCACTTTGGGAGGCTGAAGCTGGGGGATCACTTCAGGTCAAGAGTTTGACACCAGCCTGGGCAACATGGTGAAACCCTGTCTCTACTAAAAATACAAAAATTAGCCGGGTGTGGTGGCAGGCACCTGTAATTCCAGCTACTCGGTAGGGTAAGGCAGGAGAATTGCTTGAACCTGGGAGGCGGAGGTTGCAGTGAGCAGAGATCGCGCCATTGCACTCCATCCTGGTTGACAGAGCGAGACTCTGACTCAAAAAAAAAAAAAAAAGAATTTGGAGCTCATATAGTTGCCCCTTGAACAACTTGGGGTTTAGGGTTACTGACCCCACACACAAACGAAAATCTGCACATAACTGTTGACTCTCTCCAAACTTAGCTACTAATAGCTTACTGTTGACTGAAAGCCTTACTAGTAGTGTAAACAGTTGATCAACACATATTTTGTATGCTATACATCTTATATATGTATTCTTATAATAAAGTAAGCTAGAGAAAAGGAAATGTTATCAAGAAAATTGTAAGGAAAATACATATAGGGTACTATACTGTATTTATTGATGCCTTAAGTTTACATCATTTACATGATGAATCGTCTGTCTGAAATGGCAGCAACCCCAGCAACAGACCTTGATCTATGGTGTATATCAAGCAATTCAACTTTTTATAGAGTCATGACTTTGCTTCTTGGGAGAACTTCCAGCATCACTGTTGGCACTTCATATGGGCCCTATGGTGTTATTTAAGGTTCACAGTATTGCTCTAGACATGATGAAATATATGCAAGAATCTTGAGAGACCACTCTTTACTGCTATACACAATTTACTGGATAGATGAACTGCTCATGCAGAGATGATTAGTGTCACTTGGCATTTTAGGCAGATACTTGCAACAGTTGAGCTCTTTGCAATAGTAAGAGGAGGTGGCTATCAAATTACAGTAGAACAGTATACACTACAGTTAATTTTATGCCGTTATGATTTAATTCTGCATCTTTTGTTAAGCTTTCTCTTGACTTTGAGTGGCTTATGTATGGTCTGTAAGTGTGTGCGTAAGTTTTGATAAATTTTATTTATTTTTTGAGACATGGTCTCACTCTGTTGCCCAGGCTGGAGTGCAGTGGCGTGATCTTGGCTCACTTCAGCCTCAACCTCCTAGGCTCAGGTGATCCTCCTACCTCAGCCTCCTGGGTAGCTGGGACTGCAGATACATGCCACCATGCCGGACAAATTTTTTGTATTTTTAGTAGAGATGGGGTTTTACCATATTGCTCGGATTGGTCATGAACTCCTGGATTCAAGCAATCTGCCCACCTAGCCTCCCTAAGTGCCTGGCCAAATTTTTGGTTTTTATAGTAGATTTGTGTATATTTTTTGGTAGTATCTACATATATTTTATACATTTATTTGTTGATGAAAAAAGTAAAATTTGTAAAATATTTGAAGAGGTTTATTCTGAGCCATTCTGAGGAGTTCCTGAGAACATGTGCCCAAGGTGGTTGGGTTACAGCTTGGTTTCATACATTTTAGGGAGCCAGAAGTTGCTGACAAAGACATAAATCAATACATGTAAGGTATATATTGGTTCAGCTCAGAAAGGCGGGACATCTCGAAGCAAGGGAGCTCACAGGTCATAGGGGGATTCAGATTTTCTGATTGCCAATTGGTTGAAAAAGTTAAGCCCTGCCTAAAGAGTTGAAGTCAGCAGAAAGAAATGCTTGAGTTAAGGGGGCGTGGAGGTGGCGTTGGGGGAGATGTTTGTGGAAGCAAAGATTCTTGTTACGTAGATGAAGCTTCCAGGCCTCAGAAAGAATAGATGGTAAATGTTTCTTATCGCACCTTAAAAGATGTCAGACTCATTAGTAAAATCCCTCCTGGATCAGAAAAAGACCTGGAAGGGGAAGGGGATTCTCTACAAAATGCAAATCCCCATGACAAGAAATGGCTTTGCAGAGTCATTTCAAAATGTCAAATAAGTATATTTTGGGGTAAAATACTTTGATTTCCTTCAGGGCCTGCTATCTGTGGTGTGATGCTGTATCAGAGTCAGGTTGGAGTTGACTATTTTATTGCTACAGAGAATCTTTTGTCAGTCTTATGATCTCTATTGTAATGTTAATGCTGGTCAGTTGTCCCTAAACTCCAGAGGAAGGAGGGTATCATTGGCATGTCTTACCTTTCTTCCTGTCAGTTAGGGGGCTTAGAATTTTATTTTTGGTTTACACATGACATACTTTTCTCTTATTTATTTATTTATTTATTTGAGATGGAGTCTTTGTCGCCCAGGTTGGAGTGCAGTGGCACCATCTCGGCTCACTGCAACCTCCGCCTCCTGAGTTTAAGCGTTTCTCCTGCCTCAGCCTCCCAAGTAGCTGAGATCACAGGTGTGTGCCACCACGCCTGGCTAATTTTTTGTATTTTTTAAGTAGAGACGGGGTTTCACCGTGTTAGCCAGGATGGTCTCGATTGCCTGACCTCGTGATTCACCTGCCTCGGCCTCCCAAAGTGCTGGGATTACAGGCGTGAGCCACCGTGCCCAGCCCTATTTATTTTTTTAATTGAGGCTGGAGTGAGGTGGTGCAATCACAGCTCACTGCAGCCTCAACCACCTGGGCTCAAGAGATCCTCCCACCTCAGCCTCCCTAGTAACTGGGACTACAGGTGCGTGCCACCATGCCCAGTTAATTTTTTTTTTTTTTGCAGAGATGGGGTTTCCCCATGTTACCCAGGCTGGTCTCCAACTCCTGAGCTCAAGCAATGCATCCATCTTGGCCTCCCAAAGTTCTGAGATTACAGGCATGTGCCACAGCACCTGGCCCATTAATTTTTCCAGTGCTTCTAAGCTATGTGGTTTGTGAGTTTTTTCAAATTGTCACAAATCTCCAAAAATTTTCAATATACTTACTGAAAAAAATCATGTGTGAGTGAATCCATGGAGTTCAAATCGTGTTGTTCTTAGCAACTGTATAACATCTTGGCTAGGTAAAGGAAAAGGAGTTTGGGGCTTCTGGGTGAGTGGTAGATGGGCAGGCAAGTTATGGGAAAGTGACCAGGAAAATATGGAACAAAGTGGTTTAGTAAGGTTTGTTATGTGGATTTAAACTGTCTTCTCCATTAGTAGAGTTGTACCTTTACAGATAGAAAAGGTTTGTTATGTAGATTTAAACTGATGTCTTCTCCATTAGTAAGAGTTGTACCTTTACAGATGTGAATTTATTTACAAAAGGAAAACTTGTATCCTGTTTTACAGCATTCACTAGTCTGATGATTTTCAATTGTTAGCTCAAAATAATCCACATGCTAAAGATAGTTTGAGGTGGCATATACTGGTACCCTTCAAGGGTGAGCGATTAATTCTGCATAGGAGGAGCCAGAAGGTTTCCCCTTCCCTGGGAGATAGAAGGATAAGACAGGGCTGGGCCCTACACATAAGCATCTATTCATGATTAGGTGAGCCCTTCAGACGTTTGAGGTTTATTTTATTTTATTATTATTTTTTTGAGATGGAGTCTCACTCTAACTCCCAGGCTGGAATGCAGTGGCGTGATCTCGGTTCACCGAAACCTCCGCCTCCTGGGTTCAAGTGGTTCTCCTACCTCAGCTTCCCAAGCAAGGGGTTTACAGGCACCTGCCACCAGCCCTGGCTATTATTATTATTATTATTTGTATTTTTAGTAGAGACTTTTTAATTTTTATTAGAGACTTCATATTTTTAGTAGAGACGAGGTTCTTGAATAATGTTCCTTTAAGGCTTCCAACTCACATGTCATGTTAGAATGAATAGTTAAGTGCCTGCCCTCAGGAGACCTAAATCATGTAGGTTTGAAACATCTGTAAGGGATCCTTTTTTTTTTTTTTTTTTCTGGTTGTATTCAATTCAGTAGCTTCTGTATCTTTCTGAAATAATCTCTACCTTCCTGCTTAATCATTTTGCTCCTCGGTGTAACTCCTTCCCCCACATCTCCCTATCTTAATGCACAACATGCTTATTTTTGTCTTTAGCCTTTTCTGTTATAGAACCAAACTGGGGTCTGCTTGCCTGGTGCAATAAAACCAGATACTTACACCAAGGATTGCACCAATAGAAAGAAAGGCATTTGTTGCAGGACACTACGCAGGGAGGACCAGGCAGCTAAACACTCAAGTCCTGGCCTCCCTGATGTCTTGCAGGCAAGGGTATTAGCGGCAGAATGTATCAGAGTTACATGGCATGAAAATATGTTAGCAGCTGCGAATCTGTACAGGTCTGCAGCAACCTCAATTTTTGCCTCCTCAGAAGAAAGAATCTGACTGAGGGGCATAAAGCAGAGTAAGAGACCGAAGCAAATTTTAGAACAGGAGTAAAAGTTTATTAAAAAGCTTTACAGCAGGAACAAAATAAAGTAAAGCCAACTTGGAAGGGGGCCAAGCAGGCAACTTGAGAGATCAAGTGCGTGGTTTTGACCTTGACTTAGGGTTTTATATGTTGGCAGGGTTCCAGGGTCCCTTCTCCCCTGAATCTTCCCTTGGGGTGGGCTGTCTGCATGTACAGTGGCCTGCTAGTGCTTGGGAGGGGCTGCATGCACGGTATGTTTACTGGAGTAGTATGCATGCTGACTTGAGGCATTCTTCCCTTACCAGGGAGTGTTCCTATAAGGTTATAAACCAGTTAAATGCTGTCATTTCTCCCTTAGTGCCCATGCATGAGCCCACTTGCCCAACTCCTGAGATCTTAGTTTCAGGTTTTTCTATTTATTGGGAGACTGTTTTTCCCTGGCACAGGCTGTGACCAATGATTATTTTAGAGAGACAGCTTAACAACCGCCTATCACCTGATGGTTGCCTGACATTCCTGGTGGGGAAGGAGGCCCTTTCCTGCCCTGCTCGTGTCTGACTAACTATTGTAACATGGGTTTTTAAAGGCAGGGGTAAGGCAGTGTGCAGTGGCTCACACCTGTAATCCCAGCACTTTGAGAGGCTGAGGCAGGAAGATCACTTGAACCTAGGAGTTCAAGAACAGCCTGGGCAACAAAGTGAGACCCCAACTCTACAAGAAATAAAAAAATTAGCCAAATATGGTGGCATATGCCTGTACTCCCAGCCACTCAGAAGGCTGAGGTGAGAGGATCCCTTGAATCCAGGAGGTTGAGGCTGCACTGAGCCATGATTATGCCACTGCACTCCAGCCTGGACAACACGGCAAGACCCTGTCTCAAAAAACAGGAAACAAAAAAAGGCAGGGGTAAATTTCAGAAAAGCAGAAGCTACAAGGAACATTGGAAATCAGTGCATAGAGGTTCCACATTTTTTTTTGAGATGGAGTCTTGCTCGGTTGCCCAGGCTGGAGTGCAGCTGTGTGATCTTGGCTCACTGCAAGCTCTGCCTCCCAGGATCATGCCATTCTCCTGCCTCAGCCTCCCGAGTAGCTAGGACTATAGGCACCCACCACCACGCCTGGCTAATTTTTTTTTTTGTATTTTTTGTAGAGATGGGGTTTCACCGTGTTAGCCAGGATGGTCTTGATCTGACCTCATGATCCGCCCACATTGCTTCCCAAAGGGCTGGGATTACAGCCGTGAGCCACCGTGCCCGGCCTCCACATTGGTTTTGATCTAAAAGGGTGGGATATCTTGAATCAGGGACTTACAGGTTATAGGTAGATTCAAAGATTTTTCTGGCCAGGTGTGGGTCATGCTTGTAATCCCAGCACTTTGGGAGGCCAAGGAGAGAGGATCCCTTAAGGCCAAGAGTTTGAGACCAGCCTGCGAAACATAACAAGACTCTGTATCTACACACACAAAATTTTTTTTAATTAGAGGCTGAGGCAGGAGAATTGCTTGAGCCTGGGTGGTTAAGCTGCAGTGAGCTACGACTGCAACTGCATTCTGGCCTAAGTAACAGAGCAAAAGCCTGTCTCAAACAAAAACAAAAAAACCCCAAATTTGCAATTAGTTAAGGAAGAGAACCTTTGTTTAAAAATTTGGGGTCCAGTAGAAAAATGTTAACTGCCTAGAAGGTGTTACTTTCTCCAAGCTCCTCAGGAAGAAACTTAGAACAAAGGATGATGGTTATAAAGTTCAGTCATTTTCCTGTCCTCTGAGGTCTATGCCAGCAGATTCATTTGGTGGGGTTCCGAGTTTCTGAGAGACAA
Organism: Homo sapiens; assembly: GCF_000001405.40. Taxonomy (NCBI): domain Eukaryota; kingdom Metazoa; phylum Chordata; class Mammalia; order Primates; family Hominidae; genus Homo; species Homo sapiens. The sequence goes on along the minus strand of NT_167246.2, from coordinate 857,310 downwards.
CGCAGAGACATATGTTAAGAGGTTATCTTTAGTTTCTATGAGGAAAGCAAACCTATTCAGAACGCTTAACTTCCTTGGCTATTGTCTTAGGCTGCTATTACCTTGTTGCTTTTCAAGTTGCTACTTATTTCTCAGAGCCAGCTAGGTGCCTGGAATTTTCCTTGAAGAAACACAGGATTTTGCTTTATTTCCATGCTTAGGAGTCCCCAAGCCCCTAAAAAGGGGGTCTTTGCATCATCTCATTTCTACACAGTCAGCAAATACTTCTTATTTTGTTTACTCTTCTGTGGTTCAAACCTCTAAGAGGCTTCCATGATCACTGCCGCTCCAAGCACTCACACACATTATTCTTTAATTCTGTATTCCTGTAGACTCTTATTTGCTCCAATTCAGTTGTGTAACTGTCATGTATGCTGGCACTATGTGCCTGACCATCCCTATTTTCACTGGACATTGTGGGGGTTGTGACTGAGTAACTTTATATTGGATTTTCTCACAGAGTATCCAATAGATGACTGTCACATGGAAACAATGAATTTAGGATAAGAGATGTTAGTCCTAAGTCCTATGTTAAACCATTTATTCAACAAAGCAGATTCTTTTAGACTGCTTTATTTAATTCTCTGTTGCATTTCCCCTAGAGTCAGTCTAGAAACGATTTTACTATATACAAACATTATAGCCTCTGGCTGTAGGGAGATGATAAACAGGAGAAAAGTGTAGACATTTCTAGGTGCCAGTAAGAGAAAGCAGATAGAGGGGGTCATGAAAAAAAGGTCTTACTACAGTGATTTGAAAAGTGGAATTAAGCTTAGCCTTACCTGTAGGGCTGAGATTATGATTATGATTATGATTATTTGAGATAGAGTCTCACTGTGTCGCCCTGGCTGGAGTGCAGTGGCATGATCTCGGCTCACTGCAACCTCCGCCTCCCAGGTTCTCCTGCCTTAGCCTCCTAAGTAGCTGGGATTACAGGAGCACGCCACCACGCCAGGCTAGTTTTTTTTTTGTATTTTTAGTAGAGACAGGGTTTCACCATGTTGGTCAGGCTGGTCTCGAACTCCTGACCTCGTGATCCGCCCGCCTTGGCCTCCTAAAGTGCTGGGATTATAGGTGTGAGCCACTGCGCCTGACTGATTAGGATTATTAAATATAAAATGGGGGCTCTACATTAAGATTAGAATATGCTCTAATAACGAGGTCAAGGAGACAATAAGATTAACACAAGGATGGCTAGGATAAAGATTAGGATTATAATAGAATTAATGTTGCTGTTCTGTGCTGATGCCAGGATAAATGTTGAATCAAAATCATTTTATGTTGGAACTAGAAATAAAACTAAGATTTTCCTTTTTCTTATTTTATCGGCGTGTACTCAAAAGGGAATTTGGTATTGCTGCCCTTGCCAGGGAAAAGCTGGGAGACAGCGTATGTGGGATTGGAACCCCAGAACCTTTTATATATTCTCTTTGGAGAGTAAGATTCATTCATTCATTCATTCATTCACTTATACATTTATAAAACTGGGTGCCAATTTTATGCAAAATTCTGGTCCTTGCCTTCTGAGAGCCTGAAATCTAGTGGGTGAACTAAGCCAGAAACACACACACAATGAACTGTAACACAACTTTTTCCAAAAGTTTTATTGTTCTGTTGTTTCTTATGCTTTGAAGTATTTGAAAAACTCTTATTTTAAGGAAGTGAAACCCCTTCGGCTGGGGGATCATTTAGATATAGTTTTAGATTGAAATGATTTCCTCAAAGCTTGTTGAGAAGTTGAAGCTTTTCACCTGGGCCTGGGAGGCATTATTTTTACCAAAAGGCAAGGTTAAGAGCAAGGAGTCTGGAGCCAGTTTTCCTGGGTTCAAATCCTGTCTTGCACATTTGCAAGTGGTAACATAAATTCTGTGTTTTAGTTTTTACCTCTGAAAAAGGATAATAATATTATCTGCTTCATAGTGTTGTTATAAGGGTTAAATAAGTCAATATGTGTAAATTGCAGGGGGTTCCTGACTTTGACCATTTTTTGACTTTATAATAATGCAAAAGAGATACATTCAGTAGAAACCGTACTTTGAGTACCAATATAACCATTCTGTTTTTTCACTTTTAGTACAGTATTCAGTAAATTACATGAGATATTCAAAACTTTATTATAAAATAGACTTTGTATTGAGGATTTTGCTGAACTGTAGGCTAATGTAAGTGTTCTGAGTATGTTTAAGGTAGGCTAGGCTAAGCTATGATGTTTGGTAGGTTAGGTGTATGAAATGCATATTCAACTTACAATATTTTCAGTATATGATAGGTTTTTTGGGAGGTAACATCATTATAAGTCAAGGAGCATCTGTACTTTAAGTGTTACTTGGGTTAACATAACAATTACATAAATGCTTATAGTATCATAACCATATCTATGTCTTTGAGCAAAGTACAGTTCGGATGACCCTGGAGCAGAAGTCTGGGATGTCACATGCAATACCATATTTGGCCGGTAGATGACACCAAGGTCCACAATGTGCCAGCCTAAACATGAAGATATTTTTGTGTCTTTTTGGCTGCTCCTTTACCTGCGATTTGTGGGCATTGTAAGAGAAGAAATAGGACTGAAGAAGCTAAGTTTCCTTTGTAAGGCTCAAGCCTGAAATACTGGGATATTTGATTATGGTGTGAAAGCAACAGTGTGTATTTGAGAGTTGCCTGACTGAAAATTATGGGGCCTGGATTTTAGTTCTGATGCTGTGGACACTGTGTGTTCTTGGGTGAGTTTCCGAACTTAGCTGGGCTTCAGCTTCCCCTTCTCTTTTGCTGTTATTTGAGGAATAAAATAGAATGAGAATACAAAACAGACATATAGTGAAGTGGGAAAAACATGAGGGAGAAGCAAAGAAGATATGGTAGGAATTAGAATTGGAGGTGAAGGAATAGTGGGGATATGGCAAGGGAGGGGAATTAAAAATGGAAGTGATAAAGGTAGGAACATGACTATGGAGGCGAAGACTTAAAGTAGAAAAAAATATAAAATATACTTGATGCCTATAATTTTTCGCATAAAGATACCTCCCTTTACTACATTTCAGTCGCTGTCTCTTGCACACATACATGCACACACACAGACATGTGGCTTTCATCCATTCCCACAATGTAATGGGTGTGAAGAAGGCAGAGGGGCAGGGAACTCAAACTTTCTGATAAAAGCACATAGAATCTCCTCTCTTTTAAAGCACATTAAGCAGCTCTCCCTCAGCTTTGTGTGAGCCCCATTTCCTTCCCCAGCAATCTCCTGAATGCCCTGGTTACCTCCTTGTTCCTCAGGGTGTATATGAGAGGGTTAAGTGAAGGAGTGCCCACTGCATAGAAGAGACCAAAGAACTTGCCCCTCTCTTGGGCATAGGGATTTTTGGGCTGGAGGTAGACAGCAATGACTGAGCTGTAGAAGAGGGTGACCACAGTGAGATGGGAGGAGCAGGTCCCAAAAGCTTTCCTCCGCCCTTTTGCAGAGTTAATCCTCAGCACTGCCCAGGTAATGGCTCCGTAAGAGACAAGGATGAGGCTGAGAGGCACAACCAAGATGAAGACACTGGCAACAGCCACCTGGATCTCATTGTAGGAGGTGTCTTCACAGGAGAGTCGAATTAGAGCTGGGACCTCACAGACAAAATCATCCACCTGCCGATCGGGGCAGAAGGGCAGGTGCAGGGTGGATGGTGTCTGGACCACTGACTCCACTAGCCCAATGACCCAGGCCACAGATGCCAGCTGCCAGCACAGGCGGGGGTGGATGATGGTGGCATAGTGGAGGGGCTGGCAGACAGCCACGTAGCGATCAAAAGCCATCACTGTCAAGAGGATGCACTCAGTTGTCCCCAGGGACAGGAAGATGAAGATCTGGACAGAGCAGTCCAGGAAGCTGATGGTCTTCTTTGGGCCCCAGAGGTTGACCAGCATTTGGGGAACACAACTCGTGGTGAAACAGAGGTCCAAGAAGGAGAGGTTGGAGAGGAAAAAGTACATTGGAGAGTGGAGCTTGGGGTCCAGCACAGACAGCAGGATGATGAGTGTGTTGCCCACTAGGGTTAGGAGGTAGGAAGTGAAGACAACCACGAAGAGAGTCCTTTCCAGCCCTGGGTGTTCAGAGAAGCCCAGAAGGAGGAAGCCCGGTGTGGAGCTTTGGTTAACCATGGCCTGTTCTTGTTTGTACCTGGAGGGATGAGGCTGTCACCCCAGTGTGATTCAACCTGTCTTATCAAAACTCAGCCTGGGTGTTTGTGAGGTCACAGCAGGTAGGTGTTTCTCTTCTGTCTCTGCTCGCCCAGCCTCCCTTTCCAAGGCTCATCACCATCCAGCAGCTCCTTCTCATTCCCTGTTCTTCCTGGTCAAACATTGTCTAGTGAGAGTGAGGAATCCATGAATGTACTGGACAGCAGATGGATACTCACACTGGTGCCTCTGACTTCCTGGGTGAGGGCAAAGGAGGCTGATTAAAATATGCACTAATTCATTAATTCATTCATTCAGGGGAAATTTATTGAGTGCCACTATGTTCTGAATGCTGTTCTAGAGTTGTCTCTTATCTATTGGATGATCTCGTAAGGTATATTGAATGAATTTTCTGATAAGTTGTCTCTGTAGGCTCAATTATTGCTCTATTGGTTGAATGAATTTTATAGAACTCTGTACATTCCATTTATTTTGTATTTTTTCATTTGCAAGTAAGCTTATCAGAGACAGTGTTTTATCTATGAGAGAGATTTTGTTTTGTTTTAAGATATCCCTACTTATAGAGAGATCAGGTTGGTTGCCCTGGCCTTTTTAGCAACCTAAGTTTCTGAACCAACTGACTTTCAGGGAGGGGTGGAAATTGGTCCACATGCTTCGTCCTTGCCATGAGTAGCTTACAAGTAGGAGGCAAGAGTGGCCACAAGCATGTTAAAATCACCAGGGTTCACAGGAACATTATCGAAAGACTCCAAGAATCACTCTCCCTAAATCTTGTAGTCTTTCAGACACCACCAAAAAGAGAGTCCAAAATTTAAAGGCCAGTAACACCAATGTACTGGGTGAATGAGAGTAAAGGTTCTGTAGGATGACTGACCAATTTGGTTGGGTATATCAGGGAAAGCTTCCTAGAGGAGGTGACTGGACTTTTTCCTTAAAATAGAGATGTATTGGGGCATAGAAGGTCAGTTGAGGGCTGGGGGTGGGAGACTGAAGCCACTCTGGCAGGTCAGAGACAAGGACTCAGGGTCTTACAGGACCTTAGGAAGGCCATGAGGGGAGGAGATGAGATGGTGGGCCACACCACAAACGTGCCATGGAGCTCAGAGGATGGCAGGAATGTCTTCCTCTTACAGGGTCCCCATCTTGTATTAAGCTCTATCACATCTCCCTTTTTGCCAGGACTCTCTGCCATTGTCTCTGTCTTCTTCCTGTTTTTCCCATTATTCTTTTCTCACTTAAAATATATTTTTAATTTTCAAAATATTGTTACATATTTAAACAACTAGGTTAAGGAACTGAGCAAATGTTTCAAGTATCTTAGAAGCTTCTGTGTGCCCCTCCCTGATCTCTCAATTTTCTCAATTTGTCACCCCTCAAGATGTCACCACCATTCTAATTTTTTTTTTTTTTTTTTTTTTTTAGAGTCACGTTTTATAGCCCAGGCTGGAGTGCAATGGCACGATCTCTGCTCACTGCAACTTCCACCTCCTGGGCTCAAGCTATTCTCCTGCCTCAGCCTCCCAAGTAGCGGGGATTACAGGCACTCAAGACCATGCCTAGCTAATTTTTGTATTTTTAGTAGAGACGGGGTTTCGCCATGTTGGCCAGGCTGGTCTCAGACTCCTGACCTCAGGTGATCTGCCTGCCTCGGCCTCCCAAAGTGCTGGGATTACAGGCATGAGTCACTGTGCCTGGCCTCTAAATTTTTAATTATGCCTTCGCTTTCATTTTTTGAGATGTATTTAACGTACCATAAAATTCGCCCTTTTGAAGTGTGTAATTTAGTGGTTTAAAGTATATTCACAAGTTGTGCAACCAACACCATTTACTTCCAGAATATTTCATTACTCCCAAAAGAAACCTCATGCTCATTGGCTGCCGCCCCCTCCTTTGTTTTCTTTGTAATATAAAATTCTTTGCATGTAACCTTAAACAATAGCCAATTGTTTCTTATTTATCCATCATGTGTCATCCTAATTAATTTTCTACATTTCTAACTTTGTCATTATCTTGGCATTTCATTCCTTTCCTTTCTCTGCTATATCGCTGAATCTCTTTAGATTACACCTTTCTTAGTGACTGTTTCCCTTTCCCTCTTTGTTCTCTGTCTTTTCCACTCTCATTATTTTTCTCCTACTCCTTTTCCTTCTGAAATATTCATGCATTGGTCTACGCATTTATTCATTTCTTGAGCCCCAAAGTGCCAGCATTGTGTTAGGAGCTGGGGAAGGAGTTGGGAGGTCCTTTGAAAGGGGTTTATGATAGTCTAGTGACCATGAGCTACCCTTGCTGTTAGTAGCTACCATCAAAGCATGGTGATAAACAACTCCCTGAACATCTGGTTCTCACAGTGACCCTACAAAGAGATAAAATTATCCCAATTTTACCAAAAAGTGAACAGTCACAGACGGGACAAGAGACTTGTAGAAGGTTACCTAGTCAATAAGTGCTAGGACTAGGATTTTAGAGTAAGTTTAACTCCAAATCTGGTCCTCCAGTGTTGAGGATAGGCGGAAACTGATATCTCACAGCCAAAGAGCAAAGGTTCTGCTTACCTTCAATCAAATAAAAATCTCTTCTGGTACCAGCAATTCCCCATGACAGAGCTCTTAACTGGTGCCCAGCCTCCACTTGTACATCAGGAAGAAACAAAAAAATAAAAAGGAATGGGCATCCTTGAATGGGCAACTGCATCTCTGGTCACAATAGGGATTGCTAATGCTGACCATCTGGCACTTTTCTAAGCACACATGTGTGTGATGAGCTGGAGCTGGCTCAGATTATCTCTTGATTAGTAAATTTTTAGGAATTTTGTGAGACAGTTATTAAACCATCAGTGGCTTGAGACAGCCATGGCAGGAATATTTACACTATGAAAATTGGCAAACACTACAAATTAGGGCTCTCCCCATCTGCCACCAACCAAGTTGTTTATTAAACATTTACTCTACACTGCTGATTATCCTTCACAACTCTACATATTATTCTCTTCCTTCCAATATGAAGAAGTTGAAACAAAGAAATATAAATAACTTTCCCAAGGCAGTATAGTTAGTAAGCACCAGAGCTGATGTTTGAACCCAAATCTGCTAACTGTAGAGGGTTTGCACCAACCAAAGCCCACCAAATCTCTGCAGGGAGGATGAAGCCAAGGTCAGAACTTTGCCATTGAGTTCTTTGCCATCGAGTTCTTTGCCATCGAGTTCTTTGCCATTGAGTTCTTTGCCAACAATTTTCCCCCTCAGTCTAGGCAGAGGTGTGCCTCTGTTTTAGTGGCATTGGAGGTAGAAATGTTGACATGGTATGGTGGTAGAGGGATCCCACGGAGGGAAAGAGCTCATTAATTCTGCTGAGACTCTAGGGTCCATAGCCCACAGACAATTCATTAGCCACAAATTATGGTAAAAGGGGCAGGGGAATATCTATAGGAAATATGCCAACAATAGTCATCACTGTGGTAGGTAAAAGAGGTCACTCATTGCTTCTTTCTGTCAACAGGAAGAAAAAGGACAGTGTCTCTACTCCCACCTCCAGTGAGTCCCGGGCATCCTGATAGTCCTCTCAGGCTTATGATTCATCTATTCAGGACCTCAGTTTTTAAAGTTCTCAGCTTCCTCCTTTTCTATTTAGTTATTCTGAGATGGAGCACACTGTAGTAACAGAGAATTATAAAGCTCTGGGTTTGGAGAGTACTTAGAACATTTAGCCAATCTTCATATAACTGAATCGTTATGCTTCTCTTCCATTAGAAAGGGAGCCTATGAGATCAGCTAATAAATGGCATGTACTAGGTCCATGGATCTACCCAGTAGTCATTTCTGCAGTCTCTAAATCTGTAACTGGAATGCACATGCTTGGCCATTGGCAGAATCCCCACATAGTTCTTTAGTCTGTGGAGTACGAGCTACAGATTGAAGTGGAAGCCCTGAATCTACACCTCTTACCGCAAAGACAGTGAATCAAGAACAATATCACAATTCAAGGGAAATGGCTGATTGAGGCCACCTTTAAAGGGTGCGGGGGTTTGTTTCTATCATATTTCACATTTAATTCACCAGTCTGGTCACTACAAATATCAGATGCAACTTGAAAGATGACCAGACTAGCACAAACTCAACCAAGAAATAGCTGTAATTACAGCTGTTGTGCCTGATTAGCACGGTTTCAGGTCCATGTTATATGGCTATTAATCTGGTGAATAATGTGTTCTTTTCTTTTCTTTTTGAGATGGAATCTCACTGTTGCCCAGGCTGGAGTGCAATGGCATGATCTTGGCTCACTGCAACCTCCCCCTCCCGGGTTCGAGCGATTCTCCTGCCTCAGCCTCCTGAGTAGCTGGGACTACAGGCGAATGCCACCACGCCTGGCTAATTTTTGTATTTTTAGTAGAGACAGGGTTTCACCATATTGATCAGACTGGTCTTTAACTCCTGACCTCGTGATCTGCCTGCCTCAGCCTCCCAAAATGCTGGCATTACAGACGTGAGCCACCGTGCCTGGCTGAATGTGTTCTTTTCAAATACTATCAGGAAGAAAGACCAAAGGCAGTTTGAATTTACAGGTATGGATATAAGTGTACATTTACATTTACATTTTTGCTTCAGTACCATGTTAAAACTCTCCCGTCATAATAGGGTCCAATGGGACATGGATGTGCTGCAAGTCCAGGCAAAAAAGCCTTGATTTACATCATTTGCTGATTTCTGCAGTGTAAATATTCTCACCATGGCCAATTTTAAACTGTCAATGTGAGATTACTGAAAATGCAGAGTTGTAGAGAAATGTATGGTAACACACCATTACACAGAATAATTTATAATACAGAGGGTTTTTTTTTGTTTGTTTGTTTTTGAGGAATAAACAAACAGTCTTTATTAGGCTCAGACCAGAAGTCCATGGATCTTGAGGAGACCTGTGTGTATTTGTCAGTTTTCTTTTTCATGTTCTTTTCCACCTATTTCTGTAGCCTCATAAGCTGTTTCTTCTTCTGGTAGTGGATCTTGGCCTTCTCCTTCCTCTTCTTCAGGGTGGCTGTCACTGCCTGGTACTTCCAGCTAACTTCATAAGCTCGGTGTCCAGGCGGACAAATTTTCTTGTAGGCTTCAGACACACAAGCTTGAGGGCAGCAGGAACCACCAAAGCTTTTTCTTGTCATGGGGCGGTGGAATGCCGTCAGACACCTTGAGGTGGTTGAGGGCGGCCTGGCCTTGGTGAGTCTTGTGGGGCAGTGGGCCTTGCACCATCCACCAGAAGATGCGGCTAGGGCCGAGAAATGGCAGGGCCTCCAGAAGGTGTTCATCCGCTTGCGGAGAAAGCCCAGGTACTTCAACTTGTTTCTGTAGAACTTGCCAGAAATGTTGATGCTCTCGCATTGTACGACCACCACCTTCTGGCCTAGAGGGAAGGAAAGGGTTGGGAAGTGCTGAGGGTGCCATCTGAAGGCTCTCCCTCTACCTGTGACTGCACACAGACAGTGATGGGCACAGCAGAGTTCATGTTTAAATTAAAAGATAGCCTAATGGAAAATCACTTCTGAACCAGGAGGACCGCACCCCAGGAATGGGAGTGGCTGGCAGGTCTCAGAGCAGTGCATGGGGTTGGTCTCATGGCCATGAGACTCAAACGAAAGATGGTGATTGTTGCTCATCACCAATCCAGAATATTTTTATTATACAGACAACATTATTTAGTATCTTTATTATATAGACATAACAGATATAAATAACCAGAAGAGTATGGAAAATATGATAAGATAGTTAAATACCTAGAAAATGAAGAGCTTAGAGATTTGTTACCTATGCCTTAAAATAACTTATTTTAAAATAATAGTCATGTTTAACAACTGGTTTGCACAATTTCTGAAAATTTAACAGTTGGCTCCATGAGGCAGTATGAGCTAGCTGCATGCAGCACACCACTGGACGTGGACCTTCTGGACATTCCACAAAACATGACATCGTTCCACTGTATCAACAATATCTTATTAACCAAACAGAATGAGCCATGAGGGCAAGCATATTGGCGGCACTGGTAAGACAAATGCACTCCAGAGAGTGGGAAATACACCCTGTGAAGATTCAGCATCCTCCACATCTTTGAAGTTTTTAGACTTTGTGCCAGGACATCCCTCTAAAGTAAGAACACATTATTGCATTTCACACTTAACACCAGTAATGCAGAATTGGAAAGAGATGCACAGTAACACACTATTACACAGAAGAATTTATAATACAGAGGTGTTTTTTGGAATAAACAGTCTTTATTAGGCTCAGACCAGGAGTCCATAGGTCTTGAGGAGAACTGTGTGTATTTGTCAGTTTTCTTCTCCACGTTCTTTTCTGCCTGTTTCTGTAGCCTCATAGGCTGTTTTCTTCTTCCAGCAGTGAATCTTGGTCTTCTCCTTCCTCTTCTCCAGGGTAGAGAATGCTTGGTTGTCCTATTTAGGATCTAGAGGAAACATATTCCACACTCATGGGAATACCACATGGAACAGTTTACTAGCGACTGACTGAAGCCCAGAGCAGACCTGGGGTCCGCAGCTGTTCTAAGCTGTCATATCAGCCGTGTGGTAGTGCTTTGGTCATGTGACTCAATAGACTCTGGGGCACTAAAGGTATCAGTGGTGGGAAAAGATACAGTGTGGCATTTTGGGCAAGCCTTGAAAGGAAAATCACAACATAGATCCCTGGGGTTCTTCATCAAATCTATGCTGTCTGCTGCAGGAAAGTAAACCCCATTAGGAAACAAGTCCTAGCTTGCTCTTGGGCCTTACTAGAGACAGAGCTCCTGATCATGAGACATCAAATGGCTATTAGGCTACAACTGTCCATCATGAGCTGGGTCCTGTCAAATCAATCAAGTGATGAGGTCTAGTGGTTGCAACATCATCAGTTGTAAGAGAGAAGTCGTATATCCTGCATCAGTCATGGGCAGAACTGGAGGGTAAATGCAAGGTGCTGAAGTGGGGGGCCCAGATTCCCATGTCCTCCACGCTGTGGCCTTGGTACTTCCCAACTTGCTCATACCAGTGGCTCATGGGAGTGTTCTAGTTATTTATTGCTGCATAACAAAGTCTCCCCAAATTTAATGGCTTAAATGAACACAAACCTTATTGTATCTCACATGTTGTGGGCCAAGAATTTGGAACGAAATTGGCTGGGTTTCCTTATATTCCATGTTGCATCAGCTGGGATCCCTTGGAAGTATTCAGCTGGCAGATGGACTGCTCTAGAGGGTCCGAGACAGCTTCACTCACATGCCTGGCACCTTGGTGGGTTCACTGTAAGTTTGGGCTCATTTTCTCTGTCTTCATGCTATCTCAGGGCCTTTCTACATGGTCTGCCCAGCATGATAGACTTTTTACTTGGAAATTCAGGACTCCAGGATAGCAAGGAGGAACAGCCAGTTCTCTTACAGGCTGGCCCCAGAGCTGGCATGGTGTCACTTCTGCCACGCTGTTTTTGTCAAAACAGTCATAGACTAGCACAGATTCAAGGGGAGGGGAAATAGATAGCCCTCCTGATGGGATGATTGTCCGATAGTTTGCAGCCATCTTTAATCTGTCATGGGGGGGGAGGGGTACTTTATGATTGGCTAATGGAGGAAAAATAAGATGACCTTGGTTCATGGATGTATCTGCTCAACACATTGGTGTGAGCTGAAAATGGACTGCTGCTGCATTATAGCCACACTCAAGAGTAGTTCTGGAAGACAGTAGAAATTGTAAATCTTCCCAATGGGCAAAGCTTTGAGTAGTGCACCTGATTATCTATTTTGTGTAGAAAGAATAATGGCCTAATGGAAGAATATTTGTGAATACATGGGCAGTGGCAAATGGCTTGGTTGGTTGGTCAAGTGCTTGGAAGGAGGAGGTTTAGAAGATGAAGAACAATGAAATTTGAGGAAGAGGCACTTGGATAGGTTTATGAAAATGGGAAATCTTTTTATTTATGAAATTGGGAAAATTGTGAATATCTTTGTGTTACATGCTAATGCCCACTAGAAAGCATCCACAATAGAAGAGGCTCTAAACCTCTTCTAAACCAAGTAAACAGTGACTATAGGCCAGTTCACACTAAGCAGTCTTCTCCACAGGCCACCCTAGTGCTGGTAAAAATGGACTTATGAAGGCAGTAACTATGGTGGCAGGATGCAGGTCTGTATGTGTTCAACAGCATGGCTTTCACTCACCAACACTGATCTAACTCCTGCAGCTACTGAACGTCCGGCCTGCCAGAAACATGCAAATGCTGCCCTTGATATGGCACTATATCCTGGGCATGAGTTTGCAGGTCCAGGATTCAAATTGGATGCTGCGCAATGCGAAAGGGCTCTGTGTATTTGTAGAAAACCCCCAAACTGACCATTTTCTCCTACTATATTCTCAACATTCAACACTTCTAGTCACCAAAACATGTTCGTTTTTATTTTATTTTATTTTGTTTTGTTTTATTTTATTATTTTTTGAGATGGAAGTCTTGCTCTGTTGCCCAGGTTGGAGTGCAGTAGCGCGATCTCGGCTCACTGCAAGCTCTGCCTCCTGGGTTCATGCCATTCTCCTGCCTCAGCCTCCCGAGTAGCTGGGACTACAGGCATCTGCCACCATGCCTGGCTGATTTTTTGTATTTTTAGTAGAGACGGGGTTTCACCTTGTTAGCCAGGATGGTCTTGATCTCCTGACCTTGTGATCCGCCCGCCTCAGCCTCCCAAAGTGCTGGGATTACAGGGCTGAGCCACCACGCCCGGCCAACATGTTGGTTTTTCTTCCAGACTGACCAATACATTCTTCAGTGGACACCAACTTGGTGTCCTATAATTCAATTCAATTCACTTCTGACATTATTCACCTGGAGATACAGTGAGATCCCACAGGTTAAAGGATCCCATAAGGCTGCTCCCCACTTCAGATGCCAATCACAAGTCCAAGCTTCTGGAACTTCTGACCTACTGGGAACCCTACTGGGGGTTCCCACAATCCCCTCCTTGGGTTTGATGATTTATTAGAGCAGTTCACAGAATACATGAAAGCTCTTTAGTTCAATTTACCAGTTTATTATAGAGGATATTCCAAAGGATACAAATGAACAACAAAATAGAAGAGATGTACAGGAAAAGGTGTGTGGGAAGGGTTACAGAGCTTCTGGGGCATGCTGCCCTCTCAGCATTTCTGTGTGTGCACCAGCCTGGAAGTTCTCGGAGCTCTGTAGTTCAGGGATTTTTGTGGAGGCTTCATCAAATAGATATAGTTGATTATTAACTCAATGTCTAGCCACTCTCGATTTTCTGGAAGATGAGGGTAGAGCTGAAAGTTTCAAACTTCTAATCATGGCTTGGTCCTTCTAGTCAGAGTCCCCATTCAGGGGTCCCCCAAGGGGTCACCTCATTAGAACAAAAGATGCTCCTGTTACCCAGGAAATTCCAAGGGATTAGAGCTCAATGTTAGGAACTGACATATTTGGTCAAAGACCAAATATTAGAACAAAAGACTCTCCTAGCACCCCTATTGCTCAGGGAATTACAAGGGCCTTAGGAACTCTGTGCCAGGAACTGGGATCAAAGGCCAAATATGTATATCTTATTATATCACAATATTACAGCCTCTTGGCCACCGCATTATTCTGCAGCCCATGACTGCAATAGCTTTTTGGATTATATTCAGATGCTTTTCACATGTGGCGATAGACTCAAGTACCATACTCAGTGATGACCTCAGAATTACATGTCATTTTGCTATGAGTCTCTCCCAAGTTTAGCTTTTTGAAAAATCTTTTGGTTTCATATTATATTATGGGATATATTAGCAATCTCTGATAGTTTTGTGGCATATTAAATATTCATGGATGAAGCAGCTTTGGGAGTCGATAATGGATAGGGTGTTTATAACTAACCTAATTTAAATTTTATTCTAGTTACTACATTACTATGGCTATTTTGCCTGGCAATTAATGAAGAGCACTGGAACTGATTCTTACTGGGGCATAAACTTGTAGCCACTTCTGCCTTGAACCTATTAACTGCTTAAAATTTACACACACACACACACATACACACAATTTATTTTGAATATGTAAAGCACACACAGCTGTAACATTTAAAAGACAGGCAAAAATATAAAGTGAAAAGCAGATTTCTCTTCCATGTCTGCTCTTCTTCAAGTTACTGCTGTCGATGATGTCATAGGGCTCACTAGCTCCAGAAACAGCTTCTTCTGCAGGAACCTGGGAGGCTTCCAAGACACAAAGGGATTTTACTTCCTGCTGAACGACGTTGGTGATGGCTTTCTTGACTCCTCTAGACCTTGCGACCGCCGGATCCCAGTTGGCGTAATCTGCCACAGTCTTTGGAAGGAGCAGGCATCATGGGCCCAGAGCTTGAGCCGATTTCTTCTCCTCGACACGGCGCTCTTGTCTAGGGGAGGCTGGCACAGAGGTCTGCAACCATGGGCCAGCTCCGCCCTGCTCTGCTGTTAGCCCACGCTGGAGGCCAATGCTTTCGTGAGGACGCAGGCCCTAGGATTTCTTTCTGTAAATATAGTCTATCCTCCATTCCCACAGGTTCTGCATCCACAAGCAAACATGAATTGAAAATACAATATTCTCAGGATGCTAAACTCATGGATGTGAGAACCGACTTTTTGTATTTGTGAGTTCTGCAAGGTCAACTTTGGGACTTCAGCATCTGCAGATTTTGGTATCTGAGGGGTGTCCTGGAACTAATTCCCTGGGGATACTGAGGGGTGACTGTAATAAATATTCATTACATACCTACTGTGCCAGATACTATGCCAGGCACTAAGAGTATAAGGATAAGTGAGCCAAAACCCTGACCCTCACTTTCCTTACTGTGTACTTTGAGAGGTAGACAATTAAAAAGATCCTGTTACTTCATGGGAAGTGCTTTTTGTTGGTGGTAGAGAGGAGCTGGAGGGGAGAGTCTTCCAAAGAGAGGGAGGAGCACGTTCAAAGGCTAAAGGTGGCAGAGAGCCTGGTGTGGTTCATACACTTGCACTTGCAGGTAGTTGTGTGAACTTGCAGGATTCTAGGTGGTTGAGCCTTAGGAGGTGGGGATGGTAAAGTCTGGAAAACAGGAACCCGATCTAGGAGTTTGGGCTCCACATTTTATTGCAGGGGGATTCTATATATTATTTTTGGCTAAGGGAGTAACATATTCAAATTTGTATTTTGGAATGATTACTCTGGTTCAACATGGATAATCAATTTCAATCGGTCAAGACTGGAGGCAAAGAGCCAGTTAGTAGTCATTCATATCATCCACCAAATATTTCTGGTTCCCTTTCCTGCCACATGATTGGTTTATTTCCCCTCACCTTGAAGTTATATGTAGCCATGAGATTTGCTTTGGCAAATGACCAATGAGTCAAAGTGTTATGCCACTTCCGATTGGAAACTAAGTGCTAGTTTGCCATTTGTCATGCTTATTATTTCCTCCTTTCCCAGCACCTAGGAGTGTTTGAGATGGTGGGTGTTCTGTCAGTCCACATCTTTGGGTGAAGATGACAAGGCAGAACCTCTGGTTGGATGACAATGGGCATGCAGCAGCAGCAAGAAATAAACCTATGCTGTTTCAAGTCACTGAGGATTGGTATTGTTATCACAGCATAACCTCTTTCCTGACAGGAAAGAGGAGAGAATGGTTCAGTTCTAAACAGATTTTTCCATCACACTCTCCATTCCATTCATGTGAGGCTTTGAGAATGTAATGAATGTAGATCAACTTGAAAAAGGAAATAAGATTTCATAGAAGTTGGGGCTTACACTGCTGCTCCCTTTTTTCTGAGGCCCTTGCTCCATCCAGGCTCCATTGCAGCACTTTATTACTTACAATTGGATTTCATGTTTGTGCCTGGCTAGTAGAGGTTGGTCAGAATTTCAGAACTGCACTAGAAAATGGATGCAGGACAGCTGTTAGCACTGTGTAGCCACTGAAGAGCAGACTCACAACTCCTCATGGTCACTGTCATGCAGAGGTTGAGAAGAGGTAAAGGAAAATCATCTCCAGGAATGGGAGCACATTTTCAGGATTTGGCAGGAGATTAGTGTTGTGATCCCTGGAAAGCTGGATGATCAGAAAACTTACTAGGACTGGAAAAATAGAGTTTTCTGCCTGATAACCCATTTGGGTATAAATCCTAATGATGTTGGTATATTTATAATGGTGTAAAACCAACAGCATGCACTTGGTAAGTTAACAGATATGCATCTCAATTTAGGTCTAACAAATTGCTGTGTGTTCTTGGGTGAAATTACTAAATTCTCTGAGTGTCAGCTTCCTGTCAGTCCACCTCAAGCAAGTGGAGATGAACCATCCTGATGACAAAGGAAAGAAGACATTGTCAGAATCAGAAGTGGCTGGGTGATGTGGCTCACTCCTATAATCCCAGCACTTTGGGAGGCCGAGGCGGGTGGATCACCTGAGGTCAGGAGTTCGAGACCAGCCTGGCCAACATGGTGAAACCCCGTCTCTACTAAAAATAAAAAATTAGCTGGGCATGGTGGCATGTGCCTGTAGTCCCAGCTACTCAGGAAGCTGGGGCAGAAGAATCACTTGAACCCAGGAGGCGGAGGTTGCAGGGAGCCAAGATCGCACCACTGCACTCCAGCCTGGGCGACAGAGTGAGACTCCATCTCAAAAAAAAAAAAAAAAAAAAAAAAAGAATCACAAGTGATGGTAAAATGATGATGATAATGTAACAATCGGAGAGGGGTTACATAACCAGAAATAGGCATGGTGCATTTGGAGAACCTGTAGGGGAGAAGAGAGTTAAAAACCAAATTGAAAAGAAAATAAAAATATAGAAATTAAATATTAAAAATGGGCAGGTATGATAATCTTTTTGAGCTTTAGATGTTAATTAAAGATACCTACCTCCTCTTACCTGACTCTTAGTCTTTCTCTGTCTCTTTCTCTCTCTCACACACACTCATATACTGTGACCCATTGTAAACACTGTGATGGGTGTATGAAAGGTAGTATACTTGGGAGCTCAAACTTGTTCACAAAAGGATAAATAATTTCTTCTTAATTTAGAAAGCACATTAAACAGCTCTCCCTCAACTTTGTATGAGCCCCATTTCCTTCGCCAGCAATCTCCTGAATGCCCTGGTTACCTCCTTGTTCCTCAGGGTGTATATGAGAGGGTTAAGTGAAGGAGTGCCCACTGCATAGAAGAGACCAAAGAACTTGCCCCTCTCTTGGGCATAGGGATTTTTGGGCTGGAGATAGACAGCAATGACTGAGCTGTAGAAGAGGGTGACCACAGTGAGATGGGAGGAGCAGGTCCCAAAAGCTTTCCTCTGCCCTTTTGCAGTTAGTCCTTAGCACTGCCCAGGCAATGGCTCCATAAGAGACAAGGATGAGGCTGAGGCACAGCCAAGATGAAGACACTGGCAACAGCCATCTGGATCTCATTGTAGGAGGTGTCTTCACAGGAGAGTCGAATTAGATCTGGGACCTCACAGACAAAATCATCCACCTGCTGATGGGGGCAGAAAGGCAGGCGCAGGGTGGATGGTGTCTGGACCACTGACTCTACCAGCCCAATGACCCAGGCCACAGATGCCAGCTGCCAGCACAGGCAGAGGTGGACGATGGTGGCATGGCGCAGGGGCTTGAAGATAGCCATGTAGCGGTCAAAGGCCATCACCGTCAGGAGGATGCACTCAGTGGTCCCCAGGGACAGGAAGATGAAGAACTGGACAGAGCAGCCCAGTAAGATGATGGTCTTCTTTGGCTCCCAGAGGTTGACCAGCATCCCGGGGACACAACTTATGGTGAAACAGAGGTCCAAGAAGGAGAGGTTGGAGAGGAAAAAGTACATTGGAGAGTGGAGCCTGGGGTCCAGCACAGACAGCAGGATGATGAGTCCACCGGGGTTAGGAGGTAGGAAGTGAAGACAACTACAAAGAGAGTCCTTTCCAGTGCTGGGTGTTCAGAGAAGCCCAGAAGGAGAAAGCCTGGTGCGGAGCTTTGGTTAACCATGGCCTGTTCCTCTCTGTATCTGGAAGGATGAGGCTGTCACCCCAGTGTGATTCAACCTGTCTTATTAAAACTCAGCCTGGGTGTTTGTGAGGTCCCAGTAGGTGAGTGTTTCTCTTTTGTCTCTGCTCGCCCAGCGTTCCTTTCCCAGTCTCATCACCATCAAGCAGCTCCTTCTCATCCCCTGTTCCTTCTGATCAAACATTGTCTAGTGGGAGTGAGGAAACCATTAATGTGCTCAACAACGGATTGAGCCTCACACTGGTGCCTCTGACTTCCTGGTTGAATGCAAAACGTCTGATGTGAAGCATAGATCAGCTAACTAGTTAGTTTTTATTAATTTTGCAAAAATTTATTAAGTACCTATTATGTTCTGATCGCTATGCTACTACTGAATTTTCCCTTTGTTATGTGTGGAAGGAAATACAAAGAAATGTGTGTTCAGTGAGTTTCCTAATTGTAAACATTACTAGAGAATTCATCATGTTTTCTAGTGGTGGGCATAAATTTTCTCAAATCATTCACATTCTATCTACTTTACACTTTTGCAAGAGATTTGACCAGTGATAGAAATGTGGACTGTGGAGATTTCTTCTGTATGTGAAATGACTCAACTGCTAGAAAGATCAGTCAGGTGATTTAGGTCTTTCAAAAAAAATTATGACTTATTAAACTAAGAACAAACATTTCTCCTGCAAATGAAATGTCCTGCCTAAATTTTCCATTATGTGTAATATGTAAAAATAAGAAAAAATATAATGTCAGTCAGAAAGATTATTTTCTGGTTCTGTAACTGCAAAAAAATCCTGAAGAATTGATGTTTGGTGATAGAAAGCTGAAATAGATTTCAATATCCTCTCCTTTTCATGTAAGATAAAATATAGTAGTAAAAACATACCATGTTGAGTTTGGGACATGTAAGTAGAATTTTGCTTTTGAAAATACTCGGTTAATTTTATTCACATGCAATTAAAAACCTTTGATTTTGAAATAAGTTGAAACTTACAGAAAAGTTGCAAGTGTAGTTCCAAGAACTTCTATATAACCTTTATCAAATTCATCAATTTTTAGTATTTTTACTCATTTTCACTATCATTATACTCAATATGTTTATGTATTTTCATTTTTACTCTGAGTCACTTGGGAATAACTTGTGGACATCATGCCTCTTTCTCCTTATTGTCTTAGTATTCATATTCTACAACAAGATGATCTTAATTAACACTGTACAGCAATTAAATTCAATAAACTTAAAATTGATACAGTATTGTTATGTAACACACAGTCCATATTCTTATTTTCTCTATGTCCCAATAATGTTCTTTGTAGGATTTTTTTTTTTCCACGTAGGATCCAGTTGAGAGTCACATATTGTACTTAGATGTCAGGTCTGACTTTATCCTCTTTAGTAGCCTATCCTAAGTCACTGAAGTAAGGAGTCTACTTCAAATTATTGAACAATGTGGTCATTCAAGGCGGAGGAGCTTATGGGCTGGAAGAAAGAGTAGTCTCATGGCTTTGAAAAACCCTGGGTAGTACATTCAACATCAGCAGAAAACTTGAAACATTGCAGGCAAATAAGGCAAAAATATTGGGGTAGGGGGCTAGAGGTGAGAGATAGATCTGTAAAGAAAATGAGTAGGGTGGTTGAGTGAATCAGGGAATGCTTCCTGGAGGAGGGGACTGTGTTTTTGAGAAGGTGAAGAGAGTTTCAGCACACAGGGCCAACTCAGATATGGGTGGACGGTGGCAGCCACTCTGGCAGTTGAGAGGCAGGAACTGGGCAAGTTGATGGGGAGGTGGCTGGAGAGGCTATAGGTTGGCAGCATCTACCCATTGCAGTGTCTCTTTTTTGTGTGTTTAAAAGCCCCATCTCATCTTTTTATTTGTTCAACCTGTTTATATTTGTCTCTTTTTTCGTTTCCTTCCTCCTATATTCTTTTTACTCTGAGAAAAATTTTTCCTTTAAAATATTGTTGAATATTTTAACAAAAGATTGTTTAAATCTTAAAAGCCTTCTGCGTGCCCTTCCCTAATCATACCTACTACCTACTCCTGAAGACGCAATGACTATTTCAATTATTACTTTTACAAAATCATTCCTATATTGTCTTATAACATTACACCCTTTGTGTTGGTAAAAAATAGCCAACTCCTCCTTATTTATCTGTCAACCATCATTCTAATACACTTTCTGCATCCCTCTTTTACACTCTTATACTCTTGGTAATTCATTGCTTCACTCTATGTCATTTTTCAGTCTCTTCAATTTACATAGTTCTTTGACTCTCTTTCTGTTCTCTCTTGTTCTGTGTTTCACAACGTGTATTTGTTCTCACTCTCTTTCTTCTGGTCTTTTTAATTTTTCTTGGACACCCACAAAAGTCCAGTACAACTTTACTCTCTTCCTATTAATTTCATATTCACGGATGTATTTATTTCTTTATTAATCACCAAAGACCTAGTTGTGTACTAGGTGCTACAAGGGAATGAAATATCAATTCTTTTCTCCAATTCATTAGTGAAAACCACGTTAATACTTTGGCAGCTACCATCTGTTGTGTGCTTCCTATACACCAGGCACCATGCTAAACATTTCCTGAATACCTGGTTCTCATAACTCTTTGAGGTAGTTAATATCATCTTCCTTTTACAGAAGAAGAAATGGTCGCAGAGAGGTTAAGTAGCTTGCCCAAGGTTACATAGCCGATGAAGACCAGGCCTGGAGTCTGAGTCCTGTTTGATTCCAAATCTGGTGCTCCTGGGGTAGCTCTACCATTGACGATATGTGGACATTAATGGACAGTAGGAGAAGAATAAACTTATAACTTTTCCTCAATCATGTCACAATCTCCCCATTGCCTGCTGCCGGAGCTTCTCCCTGACAACGAGCTTCTAGACTGAGTGAGCCTCTAGTTAATCCTCACAATGAAATCTACAAGCAAAGTCAGGAGTGTTGGGCACCTTTGAAAGGGTGGTGGATTAGGGCTCAGGTAGTAATGTTGACTTCTAATGCTGCTGCCACACCTTTCAAAGCACTTCACAACCTCTGTATGACCTGGATAATATTTCTATATTCTATATTTATTTTCAGATGAAGAAACTAAAACATAGGTTAAATAATTAGCTCAGAATTATATAGCCAGAGCTGAGACTTGAACCCAGGTGGGTTGGCTCTAGAGTCAGGCACAAACTATACCCCACCACCATCCTTCTTCTGGACCTGTAAGGCTGAAGGTTGCTCTTTGCCCACAACCTCTCCTCTTCAACCTAGTAAGTTAACCTCTCTTTTAATGGTAGTGGAGATAGAGAAGAAAACGTGGTGAAGTGATGGAGGGAGGGATCCCGGGACTCCCATCCCATGGAGAGAAATGGCTTGTTAATTCTCCCAAGACTCCAGAGCGTCACAGTTCACAGACAATTAATTAGCCACTGGTGCTAATGATGATTAAGAAAGAAGGAGATGATTCAGAGGAAACGTGCCAGCATTGGTGCTCCCTGTGGTAAGTAAAAAGGTCACTTCTGCTCCTCTGTGTCATTGAGGAGCACAAGGTCATGTTTTCTCATTGCCACCTCTCCTGAGTGTGTCCCATTCTTTTCTCTCAAGTCTCATTTGAACCCATGTAAGACTTCGTTATTTCTTGTTTCTTCTCTACTGGTAGACATTTGGATATAATTTACATGCAATAAAATGCACAGATTTGAAATATACGCTTTGATGAATTTTGATGACTTCAATGAAGAAACAGAAGATTTCCATCATCCTACAAACCTTCCACTTGCCTCTTTCCTTGATACTTAGTTTTGCCTCTTCTAGGACTTCATACAAATGGAATAATATATACTCCTTTGAGTAAGAATTATTTCACTAGGAGTAATTATTTTGCAATTTATTCATGTTGTTTCAAGTATCAGTAGCTCATTTCTGCTTTTAAAATCAACTTCAGTCTGGGCATGGTGGCTCACATCTGTAATCCCAGCACTTTAAGAGGCCAAGAGGAATGGATCACCTGAGCCCAGGAGTTCGAGACCAGTCTGGGCAACATAGCAAGACCTTGTCTCTACGAAAAGTACAAAAACTTAGCCGGGTGTGGTGGCCTTCATCTGTAGTCCCAGCTCCTTGGGGGGCTGAGCTGGGAAGATAACCTGCGCCTAGGAGATTGAGGCTGCAGTGAGCTGTGATCATGCCACTGCACTCTAGCCTGGGTGACAGAGTCAGACCTTGTCTCAAAAAAACATAAAATAAAATAAACTTCTTTAAGATAGAATTTACATGTAATAAAATGCACACATTTTAAGTATATTGTTCAATATACTTAGGAGGTCAAGGCTGTAGGGAGCCGTGATTGCACCACTGCACTACTGCACTCCAGCCTGGGTGACAGAGTGAGACCCTGTCTCAAAAAAAAAAAAAAAAAAAAAAAAGCAAGCAAGCAAGCATTCATACATTCATACCACCTGATTTCATTGACATAACTTTCCTACAACAGGAAAAGCAAATCTAGCAAGATAGAAATCAGATGATTGGTTGTCTGGGACAGGGCATAGGATAACTTTCTAGAATAATGAAAATGCATGCTCTATATCTTGAATGGGGTATTGGTTATCCAAGTGTATGCACTTGTCAAAACTTATTGAACAATATACTTAAAATGTGTGCATTTTATTACCCGTAATTTGTACTTCAATGAAATTTACTTTTTTTATGTTTTTTGAGACAAGGTGTTACTTTGTCACCCAGGCTAGAGTGCAGTGGTGTGATCACAGTTCACTGCAGCCTCAACCTCCTGGACTCAACCCCCCAAGTAGCTGGGATTACAGGTGCAGGCCACCACACGCGGCTAAGTTTTGTACTTTTTGTAGAGACAGGGTCTCGCTGTGTTGCCCAGACTGGTCTCGAATTCTTGGGCTCAAGTGATTCACCCACCTTGGACTCCCAAAATGCTAGAATTACAGGCATGAGCCACCATGCCTGGCTTCATGCCTTATTTCTGGCTTCTGTTATCCGGCTTGTTATGGAAATTCATTCATAGTGTTTCATATATTAGTAATTTGCTCCTTTTTATTGCTAATAGTATTTCACTGTATAAATATACCACAGTTTATCCATTCATGCATTGATGGGCATTTGGGTTGTTTCTAGTTTTGGGCTGCTATGAAAGAAGCCACAATTGTTGGGTATGGTGGCTCACACCTGTAATCCCAGAACTTTGGGAGGCCAAGGTGGGAGGATACTTGAGCCCAGGAGTTTGAGACCAGCCTGGGAAACATGATATAACCCTGTCTCTACAAAATAATACAAAATATTGGCCGGGCATCGTGGTGCATCCTGTAGTCTCAGCTACTTGGGGGGCTGAGGTGGGAGGATCACTTGAGCCCAGGAAGTTGAGGCTGCAGTGAGCCATGATCATGCCACTGCACAACAGCCTGGGTCCGAAAAAAAGAAGAAGAAGAAGAAGAAGAAGAAGAAGAAGAAGAAGAAGAAGAAGAAGAAGAGGAAGAGGAAGAAGAAGAGGAAGAGGAAGAGGAAGAGGAAGAGGAAGAGGGAGAGGAAGAAGAAGAAGAAGAAGAAGAAGGAGAGAACAGTTAGTTGTGTTGTATATGGTTCTTCGTTCTTTGTGTGAACACATGTGTTCTTTATTTTGGGTAAATACCTAGAATTGGAATTTCTGAGTCATTTGCTGTCTGTTTATCTTTATAAGAAACTGCTAAACTGCTTTCCAGAGTGATTGTGCCATTTACACTCCCTACAGCGATGAGAGTTCCAGATGTTCCACATCCTTGGTAATACTTGGAATTGTCAGTCTCTTGGTTTTAGGCATTCTATCGGCTGTGAAGTGCTCCCTCAAGTCGTTTCAATTTGCTCTGTGATGGTTAATGGTGTTAAACATCTTATCATGTGCTTTATTGGTCCTTACGTGTCTTTTATTCAAATTATTTTTCATTTTTTTAACTGTGTTGTCTTATTAAAACTGTAGTCATATCTTATAATAATATAAGTAACATAATAAGTATTTATGGTAATACTTTGAGATTATGCAAGTATCTTTTTCTCATTATAGTTTTGCCTACTAATTTTAGCATCCACAAATGAGTTTTGACTGTAACAATTACTATTGGGCTGTTTGCCTAATGATAACTTTCATCATTTCTCCTATGTTTGTTATTTTGAATTTTGTAAGAGCTGTCCCTCTCCTCCTATTCGTTTACTGTTTATTTTCTTTATTCATATCCAGTAATGACTCCTGGATGTTTATTTTATTCTTTCTTCATTATTCTCATTATTTACTTTGCTGTTTACATTTTCCCAGACTTGGCTATGGGGAAATCCTTTAACGTGATTACTGTGAGTTTTTTGATGTGTCCTCATTTTTTTTTTTAATGACTTCTTTAGTTTCTGGCATCATACAGTATTCCAGGGTTATCTTGTATGTTCTCTTTCCTCTGTCTGGGATCAACCATCTCTCCAAGGACTCCTGGTTCTTTTTACCAGAAAGTCGTATACAGCTGACCCTTGAACAATGCATGGGTTAGAGGTGCTGACCCCCTCATACATTTGGAAATCCATGAATAACTTTTGACTCCCCTAAACCTTAACTACTAATAAACTACTGTTAACCAGAAGCCTTACTGATCATATATACAGTTGACTGACACATATTTTGTATGTTGTATGTATTATATACTGTATTCTTACAATAACATGAGCCAGAGAAAAGAAAATGTTATTAAGAAAATTATAAGGAAGAGAAAATACACTGACAGTACAATACCGTATTTATCAATTATGTAAGTTTGTGTCATCTGTTAAGAGATGAAACATCAGTCAGAAATGGCAGGAAACTGCAGCAGCAGACCTCAATCTATAGCACATATCAAGCAATTCAACTTTTTCCTGTAATGTTATGGCTTTTCTCTGTCTCCAGGGAAAACTTCCAGCATCACTATATGGGTCTCGTGGTGTTATTCAGGCTTTATGGAATTGCACTAAACACAATTAAAAATACACAAGATCCTGGGCGCGGTGGCACACCTGTAATCCCAGCACTTTGGGAGGCCGAGGGGGGTGGATCACTTGAGGTCAGGAGTTCAAGACCAGCTTGGCCGTCTTGAACCAAAGAACGATTCTACTAAAAATACAAAAATTAGCCAGGCGTGGTGGTGCATGCCTCTAATCCCAGCTACTTGGGAGGCTGAGGCAGGATAATCACTTGAACCCGGGAGGCAGAGGTTGCAGTGAGCTGAGATCGTGCCACTGCACTCCAGCCTGGACGACAGAGCAAAACTCTGTAATAAACAAACAAACAAAACAAAAACAGGACAACCGCAAGAACCGTGAGACATCACTTTTTCCTAAAGAGAAGACGAACTGCTTACGTGGGAATGATTAGTATTACATGACATTTTAATCCCATACTCCCAACACTTGAGCTCACCCAATAGTAACAGGAGGTGGCTACATAATTATTATAGTAGGACAGAATGTACTATGACTAATTTTACGCAGTTATGATTTAATACTGTATTTTATGATTGTTTATAAGTATTTGTGTGTGAGTTTTAATAAATTTTAACTTTTTATAATAGATTTGTGTATATTTTATAGTAAATGATAAAGTATGCTAGTATCTACGTATGTTTTATGCATTTATGATATGCCTAATTGTTTCTTAATTATTTTGATGTTTCTAAGCTATGAAGTTTGCGAGTTTTTTCAAATTGTCACAAAGGTACAAAATTTTCCAGTATATTTACTGAAAAAAATCTACATTCAATGGACCCATGCAGTTCAAACCCTTGTTGTTCAAGGGTCAACGATATTGTATTTTTCAGTTCCAGCATTTCCGTTTGGCTTTTTAAAATGGCAGTTTCTACATCTGTCTCCTAAAATTCATCATTTCTTTACCCATTGTATAAATCTTTCCCTGTGGATTCTTTAAAATACTATAGTGATTTTAAAGTCTCCATCTGATAATTCTAACATTTCGGTGGCGTTTGGGTTTGTTTTTATTGAGGATTTAAAACTGTTTGTCTAATATTTCTGTTTCTTCACATGATTGGTGATTTCCTGTTTTACACTTGATGATGTGAGTAATATGTTACAGAGATTCCGTATTCTATTACCTTTATCTATTTTGTATTCTATTATCTTTCTCTGAAGCGTATTGAATCTTGTTTAATAAGCAGATATATTACCCACTTATCACTTTGAACTTCTGAAAAACTGGCTTTACATTTTGCTGGAATGGATCATTGCAGTTTTTTCTTGGTTCTAGGGTGAACTCCTTAAGCCTTGGTTGTCATTTTGACTTCTAAGATCTGGTCCTTTTGGGGTTTTAGTTAAAGGCACATTATTTTCAGATGTCTGTTAATGGTAGCAGAGCCTAATCCTAAGTGAAATCCGAAATCCCCAGCTGACAGAAGAAAGTACCAAATAACTTGCATGAGAAGTAGGAGGCAGAGCCTGGATTCACTCCAAGATGGCCTGACTGCTACAAAGTGGAAATGCGCCATTGGTCAACACATCATCCTGCACTTATGACTGCATTAGTTATTCCAGTTGCTTTGTCAGGTTGGACAATTTTTGCACATTGACATCAGTCCCATGTACCAGGCTCAGCAATTGTCTCAGAATTACTTTTTTTTTTTCATTAGGTTTGGTCTCTGATTTTAGCTAATTATAAATTTCTTTGCTTTCAGATATATTATGGGCTATATTATCAATGTTTCTAAATTTTGCAGTATGTAAAAGATTAGTGGAAAATAAATTTTGGGGAGTAGGGAAGGCACAGAATCACAATAGTTAACCTACTATAGCCACCAACTTTTCATGGCCCTTTGCCTGTCAACTAGTGATGAGCACTGAAACTGGTTCCCATTGGTGCATAGCTTATAGCCAGCTCCATTCTGAGCTGATGACTACATAAAAAATATACTATCCCTTCCCATACTATCTGCCTATCTGAATGTGTAAAATATGCACAGTTGCAAAACTAAAAAATAGCAACAATAATAAGATAAGACATATAATGAATAGTCCACCTCTCATTCCTGCTCCTCAGGCAACTTGCAGAGTCAGTGTCTCCTCACAGAGATGTTGTATGCACATTTTAGCATATGTGTATATTTTCTTCCTTTCTAAATAACAAAATATTATACATATATTTTGCAACTTGGCTTTTAAATTTAATTCAACTGTATACACCAGCACTTATTTAGTTGTCTATTGATAAGTGTTGTTCCCATTTATTTCAGTTGCAAATAATTATTTCACATGAATATTCTTGTACATGGCTTATTTCACACATATATAAGTGTACTAATAGGGCCAGGCATGGTGGCTCATACCTGTAATGCCAGCACTTTGGGAGGCGGAGGCAGGTGGATCACCTGAGGTCAGGAGTTCGAGACCAGCCTGGCCAGCATGCTGAAACCCCATCTCTACTAAAAATAAAAATAATAAATAAATAAATAAATAAATAATAGCCAGGCATGGTGGCACATGACTGCAATCCCAGCTGCTCAGAAGGCTGAGGGAGGAGAATCGCTTGAACCCAGGAGGCGGAGGTTGCAGTGAGCCGAGATCGCGCCATTGCATTCCAGGCTGGGAGGCAAGAGTGATACTCCTTAAAAAAAAACCAAAAGAGTACTAATAGGATAAGTTCCTAGAAGCAGAATTGCTGAGCTAGAGGATATGAACATGAAAAATTTTAAATTATATTTTTATTATAATCTTTGATACTACAGATAAATAAATGTAACCCATATAGAATAATATAATGTAACACTATAAAACATAATAGTAGCATAATGAACACTCATGGTTTTTACATTTTTATAAGAGCCTTATTGCTTACATATGTAGTTCTAGATACTATATTCAGTTTTGCTTACGTTTAGTTTTCTTTGGAACATTTGTTTTAGATATTATTACTTTACCTTTAATAAAGTGAATATACGGTATGTCTCTCAAGTAATAAATTGCTTTAACAAACATTAAGTTCTCTTGGTTAAACTTCAGATTCTGAATATGGCAAGATGAAATAATATCAGGGCTTCTAATGCCCTCTTACTTCCTGTTGAAAATCTCCTTCAAGTAGCTTATATCAAAATTTAGATTGGGCTTCATTTTTGTTAAAAAGCAGACATATCCTGAATTTCAAGTAGTTCCTCTTTTTCTCTGTCTCACTATGTAGTTTTGCTTGCTTTTGAGATTTATGGAGAGTATCATACTTTATGTAGTCTTACTCATCTTGCTTTTGTTAGATATAGTGAACTCCAAGATTCTCTTCAAAGAATCAGTATGTCAGCATATTCATCTCTCTTATTCTTTGATTCTCCATTTGAAAGTTGAGCTTCCGGGTTCTCTTCACCCTCTTGCCTCTAGTTTCAGTAAACAACTTTCCTGTCAGTTCTAATCAGTGGTTCATATCTGTTCCCCTGGTCACCTGCTCCATCCGGAGTCACCCTCGGCCACCTGCTTTGATTTGAATCATCCTGAGTCACCTGTTCTGTAACCACCCTTCCCACCAAACTACCCACCCTGCCGCTCTGGCTCATACCCCTGCTCTCTTTAAAATAGCCAATCGGAATTAGCTTAGATTGTGTGGTCCAAACCTAGCCAATAGGGGAACGACACAGCAGTAGGGGCTACCTGCCTCAGGAATAAGAACTCCTTCCCCTCCCTTGTCCAGGTATGCTCTTGCCATTACTCCATCCGCGAGTCACACCCTTCTATAGAAGTAAAAATTCCTTGCTGAGAAAATTAAATTTATGTCTGAGTGCTATTTCTTTGCGGCACCGTGGAATAAGCATTTGTTTCTAACACTTTTTTCACTCAATAGGTTCTAGCACATTCATCTGTATCGTTGTTTGCAGGTATGATCCTTCTATTTATGCTGCTTATGATATTCTACAATTTGGTTACCTATTTCCCTAATACTGATAGGCATTTGGTTGTCTTGGTTTGGTATGTCCATGTTAAATTTTGGTAGGTATTTTCAAACTGTTCTTCTTTGAGTGTAGACTTTTTTCCCAATCACCAATAAATGAGAATTCACACTAGCTTTCTGACTGAGTTTGGCTGGCATTTTTGAAGCAATATTCTAGATCTCAAAGCAGTTTAGAAACTCTTTCATGGACGTTATTAAAGAGACTAGAAAGAGACATCTGTTCCAAGTAGGCTTCAAGTAGGCTTCAATGGGGGCAGTGACAGGCCCAAGAGCATCCCGTCAGCCAGGGCCACATTGGGACACTCGTAGATAACCGCCACAATTGTTTTATAACTTGGCAAGATCTTCATACCATCATCTTTTTACTTTTGTTACTGGAAAGGGATCCTGATCCAGCCCCCAAGAGAGCGTTATTGGATCTTGCACAAGAAAGAATTCAGGGTGAATCCATAGAGTAAACTGAAAGCAAGCGTATTAAGAAAGTAAAGGAAAAAAAGAATGGCTACTTTATAGGCAGAGCAGCCCTGAGGGCTGCTGGTTGACTATTTTTATGGTTATTTCTTGATTATATACTAAACAAGGGGTGGCTTATTCACAAGTTTTCCAGGAAAGAAGTGGGAAATTCCTGGAACTGAGGGTTCCTCCTCTTTTTAGACCATATAGAGTAACTTCTGGACATTGCCATGGCATCTGTAAACTGCCATGGCCCTGGTGGGAATATTTTTTAGCATGTTAATGTTTTATTTAGCATATAATGAGCAGTGAGAATGACCAGAAGTCACTTTCGTTGCCATCTTGGTTTTGGTGGGTTTTGGCTGGCTTCTTTACTGCTTCCTTTTATTTGCAAGGTCTTTATAACCTGTACTTTGTGCTGATCTCCTCTCTCATCCTGTGACTTAGAATGCCTAACTTCCTGGGAATGCAGCCTAGTAGATGTCAGCCTTATTTTATCCAGCCCCTATTCAAGATGGAGTTGCTCTGGTTCAAACACCTCTGACACTTTAGCTGGTTTTCTGAATTTGTCAGAGGGGTAAATGATGTAGTTTGGATGTTTGTACTCTCCAGATCTCATGTTGAAATGTGACCCCCAGTGTTGGAAATGGGCCCACTGGGAGATGTTTGGGTTGTGGTGGCAGATCCCTCATGAATGGCCTGGGGCTGTCATCATTGTAATAAATGAGTTCTCACTCCATTAGCTCACAAGAGAGCTGGTTGTTTAAAAGAGCCTGGCATTTTTCCCACTGTCTCTTACCTCCCTCTCTTGCCATGTGACACGCCTGCTCTCCTTCACCTTCCACCATGAGTAAAAGCTTCTTGAGGCCTCACCAGAAGCAGATGCTGGTGCCATACTTCTTGTATAGTTGGAGGAACTATGAATCAATTAAACTTTTTTTCCTTATAAATTACCCAGCCTCAAGTATTCCTTTATAGTATGCAAAAGAGACTAAAACAGCAAATGAAAAGAGATCTGTCTCTGAAAGAACTTATTGTGACATAGAGAGAGACAGAAAAAAGTCAGATTGACACTGGGTAAGAAGCAAGGAGGTCAGGTCCCAAGATGAAGTCCTGCCTGTGGTCAGCAAAGGGGCACCAAGGTGTCTGGGACAGTCCTGGCCCTGGCTTTGGGCAGGGAGGGAATTTCCCATAGGAAGGGAAGAGTAAAGAGAGAGAGAGAGGTCAGAGTCCAGGTTTGTTGTTCATATGTTTTCTTGAAAGGGCACTATTTCCCAGAATCCAGGTCATCTCTGGGTAGGGAATCCCCTGAATTAGTTTTTTCTGAGAGTATATTAGATTTGCCCTCACAGTAACCCCATGCTGGAAATACCCAACTCCAGTAGCACTTTTCTCCCTGCCTTTTCCCACTGAAATAACATAATAATATAGGAAGAATACAAGGACTATAGAAATACAGATTAGTGTTTGAACCCTTGCTTACCAGCTACTACTAATATGATTGTGGATGAGGTAGCTTCTTACTTATTAACGGGGATACTAATAGAGGTGGTTCCTTACAATGATTCCATTTATGATTTTTTATTTAATAGTGATACCAAAGCAATACATACTCAGTAGAAACCTACTTCAAGTTCCCATAAAATCATCTGCTTTTCACTTTCAGTACAGTATTTAATAACTTAAATGAGATATTTCACACTTCAGTAGTAAATACACTTTTTGTTAGATAATTTTGTCCAACTGTATGCTAATGTAAGTGTTCTGAGCATGTTTAAGGCAGGTTAGGTTAAGCTATGATGTTTGGTGGGTTAGGTGTATTAAATGCATTTCTGATTTTGGATATTTTCAGTGTACAATGGGTTTACAGGGATGTAACCCCATCATAAGTGAAGGAGCACCTGTACTTACTTCATTAAAATGCTGAAACAGTAAATAAGGTAACATTTAATAATATGTTGTGCAGTTCTTGAAATTTAAGTACTCACTAAATATTACTTTTCCTTTTTTTGTTATTTACTTACTTTTCATTCATTTATTAATTCATTTGTGCATTTAGTAAACATTTATAAATTATTTCCTGTGCCTGACAGCATGCTGGAACAGTGCTAAAGATACAAGTTAATTAAGACACAATCACGACCCCCAAGATTCCTACTCTTTTCTAAAGATTACAGACAAGCAGACGATGCTATTGTTGAAGAAACATGCTCTGAGAGGCATTTGAAGGAAGTGTAGAGGATAGAAGATGGACACATAACCCAGGATGGGGAGGAAAAGAGTTAGGGAAGGCTTTTTGACGAAGATACTGTTTACACCGTGTGTTCTTATAAATTCATGGTGGTGGGGATAGAGTTGGAGGAAAAGGCATGCTCAGTGGCGTGGAGATGGCAGAGAGATTGGGGTGTTCAAGGATATGCCGGGAATTCAAGGAACGAGAATTCCCATAGACACAGACACAGCTAGACATAGAGATCTGCAGCTTAGGTTTGGGCTGTGGGTATAGATCCAGG
Source organism: Homo sapiens (assembly GCF_000001405.40). Taxonomy (NCBI): domain Eukaryota; kingdom Metazoa; phylum Chordata; class Mammalia; order Primates; family Hominidae; genus Homo; species Homo sapiens. The sequence continues at coordinate 825,176 of NT_167246.2, read as the reverse complement.
TGGCTTCAACAGACAAAGATCTTTCCTGAGAAAAGGGAAAAGTTTTCAACACAGAAAGACCATCCCATGTTTGGAATGAGGTTTGCAAATAGATTGCTTGAGGAGAGAAGTATGTGATCAGAAAGCATTCTTTGTCTATTAACTCCTGCCCAGCAAAAGTGAAAGAAAATTCATGGGAGCATGCAAGAACAAAGAGCACAGCAAAGCTGGACAAACACAGCAATCCAGGCAGGGGATTTCCAACTCAACTCTGGTATATAAGCTGCATGCAAAGTCCTTTTTCTGTCTCTGGTTTCTGGCCCCTTGTCTGCAGAGATGGCTCCCAATGCTTCCTGCCTCTGTGTAAGTTGGGATTTGATAAAGGGGATGGGGAAAGGAAAAGCACTTTCAAGAGTTGGGGAGAGATCTTAGAAACGGGGGCTGGGCAGTACTCAGGGCTCTGGGGGGCTGGGCAGGCATCCTTCAGGAGAAGAGGCTGGCATTGACATTTGCAGAATGGGAAGAGGGATTGTCTGAAGAGAAGCTGGTTATCTGGCTTCTGTGTTCTTTTTTAAATAAAACATTGGACTAGCTACTCTTAGGGATAAATGGTAGAAGAAAAAGTGGGGGTGAGCTTTGTGTTCCACAGGGCTGGTGAGATTTGAAATTATGGTAACATTTTTTAAGGTTCTTAAACTTAATCTTCCCTCTCCTCTCAAAGGAGAGCTTCACAAAACTCATTCATCTGAAGTTGTTAATGATCTAACACATTACATTATATAAGAAAATATGCACTATGGAGAGAACCTGGAATTAAGGCAATGCTTAACACAGATCTTCCAGTGAAGAAATGTCTGCAATATCTAGATTGGGAGAATATTTCTGAATGGAGTATGAGGGAGGTCTTCTCAGGCTTTCAAGTGGCCATTAGGGGTGAGTTTTCCCATCTTTTAGGATTTTCCAGCTATTGAAGTAAGACTTAGATATAGTCCCTACCTTCTGTGAGTGAGGCCCTAGTCTTATCAAAGGAGATCACATTCTATATTAGTGTTACCAGGGGGTCTTTGCTCCCAGAGCTCTCAAGATGGTGGTGGGCTGCTTCCAAAATGGCCGCAGGCCGCTTCCAAGATGGTGGCAAGCCTCGTGTTCTCTGACCTGGGGTTCTTGGCCTCATGGATTCCAAGGAATGGAATCTTGGGTCATGTGGTGGTTGTTACAGCTCTATTAGAAGCCATGGGTCACGGAAGAGAACCGTGGACCCAGTGACTAGTGTTCAGCTCGATTAGGAAGAACCTGGGCACTTAGCCGTGCAGAACAATGGTACGCCTTTAGCCCAATCAGGAGCGGCAATGGGCGCCTCACTGGTTCAGAAGCACAGCGGACACCCTGCCAGATCCGAGGGATGGAAGTCAGCCGCGGGTCTGCGACGGTGGCAAACGGCAGTGGTGGATGGCAAGCGAAAGCTCACCTCGAGCCGTAAGAAACATAGACCAGAAGAGTGCAGTTGCAAGATTTAGTAGAGTGAAGACAGAGCTCCCATACAAAGGGAGGGGACCCAAAGAGGGTAGCGTTGCTGGCTCGAATGCCTGTGTTTATATCCCGATCATTGTCCCTCCCGCTGTGATCTCAGGCAATAGATGATTGGCTATATCTTTACCTCCTGTTTTTGCCTAATTAGCATTTTAGTGAGCTCTCTTTACTACCTGATTGGTCAGGTGTGAGCTAAGTTGCAAGCCCCGTGTTTAAAGGTGGATGCAGTCACCTCCCCAGCTAGGCTTAGGGATTCTTAGTCGGCCTAGGAAATCCAGCTAGTCCTGTCTCTCATTAGATAGAAATAAAAACACAAGAAATATAAATTAACAAGAAACACTGAACATAGTGTCACGGTAGTATGTGAGTTATTATTATAAAGCAGTGGGATATTTGAAAAGAAACTAACAGTTCAGTGATTATGTGTCCTACCCAGGATTTCCTTCTGAAGTATTGACAGAGGGTATCCTATGGCTATGAGTATCTTCATGAGGCTGTCATATTTTGGAAATTCTCTTTGAGAGTTGTTTTTAGAGTCTGATGTACATCTTTTGAAGCCTCGTATTTACTTGTTGACATTTGACAAACTTTATCTGGATAGGAGAGGCAGGTAAATAAGGTGGAAAATCACTAATTACATTTTGAGATGGATAAAGGTATGTTTTTTACATCCATTGAAATGCACAGAAAAACGAAATGTAAAGATTGTCAACTAAAAAAAAATCACACAATTCATAAATTTAGAAGGGGAGTTTATTTCTTATGAAAGGTTATAGTCTGCAAGGTAGCCATTCTGACAGGCTGGGAAGTTTTGCTTCTGATTGAAAACCAAAAGCAAGCACTTTGCAGGAGGAAAGGTGACACAGGAATTTATGCTGAAGGGGTTTGCTAAGTATACATATCCAATAGGTTATAGCAGAGGCAATGAATATTCATGGAGGGGGTCCTAATGCATGCATATTGAATAAGCTTGCATGTTACATACCACCCATGGTCACTCTGAAGTGGAGACTTAACATTTAATTGCATTACAGTTAGGCCTTATACATGAAAAGGTGAAGCAGGGACACAAAGGCATTCAAATGCACAGCTTCTGTAAACTAGCCAGAACCAGTCCATGGTCAGTGGTCTCTTATCAGGAGAAAATTACTGAAATCAGTCTTTTGTCCAATTAAAACTGTAGTTATGGCTTGTGGAACACGGGGTCAGTTAGCCTGTGTTCCCCAACACAGGGTGAGCTGTAATTGTTTTAATATTGTTCCTGTCAAGGCCAGTGCTTGTTTAGCTGCTAGAGAAAAAAGAAAAAACTTTGTGGCAGAACATAGTTTATTCTTTAAGTGTAAGGGATGCATGACTTAACTTTTGCCTGTTATAGCCCTCGGTCTTGTTTATAATTTGCTATCTTATTGCCACAAAGAATCCATTCTCTCAGTCTTATAATCTCTAACTTTGCTGGTCAGTTGTGTCTAAACTGCAAAAGGGAGAAGATACAATGAGGCATATCCAACCTCCTGTTCCATCATGACTGAATGTTTTATTTATTTATATTTTTGAGACAGAGTCTCACTCTGTTGCCCTGGCTGGAGTGCAGTAGTGCCATCTCCACTCACTGCAACCTCTGCCTCCTGGATTCAAATGATTCTCCTGCCTCAGCCTCCTGAGTAGCTGGGATTACAGGGACTTGCCACCACGCCTGGCTAATTTTTGTATTTTTAGTAGAGACAGAGTTTCACCAAGTTCACCAGGCTGGTCTCGAACTCCCAGCATCAATTGATCAGCCTGCCTCAGCTTCCCAAAGTTCTGGGATTACAGGTGTAAGCCACCACCCTTGGCCCAATGACTAAGTTTTTAAAGTTTCTCTAGGGTCCCCCTGAGCAAAAGAGCATCCGTTCAGTTGGTTGGGGGCTCAGGATTTTATTTTCCATTCTCAAGATCGAAAAAAAGGTGTGATTATAAAGGAATGGGACAAATTATCTTATTTGTGTTGTAACTTGGTAATTCCAAAAAAGAAGTTCCAAGAAAGAGAGGGACACTGGCTACTGAATAGGAGCTAGAGGACCAGATAGATAGTGGAAGAGGGGGAGCCATTGTGGTGGGGAGTAGAAGTGTAAAGGAGGAAGGCATCCTAGGTAACTGTCTTGTGGCTTTCACTTCCCAGGTGCATGTCCGTTCCGAGGAATGGGATTTAATGACCTTTGATGCCAACCCATATGACAGCGTGAAAAAAATCAAAGAACATGTCCGGTCTAAGACCAAGGTTCCTGTGCAGGACCAGGTTCTTTTGCTGGGCTCCAAGATCTTAAAGCCACGGAGAAGCCTCTCATCTTATGGCACTGACAAAGAGAAGACCATCCACCTTACCCTGAAAGTGGTGAAGCCCAGTGATGAGGAGCTGCCCTTGTTTCTTGTGGAGTCAGGTGATGAGGCAAAGAGGCACCTCCTCCAGGTGCGAAGGTCCAGCTCAGTGGCACAAGTGAAAGCAATGATCGAGACTAAGACGGGTATAATCCCTGAGACCCAGATTGTGACTTGCAATGGAAAGAGACTGGAAGATGGGAAGATGATGGCAGATTACGGCATCAGAAAGGGCAACTTACTCTTCCTGGCATCTTATTGTATTGGAGGGTGACCACCCTGGGGATGGGGTGTTGGCAGGGGTCAAAAAGCTTATTTCTTTTAATCTCTTACTCAACGAACACATCTTCTGATGATTTCCCAAAATTAATGAGAATGAGATGAGTAGAGTAAGATTTGGGTGGGATGGGTAGGATGAAGTATATTGCCCAACTCTATGTTTCTTTGATTCTAACACAATTAATTAAGTGACATGATTTTTACTAATGTATTACTGAGACTAGTAAATAAATTTTTAAGGCAAAATAGAGCATTCAAAGCCAGCTTGGAATTTAATTCTGTCTTGATACCTTGTTATTTATGCAAAAACTCCTATCTCCTTTCCTTTATGACAAGAGAGTAAGTTTTAGGTTGGGATCCATGTTCTACTGATTTCTGTATTTCTGTCTTTGTTAAGTCCAGTGCTTTATTTATATCACTCAATAATGGTTGAACCAAATTGAATTTCTACTTATAGAGCATAGTGAAATGATATTTTATAAAATGAATTAGTTGCTCTGACATGATCACAATCAAATTACTAAACATTTTAGAAACTAAATTAAACTCCTTCCCCCCTCTTCTCCTTTAAAGCTATTTGTATGAAATGAAGTCTGGCACCATGCCCCCTTTTATTCTCTATGTCTCACACCCAACTAAAATAGTTATTATTTCTGGGGATGATGGTGGGCAAGGAAAGGTATTTTCCACAGGGATCTAGCAATTCTGTTTAACTAGTGGGGATTCCTAGGGGTAGATGGACATTGGGAGCGAACAAACTTTCTAAAGCTGGGGGACTGTGGACCACCCTCTCTCCTACCTGCCTTAGGGTCTAGCAGGTCTTCTCCAGGATGAGGGCGCCAGTCTGGGTGAGGGTGGGTGAGGAGCTGGCTTCTGGGTTGACCTCAATATTCTGCTCAGGTTCTGCTGATTGAGCATTTTCCTCTCTTCTTTTTTTCACGAGGAGATCCCTGTTCCTGTCTTGAGAACTTGAGTCCCTTCCTCCATCTTCCTCCCTCCATTTACTCCTCTCTCTGACTCTCTCTCTTGCTCTCTCTCTCATGACTCACTACTGATCACCTGTGAGTTTTTTTCACGGGCTGAGACGTGCCCGCCTTCTTCCACACTCATCCTAGTTCCTTGTTTCTTTAAAACTTGCTCAAGAACCAACTCCTGCAGGGGGGTTTCCAGTCTTAACCCCACTCAGCAAAATTCACCACCATTTATGGGCTTTCCTCATCACATTTATGGGTGAAATGCCCCGGGGAGGGCACTGGTCATCTGGCCAGGTCTGCACTAAGTTGGACTGATTTCTGAGAATAGAGTCCATGGTCGCTTTTTCTGGATGTACCCTCTCCTGCAGGGTAGGGACTATGATTTTCTTGTCAACTTGAGACTTCTGATTGCAGAGACCAAGAGGTCTTCCATGGTCTTCCATCAGATAGGGAGGAAGCTAAAGGCGAGCGTCACGTCCATCATTTTCCCTGCGCGTGGAGTTGTGAGGGGTAGGTTTTCCTTCCCTAAACCTGAGTATATAGAGGATTTAGGGATTTTTCCCTCAAGAACTAAACATTTCCTCACGGGAGGAAAACATATCCCCCATTGGACTCCTTAGGACAAATCTTGCAGATTATCATACAAAAATGAACAGCCTGAAGTCTAAACTGACTCACTAAGGGGTATTTCCATCCTTGGGTTCTGGCTTAATACTTTCTCCCCTCCCCAACTACTCACTGCCCAGCCTGGCCTCTCCCCAGACTCCGCAGCAGCCTCCTCGCTGCCCCCTTCACTTTCTTATTCCTGAGGGTGTAGATGAGCGGGTTGAGAGCAGGTGTGACCACGGTGTAGAAGAGCGATACGAACTTGCCCCGTGCCTGGTTGTAGCGCTGCGCGGGCTGCAGGTAGGTGTAGATGGCCGAGCCGTAGAACAGGCAGACGGCTGTCAGGTGGGACCCACACGTGCCCACCGCCCTCCTCCGGCCTCCGCTGAACCGCATGCAACAGACAGCTCGGGCCACGGCACCGTAGGAGGCCAGGATGACGGCAAACGGCAGCAGCAGGATGACCACGCGGGCGGCGAACATCTGGTTCTCGGTAGTGTCTCCGTCGCCTCCGCAGGCCAGCTTGAGCAACGCCGGCAGCTCACAGATGAAGTGGTCCAGCAGGCGGGGCGCGCACAGCGGCCGCTCAGCCAGGAGCGCGGTTTGCGCAACCGAGTTGGTGAGGCCGCTTAGCCAGGAGGCGCTGGCCAGCGTGCGACATAGGCGCGGGGAGACGAGCCCCGCATAGCGCAGCGGGCGGCACACTGCGGCCGCGCGGTCCAGAGCCATCACCGCCAGGAGGACGCATTCGGCCGAACCCAGAGCCAGCGATGCGCACAGCTGGGCCGTGCAGTGGCTGCGCGGCAGCCAGAGCGCTGGTCCGCGCAGGTTGGCCAGCAGCGGCGGCACCACGCTAGTAGTGAAGCCCGCGTCTACCAAGGCCAGGTGGCAGAGGAAGTAGTACATGGGCGTGTGCAGGCGCGGGTCGCGCACCGCCAGCAGCACCAGCGCCGAGTTGCCCGTCAAGGTCAGGAGGTAGCACAGGAGGACAAGGGCGAAGAGGACCGGCTGCAGGGAAGGCCAGTCGGAGAAACCCAGCAGGAGAAAGCGCTCCTCTGCGCTGTAGTTGGCCTAAAGGAGGAAAACTCCCAGAATGTTTGGAAGGTCGAAATAAAAAAGGGTGACTACCCCTTATAAGCAAAGGGAAAACCTTGGAGTGTGGGGCTGGGCTGGGAGAAGGAATGGAATCATATACAAGGTCAGTTTGTGGATTGTAATCCCATTTACAGATGAGATTACTTAAAAATAAACTCCCTAAGAATAAGAGCAACACTCCAAGCTTGGCGTGGCCAACACTCGGTAGGCAGAATGATCACCTCCGTTGTTTCAGGTACTCTGTGTTTATTTATGCAACAGTTCATGTAAAATGGAGACGAGGCCAGAAGAATCCTTGAGCAGACAGAGCCAGTTGGGCCTCCTAAGTGACCTTAACCTTGCTTGATTTGCAAGCATGTCTGAAACTTTATTTGTGGTATTTCTTGTAAATGCCTATGTTAAAGAAACACAGAACTTAAGCTCAACCAATCAGAAGCAGCCAACAAAAACGTAATTAGTAACTAGGACTTCCTCATGGGATAGACCAAATAAGGCAACTGTATAACTGTGTAACTGTATAACTGTAACCAATGAAATATTATCTTTGCTTTTATCTATTTGTCCTAAAAAGCCTCCTCCTCATGTTCTCTCTGGGGAGCTCCCTAGCCACTTCTGGCTTGGAGCTGCCCAATTCATGGATCACTGCTCAAATAAACTCTTAAATATTTTATTGGGCCTTAGTTTACTTTCTAACACAACCCATTATACGGCTGATTACTGATTTTTAATTTGTTGTGAATAGAGACTACTCCCAACGTCCATGCCCCTCCCACTGAGGGGAGATCAGCACACGTATACTAGCCTTTAAATCAGGAATAAGTTGGGTAGAAAAAAAGAACACTTTCTGGTAGACTAGAATATCAGGACATCTTGGTTTTACCTACATAGCTCCCTTTAGCCAGTTATATGATATGGGGAAATCTTCATTTCCCTCTGTCTCAATTTTTTCATATGTAAATCAAGGAGTTTGAACTAGATGTCATCTAAGTTTCCTGTCCCAAATCCTTGGCTTTACTATCAAATATTAATCCAAAAATAAAATAAAAAGAGAACCCCAGGGAACAAAAGGAACCTCATTCTCCAAGGGTCTTGTTGAACCAAGTGTCTTAATGGTACAGAAACATATGGGTTATGTAATGGATGAAAGTTTATGTGATGGACAGAAATCTTTCTGCTGCATGACTCCTGACATAAATTATTATATGGATAACTTATTTTTCACATCATATTCACTGCTGTAAATTACAAAATCACAATAACCTAATTTTTCATTTTTCAGAGGGAAAAAACACTGCTCCCTACCAAAACATCCTGTTTGATTTTATGTTTCACTCATTTTATCCTCACTGGGCAGAATAAGCATTAATGTCATAATTAAGAACCAGGGCTCAGCAGCCAGACTGCCTGGGTTTGAGTCCTGGCTCTGCCATTTTCTAGCTGGAAAACCTTGGGTATGTTACTTAGCCTCTCTCTGCCTCAGTTTCCTCATATGAAAATAGAAATATGTTAAGTGGGCTAAATATGAAAAGCTGTTAGAACAAGGCCTGGCACATAGCAGTTGTTAACTGTCATCCTTTAATAAATGCTAACTATCGTCATATCTGTTTCCCAAATTAAGAAACAGGTTTTTAAGGGGTTCTTATGCTAGGCAGTGATACAACTGCTATGAACATTTACATCTCTTTTCATTTATTAACTCTAATCTTAACTCACTTGAATATTAGGCAATAGCCTTATTTTATAGAGTATGTTAGGAGAGTAACTGAAGTTAAATTACTTGCCCAAGGCCACATTATTTGTAAATGCTTAATAGGTTTTCCACTTATATTTGACTAACTTCGAGGTCCTTCCTGTTTGATCAACCAGGATCCACTGTGCTAGAGACTGTGGAGTATGAAAGGACATGCAAAGTCTTACCTATATTTATAGATCATTTTATAATTTGGGGTCATATCAGAGATGAATAAAGTAGGAGAGGTGACATTCAGGCTTACAGACCAATGGTGGCTAGAGATGTTGAGTTACAAAAGGTCAAATTCTTTAATGCGGTGATTACACGGACACATAACTGTTCAGCCTGGCAAGCTCTAAACCATTCCTCTTCAAATATGCCACACCATGAAAACAGGCACACAATAATAAAACTGCACAGATAACATTCTTGTTACATGTATGCACAAATTCCCCAAAACATAGGCATGTGTGCACCTGTACACATAAACCCATCATCTCCCTCACACATCTAGAAGACAAATCTGTTGTGAAATATATAATATAATGTGTCATCAAACTTCACTTGGTATTTCAGAATGTGGCTCTCGGCACAAGACCATTTTGTTGTAGGGCACTGTAATACCCAACTTACCTTCATGACTAATCTTTGGCACTAATGTTTACACCTTGAGTTTCCAGATGATAGGTTGGTCTCTTGCTCCTGCTCTGGATTCTCTGGATTTGAAATGGAGTTGGGAGTATTTAATAAAAGATGCAATTGCATAGCTGTGTTGATTTCTGGAATGGATGCCTGGGATCAGAGCCAGGTATTTCAGGAAGAAGACGAGGGGTGGGTGTCATTGTGCTTGTAAATAGAGGAATAAAAAGAACGGGTAAGAAAGAACCTACATTTGTGAAATTTCAGGATCTAGGCAGAGGTGGTGATGTCTGTTCCTGGAGAACCTTGTAATGGGGTACAGACCAGACAAGGACCTGGGCCTTGTGCTGGTAGCAAATCAGCATTAGCTGGTGGTGGTAGCAAATATCCCTCCTGGATCTAAAGGACACAGTTAGAGAGGAGGAAGCATGCTGATGAGTGCTCTCACTAGAGAAAAAACAGGGGACTCAACGTTCCCTGTTATTTAGAAGAGAGGATGGAGCTCTGGGGAATAGATGTCCCACTCCTATCATTAGTACTTTGCATGAAGGTGTCCGGAGAGGAGTCCCCAAGAGTGGGGAAGAGGAAATTCTGGAGGGAAAGTCCCTTTAGGGTAGTGTGCCTCTGGCAGTGTATGAAGGCCAAAGGCAGTGTAATTCCCTCTCATTAATATTTCTACTATTCAATTGGAACTGGTTTAGAATTTCATTCTCTGATGGAGTGACCTTAAGCTAATTGTTTAACTTCAGTGACTCTCAATGTCATCATCTGTAAAACAAGGAAAATAACCCTTTCTGTCAGGAATTTTGTAGATTTGTTGAAGTCATTATTAGTTTTGAATGTAGCTTTGACTGTTATGTCATCAGCTTTGCTCCAAAGTCCACCTCCCCACTTGTGGCTCTCATCATTCTCTTTCCCTTTGCTCCTCCTTCGTCCTTGAAGATTTTTGTCCCTGATCCCCTCTCACTCTCTCCAGTACTGTGATGATTCTTGGTGAATTCAGTATCCTCATAGATTATCTTTCTATACTTTCCTCTCAGTTTCTTCCTCAGTGAGAGGTCCGCAAATTCATCGTGGCCCCTCACGCCCCTTGTATCTTCAGTTCTCTATCAAGCTTAGACTGTCTCGTCAATCACTATTACTCCTTTGCATACATCAATGTTCCTGCCCTTTTCACTTGTTACACTCTTTCAGCTAAATTGCTTTCCTATTTAAATCCAACTATAGTCCTACTCTCTCCCTATATTTGTTCAGCTGACTGTGGCCGAAGGAAAGCCAATAGCCACACTGAGAGGTTTCACTTTACATTCATGACCACTACTTTAAGAGGAAGGGGCTAATGTCATTGATAATCATATTTTCCTAGTCCACTCACTTTCCCCTCTCCTACGTAACTCATGCATACTTTCTGGTCTCCCCTCAAATCCCCAGTACTCCTCTCTCTCAAATAATATCATCTTTCTCAGATAAAAATTTTACTTCATTTTTTACTGAAAAAATGTAAAGCAATAAAAAGAGAAGTTCTTACTAACCCATCTGTTCACCTACTTGCATCTGTGCTCACATATGGGACTCCACCTTTTCTTCTGATACTGCTAGGAATATACTATTTTGCATCTGTCTGATGCCAGTACCCCCACTTGCCCACTATATTCCATCCCTTTCCACTTATTCAGGGACATTACTCTAATCTTTCCCCTCTTTCCTGTAATATAATTTGTCCTTCCAGTGGACCATCCCCATCAATACATAAACATACTTTGATTTCACTCATCAGAAAATAATCTTCTCTTGACTTCACTTCCCCCTAGCTACCATCCAAGTCCTTGAATTCTCTTTCGGGTTGGCTCCAACAAGGTTTCTGCACTGGAAACCTTTCATCGAAGGTCACAAACTGACCTCCACATTGATATAGTAGTTTTCAGTCCTCATGTTACTTGACCTGTTAGAAGCTTTTCAATAGAGTGGACTTAGCTTTCCTTTTTGGAACATGCCTTTCACTTCTGCTATGGACTGAATTGTGTCCCCCCCCAAAATTCATATGTTGAAAATCTAATCCTCAATGTGATGGTATTTGAAATGGGCATTTTAGGAGGTAATTATAGTTAAATGAGGTCACAAAGGTGAGGGCCAAATAGGATTAGTTTCCTTATAAAAGAGGAAAGGCCACGTGAGGAGGCAGCAAGTAGGGAGTTGTCTGCAAGCCAGGAGGAGAGCCATCACCAGGAACAAAATCAGCCAGCATCTTGATCTTGAACTTCCCAGCCTCCAGAACTGTGAGAAATCAACTTCTGTTGTTGAAGCCACCCAGTTTATGGTATTTTGTTATGGCAGTCTGAGCTGACTGACAGCTTCAAATCACCAAAGTCTCCCAGCTGCTCCTTCTGAATCTCCTTTATTGGTTTCTCCTCCTCTCCCTGCTGTGCCTAGGGTTCAGTCCTCTTTCCTTTTTTACGTGCACTTCCGTCATCCAGTCTTATGACATTGTACACCATCTATATGCTGATGACTCCTAAATTTATATTTCCAGGCTGGATTTTTCTCCTAACCTCCAGATTCCTATGTCCAATTGTCTACCCACCAGCAGCTTTTGGTATCTAATACACATCTCAGATTTAACATGCCATAAACTGAGCTCCTTACTACCCACCCTCTCCCCCACAATGTGCTTCTTCTGTAGCCTTTCTCATCTCCCGTAATGAAAATCCATTCTTCTAGTTTCTCAGACAAAAATCTTGTGATACTGACTCTTCTTCATCTCACTCACATATAATCTACCCACAAATTCTATTGGCTCTACCTGCAAAAATATGTTGTGAAACTGACAAGTCGTTATCACTGTTAGGACCACCACTCTGGTCTGTCCTTGTCAACATCTCTTGCTTGGATGATTGAAATAATCCTCTGGTTCTTCCCTTAACCTTTAGTATATTCTCAACATGGAAGCCAGAGTAACCCATTTATAACAACTCAGATCATACCACTTCTTATCTCAAAATCTTTCAGCAGTTTCCATGTTACTCAGAAAGAAAAAGCCTAGTCACAAGATCTAAAGATCAGTGCCCTCCACCTCAGTACTACTGACGATTTTGACTGGATCATCCTTTGTTGGGGGTGCTGTCCTGTGCATTGTAGGATGTTTAGCACCATCTCGGGGCTCTACCCACTAGGTGATAGTAGTGCATCCTCTCTAATTGTGACAATCAAAACCAGCTCCAGACATTGCCAAATGTCCCAGTGGGAGGCCTAATTAGCCACGGTGAGAACTGCTGCTTGACTTAATCAGAAAAAATAAACCTCCTGCAGCTAGCTTGGTGTCTGCCTAAACAGCCTCCTAGTTTTGTGCTTGAAACCCAGGGCCCTGGTGGCATAGGCACCAGAGGGAATCTCCTGGTCTATAGGTTTCGAAGACGTGAGGAAAGCGCAGTATCTGTGCCAGAGTGCACCGTTCCTCCCCACACAGTCCCTCAAGGCTTCGGCTTCCCTTGGCTAGGAGAGGGAGTTCCTTGACCTCTTGTGCTCCCCGGGTGAGGCGATGCCCCACCCTGCTTTGGCACACCCTCCATGGGCTGCACCCGCTGTCCAACCAGTCCCAATAAGATGAACTGGGTACCTCAGTTGGAAATGCAGAAATCATCCACCTTCTGGGTCAATCTTGCTGGGAGGTGCAGACCAGAGCTATTCCTATTCCACCATCTTGCCAGCCTCCTCCCCTGGTATCTAGCTGTAATTTTGTATCCATGAACCAATCTCTTCCTATCCTTCCCTCTCTCCTCCCTTCGATCCTTCCTGTGCTCTAATAATCAAAATTCCACTCTCTATTTCTAATGAGCTCAACATTTTTTAGCTTCCATATGTGAGTGAGAACACACAGTCTTTATCTTTCTGTGCCTGCTTATTTCAGTTAACATGGTGTCTTCCAGGTTCATCCATGTTGCCATGAATGACAGGATTTCTTTTTTTTTTTTCATGTCTCTGCCATTTAAAGGGGGTGTTTAATATATTTACATTTAATGTAATTACTGATAGTATAGGATTTTGACCTGTCATTTTGCTACTTATTTTCTTTATATCGTGTTTTTTATTGCTCTATTCCATTATTACTGCCTTTGTATGTTAAATAAATTTTGTTAGTGTTTTACTTAATTCTCCTTGTTGTTTCTTTTACTATACTTTTTGAGGTATTTTTTAAATATTGCCCTGGATCTTGCAATTAATAATTTATAACAATTTAGTCAGATTAATAGCAATTTAATTTCAATAGCACACAAAACCTTTGCTTCCATACAGCTCCATTCTCTTCTGCTTCTTTGTGTTTTTATTGCCGTACAAATTACATCTTTATACATTGTAGGCTTATCAATACAGATTTATAATTATTTCATTATGTATTTGTCTTTTGAATCATATGAGAGAGGAAATCGCAAACAAATTGCATTTATACTGTCTTTTATATTTACCCATGTAGTTATCTTTACTGGAGTTCTTCATTTCTTCATGTGGATTCGAGTTGCTATGTAGTGTCCTTTCATGTCAACCTGCAAGACTGCTTTTATAATTTCCCATAAGACAGGTCTGGTAATTACAGCTTCTCTCAGTTTTCAAAATCTGAGAATGTTTAATTTCTAGTTCATTTATGAAGAATAGTTTTGCTGGCTTTAGAATTGTTCATTGACAGTATTTTACTTTTGCTACTTTGAATATGTCATCCCATTGCCTCCTGACTCTGTAATTTTTCATGAGAAATTAGTTCTTATTCTTACTGAGAATCTCTTGTACATGATAAGTTGCTTCCCTCTTTTTGCCCTCAAGATTCTTTCTTTGTTTCTTGGCAGTTTGATTATAATGTTTCTATGTGTGAATCTCTTTGAATTTATTTTATCTAAGTTTGTTGAGCTTTGTGAAAGTGTAGATTAACATTTTTTCATTGAATTTGGAGTTTTTCAGCTAGTATTTCTTTAAATATTCCTTCTGTTCCTTTTATTCTATCCTCTCCTGAAAATTCTCGTTTATGTGTTTTGGTACACTGGATTGTGTCCCACAGGTCTCTGAAACTCTGTTCATTCTTCTTCTTTTTAATTCATGTTCCTCATACTGGATAATTTCCCCACCTATCTTTAAATTTACTGATTCTTTCTTCTGCCTTCTCAAATCTGTTATTGAGGCTATCTAGTGAAGTTTTTATTTCTACGATTTTATTTATCAATTACTGAATTTTATTTGTTTCTTTTCTTTTTTTTTTTTTTTTTTTTTTGAGACAGAGTCTCGCTCTGTCGCCCAGGCTGGAGTGCAGTGGCGGGATCTCGGCTCACTGCAAGCTCCGCCTCCCGGGTTCACGCCATTCTCCTGCCTCAGCCTCCCAAGTAGCTGGGACTACAGGCGCCCGCCACTACGCCCGGCTAATTTTTTGTATTTTTAGTAGACACGGGGTTTCACCGTTTTAGCTGGGATGGTCTCGATCTCCTGAGCTCGTGATCCGCCCGCCTCGGCCTCCCAAAGTGCTGGGATTACAGGCGTGAGCCACCGCGCCCGGCCTTGTTTCTTTTTTAACATTCCATCTCATTATTGATGTTTTGTATTTGGTGAGATATCATTCTCATGCATTCCTTTAGTTCTTTTGACATGGTTTCCTTTAGTTCTTTGAACGTGTTTAAAATTGTTCGTCTAATATGTTCACCTAGTATGTCCAATGTCTGGTATATGCAGTCTACCAGAGGCAGTTTTGATTTTAAAATGAATAGGTTAAAAAAAGAGGGTGGAAAAAAGTATACCATGTAGAAAACTATGATGAAAGAGCTGAGACAGCTCTACTAATATTGGACAAAGTAGACCTTGAGAAAAATAGCGTTACTAGAAATAAAGAGGCATATTCTATAATGATAAAATTTCAATTTATCAGGAGGATATGAGGATTATAAACATACACACAATTAGCAACACATCCCCCAAATACATAAAACATGAAAATGACAGAATTGAGGGGATAAATAAACAAATCATTAAAAATAGTTGAAGATTTCAACACTCCATTATCAATCATTGATGGAACAACTAGATAGAAAATCAGCAAGGATACAGAGCCTGAAACATTATCAACCAACTTGACCTACTTGACAACAACAAATGAATTATACACGCTTTTGAAACACACATGGAACATTCTCCAGGATAGACTAGATGGGAGGGCACAAATTATCTATAAATTAAAAAAAAATTGAACTAATACAATATATGTATTCCAACCACAATGGAATTGAATGAGTAATCACCAACAGTTGGAAACTTCAGGAATCCACAAATAACAGGTGAAAGAAAAAAAAACACAGGGGAAATTAAAAAGAATATGCATGAAATGAAATGAAACCATAACATGTCAACATTTATGAGATGGAGATAAACCAGTGCTTAGAGGAAAATCTGTAGCTGTAAATGCCTACATTGGAAAAGAAAAATACCTCTAATCAGTAATTCAACTTTCTATGGTAAGAAGCAAGGAAAAGAAGAGAAAACTAACCCCAAAGCAAGCAGAAGAAAGGAAATAATAAAGAAGAGAGCAAGAGTAGATGGAATAGAAAATAAAACACTATAGAGAAAAGTAATGAAACCAAAAGTTGAATCATGGAAAATAACAACACAATTGACAAACCTTTAGCTAGACTTACCAAGAAAAAAAAATGGCCTCAAATTCCTAAAATCAGAAATGAAATTGGGCACATCATTACCAACTTTATAGAAATTTAAAGGATTATAAAGAAATCCTATGAACAACTTTATCCTAACATACTAGACACCTTCGATGAAATGGATAAATTTCTAGAAAAACTAATTACCAAAATTGACTCAAGAGGAAATAGAAAATCTGTATAAGCCTACAAGAAGTAAAGACATTAAAACTGTCATTGCATATCTTCCCACAAAAAAGGCCCAGGCCCAGATGTCTCTACTGGTGAATTCTACCAAACATTTAAAGAAAAAAATAATACAATTCTATACAAACTCTTCCAAAATATAGATCAGAAAGGATCACTTCCCAACACATTGTATAGGAATGATGGAAATGTTGTAAAATCATATTCTAGTGAGTATGTACTTTTGTACATAAGGAAGTTAAGAGACACAGGGCCCCATTTGTGATCCTTTGGGAGTGTGAGAAGCACATATTTCCTACACCCATGTTCCCATTTGGAAGGGCTTCTCTGACCAGCATCAGCCACAAGTGACTTTGCTGAGTGGGGCATCCAGAAGAAGGGGCTGAATGTGGCATTTGAAGGACTTTTCCTCCTTTCTCCTTAGAATCTGACTGTCTGCATGGAGGAATCATACTCCTGGGTTCCCTCCATTAAGTGATAAGCTTCAGGAGACAGGTGTTGACCATGGGTGCCTGTGCCTATTACTTTGAGGAGTAAATTCAATTCCTGGAGAGAATAACATATAAGCAAGTGCTTTGGGGTCACAAACTGCTTCCCAGGTCATTAGGGGAGGGAGGAATAAAGATGCTATGTTGTTGGGCATTGTTTTGACTTCTCAATTTATCTCTCAATTGATTCAGAGAGATGTAATGAAAATGAACTAATTGACTTATTGATTGATCGAAATTAGTGCAACAAGGAGACATGTCTTTTCTTGCCTCATAAAAGCAAGTCAAGGCCGGGTACAGTGGCTCACCCCTGTAATCCCAGCACTTTGGGAGGCCAAGGTGGGCGGATCACCTGAGGTTGGGAGTTTGAGACCGGTCTGACCAACATGGAGAAACCCTGTCTCTATTAAAAACACAAAATTAGCCAGGTGTTGTGGTGCATGCCTGTAATCCCAGCTACTCAGGAGGCTGAGGCAGGAGAATCGTTTGAACCCAGGAGGCTGAGGTTGCAGCGAGCCGAGATTGCACCATTGCACTGCAGCCTAGGCAACAAGAGTGAAACTCCGTCTCAAAAAAAAAAAAAAGAAAGCAAGTCAGTGGTGGGGTAAACCAGGGTGAAAAATATTGGCTCCAACAAAGCACAGCCAAATCTCCCTAGGCTTGGTGAATCCAATGTAAGTTTCTGACACAGATTTACAAGAACTTCCACATCTTTTGCAAAAAAAAAAAAATGCAATTCAATTGACAGCAAAATGAAAGGAGCACATTTGAGTTCCTGGCATGCTCAAGTTTATTGACAAAATGCCCACCAGAGTTCCCTCTCCTGCCTGTCTCAGATGGGCTGGGCTGGGCTGGATGTCATTCTAGGAGATTCACACAGGGAGGCAGGTGACAACTTGTCTTAAAGATCCTTCTTTTTTGAGGGAAGTTATTGTTCAGGATGGAGTAATCAAAAGTGTCAGTGGGATGGGGGATATCAGGAGATGCTGAGATACAATGTTTCAGATAAAGGCCTGGGCCCTGATATGCAATTTGCCCCAGTACAGGAAGACCCAACAGACACAGAGAAATTGACAACCTCTTGTCAGGACCCAGTTCAAATCAGACATCGTTAGATTGCTTCCTGACCTGTGGGCAGAACTTTCATCTCTCAGGACATTGGCCTCTGTGGTACCAATTCTATCCAAGACTTCCCAGGTATGAGAAAAGATCTCTCTTCCTTCTTTCATTTTCAAACCATTTTAACTCAGAGACATATTTTCCTGGAATTTGAAACCTCATGATTTTTTACTGGGGAAGGTGCATTTCTCAGGAAAATGGGGACAGGACAGAAACCAGGTTCCTGGAGAAAGCAGGATTCGGGGTTCCAGGGTAGTCCCAGCAGGTGAGCCACAACTGTGCCCTGGCCCCTGGTTCACAAATGCCCCAGCTGTGTAGATGGGCAGAGGGTGTGTTATTCTGTTAAAGGTAGGATTTGAGCCACTGTATTACTGAGGTGTAGTCTATGACTTCTAGGAAAATCCTTTTGGGTCTTCTGATTTCACAGCTTCTATATTCATATTTAGTTTGTATCTAACACAAGGAATGAAGTTCTTATGCATGCTACCCTGTGAAGAAGCCATGAAAACAAGAGGCTGAGTGAAAGAAACAGACAAAAAAATCACAGAGGGTCTGATTCCACTAATAGGACATGTCCAGAATAGGTGAATGTGCAGAAATGGAAGGTAGATGGGGTTGCCAAGAGCTGGGAGGAGGAAGACAAGGGGAGTAACTGCTAACAGGTAAAAGGCTTTCTTATGGGGGTATGTAAATATTTTGGAACCAGATAGAGGTGGTGGTTGCACAACATTGTGAAGGTGCTAAGTGAGGCAGAACTGTGCCCTTTAAATTAGTTAATTTGTGTTATGTAAATTTCACCTCAAATAAAGATTAAGTGGGGAGGGTGGGCTCTCAACTCAGAACCAGAGCAAGTACTTCAATCCCAATGCAAAGGTTACTTGGCTATTTTGGCTGCATCAACCTGAGCACTTCCATCAGAGCTGGCTCCCTGAATCCCAGGATCCAACCTGTTTGTTGTTTATGCTCCTTGGGGAGCTTGGCTCATGACCCGACTTGGAAATGACATTTCCAGGTGCTAGGATCTCTCTGTGCCCAGTGCTGGGGCTGCACCAGGCACTGAAGCCTTCCCACCCCAGGAGGGCTGTGTCCTCCTCTTGTGTGATGAGGAAGAATGTGCTGCTTAGTCACTGGCCTCAGTAGTGGTCTCTGGGCATGAGCTAGGTCTCAGTGAGCCCAGGGATGGGAAGCCTGGCTCTGTCCCTGAAGCCACATGCTGCCTCCAAAATGGGCATTTTCTCTTTGTTGAAGGGTAAGTCACCTCTCCCCTTGAAACTCTTTTATCTATAAATCTCCTTTCTTTGTTGGGGACCAGAGCCCAACTGCTCCTGCTTGGTGCCTTGGTGGCCTGGGGTGGGCCACGGAGGTCTGTTTGCAGCTTCTCTTCTGTCATCATCACGAGTTCTGACACCCTGGCCCAGGCACAGAACTGCAGGTCACCCTGATGTTTCCATGGGCACCAATGTTACCAAGCCCCAAGACTCATCCTATGACCAGATTAGATCTGAGCCAGATCTGCGGTCCTCCCTGGCCTCAGGTAAGAGTGTCTAGGTAACAAGTGCAGGGAGGGGAGGGGCTGGGGCTGGACCCTTCCATTTCAAGAGAGCTGCCAACTGAAGGGGACTCCATCATCCCAGCAAGGAGGGAAGATTCAAACACTGGGCTCACTTGGAGCTGGTCCCTAGCATTCTCCTAAACCCTGCTGATGCACCAATATGTGACTGCAGGCCACAAGGTCACCTGTGGAATATTTCCAGGCATATCGCAGGCATTTATCAGTTAGTTTGTGGAACAAGCTCTGTTCTAGAAGCTTCTGTGATTCAGAAGCAAAGCTTCAGCAGCTCAGGGTTGTAGAACCAGGTAGATCTCACTGTTCTGAGACTTTCCATAATTCCGTCTGTAAACTTTTCATCATAAATGTGATCATCAGTTCAGGCTCCCATGACAGAGATCACAGACTGAGTGGCTTAAACAGCAGAAGTTCATTCTCTCAGTTTTAGGAGGCTGAAAGTCTGAGATCCAAAGATTGCCGGGATCATTTCTTTCCAAAGCCTCTCTCCTTAGCTTGTAGATGGCTGCCTTCTCCCTGTGTCTTCTCATGGTCATCCCCCTGTGGGTGTCTGTGTCCTAATCTCCTTTACTTATGAAGACACTACCCCTATTGGATTAGGGCCTACCCTAATGACCCATCTAAACATAATTACCCCTTTAATGTCCCTGTCTCCAAATTCAGTCACATTCTGAGGTACTGGGATAGTTCAACATATGAATTTAGAAGAATACAATTCATCCCATAGCAGCAGCCCTTACTTAGATGGGGATGCTGAGGCAAAGAAAGAGTCAGCTACTATGAAAAAGAGCTGGGATTTGCCCCCAAGAGGTCAGCTCTCACAGTCTCAGCATGAACTCCTCAGATCACTGGGTTTAACCAAGCTGTGGGATTCCAGAAGGGGTACTGACCTTCTCCTGTTTAACTTTCAAGTTGGGCAACAAACCACCTTGGTTTTCCTAGGGCTATGAGGATTTTCAGGACAAGAGATGTTCAGAGCTTAAACTGGGAAAGTCCTAGGCAAAGCAGGATAAGTTGGTCACCCTCCCCTCATGATTCTACAAAGAAAGACCTGTGATTGGCAATGTGGAGGAGAGTGCCTGCTCCTGTTGTGGACGTAGCCCAGGGTTCAGGTGTGAGTCTCCCTCAGGAGTCCAAGAAGCCTTTTTTTTTAAATCAGTTTGCGGAACAAGCTTTGTTCCAGAAGCTTCTGTGATTCAGAAGCAAAGTTTGCTTTTATGAAGAGGTCACCAGCACTTCCCCAAGTGTAACTGAGCTGCATAAAGCTCTCCATAGGTGCCGTACCCAAGTGAGTCCTCTATGTCAAACCCTGTTCCAGGAGCTGGAGAAGTTATTGAACAACATTGTGAAGAGAATAAAAAACCTGATAAATCTTCCATTCCCACAGAGGGATTTCTGCAGAAGTAAGTAAGTTGCATAGACACTCAGCATGTGATGAATGCAATGTTAATAGGAAGCAGAAGCTTCTCTGGAAGTTGATACTGGGGCAAAGATTGGAAAGAGGATACAAAGCTTACAGATGTGCAGAGGCCCTTCCAGGCAGCAGAACAACATAAAGGTCCTACCAGGAGGCCCTCGTGCTGAAAGTGAGGAGTTGAGGGGAGGTGAGCAGGAGAGAGGTTGGGTAGACCTTCCCTAGAGCACTGAAAAGCAACTGCCCCATGTGGGACTCAGAATATCTCAGAACCTTAGGGCAGAGGAATTGCCTGGTGCCTCCACCAAAACCATGCCATGAAAACTGTCTGTGTCAATGAGAGAGTTGGAGAACAAAGGTAAAGAAATGCACCTCTTTCCTTTATGGGCACCTAGGTGCATGGATACACACCTGGTGTTGGGCACAGCATCAAGAATACCTGAACGAGGTGGAGAGAGGGATGGGGGCAAGCAGGAGAGGGTACCCTGCAGTGGAGGATATGGGATGGATGGATCACTTGCAGGAGACTCATTCCTCTCCTTGACTTTGCTCTGTGAGATTCCCACCAATCTTGGGAGGCCCAGCAGGACCCTCTTGGGAAGCCCAGCAGGTCAGAAGGCAACCCTGACTCTCCTTCCTAGGCCTGGTAAGTTACCAACCTTTGTCTTTGCAGGGTGTGCCCAGGCAGCCAAGGCAGCCCACCATGGCCCAGTTTCTCTCAGTGTTCTCTGGGAAGCTGGATTGGGACAACAGGACAGAGACCCCAGGACAAGTGAACATGAGTCATACGGGAGGCGAGTGGTTGGTGGGCAAACAGGTGGTTTTCATCCTGACAGTGCTGGTGGCCTTCTGTGGGCTGGTGGGCAATGGTGTGGTGTGCTGGCTTTTCTGCTTCCAGGTCAGGAGCAGCCCCTACATGACCTATGTCCTTAACCTGGCCGCTGCTGATATGGTCAACCTCTCCTGTGTAACTGTGATCCTGTTGGAGAAAATCCTCATGCTGTATCACCAGGTGACATTGCAGGTGGCCATGTTTCTGGAGCCTGTGTCCTATTTCTCTGACACAGTGAGTCTCTGTCTCCTGGTGGCCATGAATATTGAGAGCTTTCTGTGTGTCCTCTGTCCCACCTGGTGCTGCCACCGCCCAAAGCACACCTCTGCTGTGATGAGCATCCTGAGCTGGGCCCTGGCCCTTTCTTTGCATGTGGTTAGCCAGGTTTGTGAGTAATGGGAGAAGGGCCTGGCATGTGACCAATTTCAGGCAGGCTTTATAATATTTCACATGCTTATTTGTCTTGTGGTGGGCATTTCCAGCCTGACTTTGATCATCAGGAGCCTGTACTGCCTGAAGAACTGTTCACCCATCCGGATCTACCACATTGTCCGCTTTGTGGCCATCAGCTTCCTCGTTTGGGGCCTGCCCTTAGTTGTCCTTGTGTACCTGCCAGGAAAAGAATACCTGACCTTTGCCTTTGACCTTCTGTTGCTGCTGTCCATGGTAGTCAGTATGGCTCAACCAGCCATCTACTTCTTGGCTGGCTACCTTTGAAGGAAGAGGCATAGGGAGTCCTTAAAGTTGTTCTCCCAAGAGCTTTGTTGAATGAGATGGAAGGTGGAGGAAACAAGGGGTTTCAGGCAAGGGAACAGCAGGTTACCAGGACTGAGCTCCTCCCACTCCAGGAAGCTGTTCCCCAGGACTGACCATGATGCCCTGTATTGGTCCATTCTCACACTGCTATAAAGAAATATCTGAGACTGGGTAATTTATAAAGAAAAGAGGATTAATTGGCTGACAGTTTGACAGGCTGTACAGGAAGCATGGCTGGGGAGGCCTCAGGAAACTTACAATCATGGCAGAAGGTGAAGGGGAAGCAGGTACGTCTTCACATGGCAGGAACAGCAGGAATAGAGCAATGGGAGAGGTGCTATACACTTTGAAACAATCAGATCTGGTGAGCACTCACTCACTATAATGAGAGCAGCACAGAGGGGAAAATCTGCCTCCATGATTCAATCACCTCCCACCAGGCCCAACCTCCAATACTGGAAATTACAAATGGACATGAGATTTGGGTGGGGAACATAGATCCAAACCATATCATGCCCTGTGGAGTCTGCCCCATAAGGAGGTGCTTGAGTCCTGGCAAACATAAGACTCTGAATAGGGCAGGAAGTCAAGTGGTGGAAAAAACTATGACTAGAGGAAATGTTCACTGAAGATTCCCTTTGTCTCAATACTGCTCTAATTACTTTGCAAATATAAAACCAGGTAATTTTAACAATTCTATGAATAGATAACGTTATTATTATCCTGCTTCAGCCTAAGCCAAAAGGCCACTTGGCCCACTTAGTCAGTGGTTATCCAAAGGCCCCAGCACATTATAACAAGCACAGTCCTTCACCATCACGCTCCTCCTTGGTGATCAATCACAGTTGGACTCTTGTGGGTCTGTCTGTGGGCCCTCTGCTCTATTCCATCAGTCTATTTATCCATCCATGGACAATACCACACTTGATGTAGTTACTGCATCTTTATCATACATGTCTATCTGCGAGAAGCTGAGTCCTCCTACAAGCAGCTAGATAGAGAAGAAAAAGACATATATGTACAGAGAATCAAAGATACAAAGCAGATTTCTTGTTGGAAAATTGCAAGTTGTATGGAAGTATTTTTTTTAAAGAAAAAAATGCCAACCTAGAATTCTTTACACAGTCAAAATTTTGTTTTCCAATAAAAAGGCAGAATAAAGAGGTTTTCAGATTGACAAAAGATGAAAGAAATCATCACCAGGAGATGTACAGATTGAGAAATGGTAAAGGACATCCATCTAGCAGGAGAATAATGACTCCAGATGGAAATCTGAGTCTACTAAAGGAAGGAGCCCTTTGCACTGCTAGACTCTCCATAGGATGCTGAATACAAGTAGTGAGAGCTGACATCCTCACCTAGTTCTTCCTCTGGGGTGAAACCATCCAGTCTTTCATCATTAAGAATAACGTCCAGTAAACATCAACTACAGGGTTTTTGTAGGTGCCTTTTATCAGTTTAAGAAAATTCACTTCTATTCCTAGTTTTTAGGAATAGAAATAGACTGGAAGTTTTTATAAGGTTGATGGATTTTGTCTAATGCTTTTTCCAAATATACTGAAATAATGATGTGCTGTTGTCTTTTCATCTGTTAATATGGTGAGTTATACTGGCCCATTTTTAACGTTGAAGCAGCCTTGCATTCTTGGGATAAATTTCACTTTGTCGTTCTGTGCATATATTTATACTTGTGTTGCATATGTATGTATGCTCAAGGGCACGGGTTTCTGTGTGTGGCAATGCAGTGGACCTAGATTAGAAATAAAAAACCCTCTAAAAAAGAAGAATTAAGTAAGATGGCTAACAATACCTAACTTCAAGACCTATCGTAAAGGTTCAGAAATTCAGACGGTATGGTATTGGTAAGAGGCTAGACAAATGGATCAATAGAACAGAATACAGAGTCCAGAATAGACCATCACATATGTGTTCAATTGTTTTTCAAAAGTTGTACAGCAAATTCAGTGGAGAAAAGACAATCTTAGCAACAAATACTATTAGAACAATTAGATATGCATATTAAAAACTTCAGTCCATACATGGCACCATTATTCAAAATGTATCATAAACCAAAATGTAAGGCCTAAAACTTTAAAATTTGCATAAGGAAAAAGGTAGATATTAGTGTGACTTTGGATTAGAGAAATATTTGTTAGATAAGCACCAAAAGCATGATGCATAAAAGGAAAAAAAAATGATCAATTGGACTTCATCAAAATGATGTGTGCACTCTGAAAGACCCTGTGAGGAGAATGAAAAGACAAGTCCCAGGCTGGAGGAAGTATTTGCAAATCTCACCTCTGATGGACTCATATGCAGGTTCTACAAAAAGCTCTGGGGAGTGGACTCCTCGTGGCCCTCAGGAGTCAAAGGGGTGCTGTGCTCAGGGCAGAAATGGGAGATGCCTCCCACCCTGTCATTCATGTCCCCTGAGCAGTGGTGCTCAAAGTCCCCTACCAATGTCCCTTCCTGGGTCCACAGACCCTTCTCTCCCCACATCTACACTGACAGGCCAGGCCCCTCCTCCAGGGCACAGGGAGGGACAGTTGGTCTCAGGCTCTGGGTGCCCAGCTTCATGCTCACCCCTTCCTTCAAGGCCCACTGGGCCTGTCTCACAGGATATAGTGAGGTTGTCTGGCATCTCCTGGACATGCTGTCTGGGCCTATTCCAAGCTGCAGCCAGAAAAATGGAGGAATGTTTGTCAGACCAGGTACCCTTCCCACAGAGCCTGGGTCCAGATACACAGTACAGAGGCCACAGGGTGGCCAGCCTAGAACCTGTGAGGTGGGCTGGGGACCACACAAGGGCTGTCTCCAGACAGCCAGGTGAAGCTTTGCTAGTTTCTCGGTATCTCATTTCTTTCCTTTTCTTTTTTTCTTTTTTTGAGACAGGTTCTTGCTCTGCTGCCCAGGCTGCAGTGCAATGGCGTGATCTCAGCTCACTGCAATCTCCACTCTCTGACTTCCAGGCTTAAGCCATTCTCCCACCTCAGCCCCACCAGTAGCTGGAACTACAGGCGCGTGCCACCACACCTGGCTAATTTTTTTGTTTTGGTAGAAATGGGCTTTCACCATGTTGTCTAGGCTGGTCTTGAACTTCTGGACTCAGGCAACCCACCCTCCTTGGCCTCCGAAAATCTTGGGATTACAGGCGTGAGCCACTGCATCTGGCTGTTATTTCATTTCTTGCCAGTTACCTTACCCTCATGAAAAACCCCCTTCATTCAAAATCAGTAAGAGGAGAAAGGTGGTAAAAGAATCAATGGAAAGAAAACAGGATATAACTTCTGTCCATATAACTTCTTTATGTCCCATTGGAAAGAAAAGCCTAAAGGGGTCCACTGGTTTCTATTGCTCTGAGGTCCCGACGATGGCATTACACAGTGCAATAACTACCAGCAGGGGCCATGCTTGATTTCAGCAGACGTCAGTGAGGACATACCTGGGATCTTCTGGGGTCGTGGACATGGACTTAGAGCAGAACTGAGTAAACAGGTGTGCACAGGCACGCACACACATACACATACACGTGCACATGTGCACACACAGGGACACACACTTCTGCACTGTTCTAGACTGTTCCCGGGGCAGCAGTCCTGGGCTGCACAGATGAGCCCCTCCCCATCCACTCTGATTCCACAAGGCTCCCCGACCCCGCTAGTCACCTGGCTTGTTGTCAGTGGTGTCCTTTGTGTCCCGCCTTGGCACAGGCTCAGGACCTGGGATTGCCAGATGCTGAGAGGAGATGAGATGGAAAGGATGAGGGAAGCAAGAGAAGAAGGAAGAGAGGGAGGGAGGGATGTGGGGAGGGAAGGAGGGAAGAAAGGAAGGGAGGGCTGCCGGAGACCAGCCACCCAGGGACAGTAGACACAGGTGACAGCAGACCCTCTCAGGGATGCTTTGTACAGACTGTCATGAATGAGCAATGTCACTGGAACTCCAACTTTTGCTCCCTTCCCAGCCCTCTGGGGGTCCCTATCAGGTGCAGTTTGAATTACAGGAAATTACTGGAGGGTCTTAACCCTGGCATCTGCCTGAGAGTGGGAGGCTGCAGTGCAGTGTGGCTCACAGTTGGGTGGGAACCTTGGCCTTTCTGGTGCTTGGCCCTGCTGCGGCCTTTGGGATGGGGAGGCTGTGAGAGGCTGGTCAGGGTCTGGGCTGTGCCATCTTCATTTCCCATCCACCCCAGTATGTCCAGGGCTTCCTGCAGAGAGCTCTGGGCAACTCAAAAACAGGCAGGACATAACAACAAAGACTTTATTGTGCTTTAATCAAAATAAGTGGGGGCTTTGAGGCCAAGGAAGGGGTCCTTTTCCCCAAGAAGAGGCATTCTTAGGCATTGTTGAATCTATGCTGGAAGCTCTGGTCCCACCTTGGAGCCTCCTGCAGTGAGTAGAGCCAAGTTTCCTGACTTTTTCTGACCACAAAATGCAACTGCCAAGAATGGCAGATGAGGGATCCAGCCTCCTGGACTCTCATTTGCTTAGTTTTCTTCAGTCTTGTGTCCTGGAGCAGATTGTGGACCCTGGAAGCAGGGCCCCAGTGCCATCTGCTTGGGCCTCAGAACTCTGCCCCATTGGTGGTCTGGTGGTGGCCACTTATCCTGCAGGAGCCTGACCATTTCTGCTTCCTTGAATGGATGAGGTTGGTGGCTGGTCCACGTGTTTCTGCCCCACCCTCACCAAGGTGGCCAGTGGTAGTTTGAGCTTGGTAACATCATCAGCTTGGCCTTGCCAGGCACACATAGGCCCCGGGTATGTACGCAGTGCTCCAAGGGGGCTTGCTCCGCCTTAAGCCAAATACTAGTTCTGGCCAGGGCCACAGGGGGCTCCATCTCCTGTGTATCTTGGCTGCTGCTGGAGGCCCCAAGGCACCCCTGGTGCCCCTTCCCTTTCAGGGCTCAGGTTGAGTCTGGGCTAGGGCCCTCTGGGTCTAGGAATTGTGCATTGAGAGGGGGGTTCTGCCCT
This sequence comes from Homo sapiens, assembly GCF_000001405.40. Taxonomy (NCBI): domain Eukaryota; kingdom Metazoa; phylum Chordata; class Mammalia; order Primates; family Hominidae; genus Homo; species Homo sapiens. Next base: position 797,975 of record NT_167246.2, on the reverse strand, counting down.
ACAGGTTGGGACCATGGATGCAGGGCATGCTGCTGGGTGGCCTGGGCTGTGGGGACACCATGCTCACCCCTCCCTCCAGTGGCCTCCAAGTGTCCAGCTTCCCCATCAGTATTGACTTTCCATGTCTAAGGAGCTCTCTGGGGCTTTGGGGCAGCTTGCCAAGTGCTGCCCTGGCTCCTTCTGGGCCGTGATGTTCACTGTCTGCCAAGAGTGATCAGCTGTAGGCATCACATGCAGGAGAGTTGTCTCTGGCCCTACCTCTGGGCTATCAGGGGGCTGGGCAGTGTCTGGTATTGGGGGCTAGGCCAGTCCTATGATCTTAGAGGTGTCCAGGACACATATGGAAGTGATAGGGGCCTAGCATCTCTGCTCCAAGCTCTACTGTGAAAACCACAGACCTCTGAGGTCCAGGTCCATGGGGAGCTTAGAGAGGGAGTTCCAATGCAGGAATCACCAAGCACTCTGTGGTCTATCCTGAGCTGGGGATGGGCTGGCCACACTCTGAGTCCCCAGGGCCCCCAGAGAGCAGCCTGCTGTCCTGGGCTCTGCAGAAGCTCCCTTATGCCTCTGGGCTTTGGCCTTGGGTACAGCATAGCCAGGTGAGGGTGAGGGAGGATGAGGCTCCTGTTTCAGGAGGGCTATACCCATGGGCTGCTGGAGCTGGGCTGTGGGCCAGGGAGAAGCAGCCCATCCCCTTGGGGAGGGTCTCAATGCTGGGGGATATCTGCAGAGGCCTGGGTGGTGGGGGTGCTTGCTCAGGTTTGGCTGAAAGGAAAGCAGATTTGGTCAGCTTTTCCATTGAGAACATCTTGCTTTTGCCAGGCTGGACCCCACAGACCTGGGTCCCTGCAGTCCTCAGGGTCCCCGTGTGGTCCCCCTGGTCTAATGCTGAGGACACTCCTGCAGGCTGCTACTCCCAGAGCGAGGTGTGTGTGCAGCCTAGAGTGGGGAAGCTGTCAGGGAAGCTCAAGTCACTCCAGGGACAGCCCCCAGGGTTCAGGCTGACTCAGTCTTCCTGCCTCACACTCTTGCCCCAGGGCTGCTTAGCCTGGGCTTTAGCCTTGATTCAGAGCTCAGATGGATGAGGCCTTAACTGTTACCTAGCCCCTTTGCCACGCAATATGGGGGCTTATCTCCACAGTGGATGAGACACCCTCCACTCCTCTGGGGGATCTCCATGCCAGGGCTGGACTGTTCCCACACTCAGCTGAGCAATCAATTCTGGCTCTGGGCCAGGGTTTCACCTATGCCCTCTCCCTAGATTCTCTTAGGGTCTCTGACACTGATTTTAGGCCCTTGGAGGGGTGCTCAGGAGTGAAGGCCCCCTGCTGCTCTCCAGGGCTGCTGGTACTCACAGGTGTGGTTGTGGGCTTGCACAGATGGATCTGACCCCTCCAGTGTCCTTCTGGGGCTTTCAGGAGTGAGAGCAGGAGGGTACAGGGGAGGGGCTTGGAAGAGTCTTGCTCACGTCTCATTGTCTCTGAGGCATGTCCAGTAAACCCAAGGTCAGCTTTTGCCCTAGGCTCAGGCAGCCTGGTTTCAGAAGCTTCTTAGAGGAGGAGGGAGAGGAGGGGCTGGAGGAAGGCCCAGGGAGCAGGGCTGGTGAGGTCTGGGCACTTCCCACTATTTACTGCCCCGCAGGGTGACACAGGAGGAGACTTGGTGCTGAAGCCCACCTGGGTGTGCAGGTCACAGTGCATGCTTCTCAGTTCCCCCATGGAGGCCTCAGGGTGCCTCATCACCATGTCCTCCTCCAGGGCCCAGGCCTAGGACAGTGTGTCCTGAAGGAACTCCTGCAAGCCAAACAGGAACAGCTTCAGGGGGTGTTCTAGGGACAGGGTGACTATGAGGCTGGGAGGGGTCTGTGGGAGAGTCAGTGTCTGCACCTTGTTCCTGCCCCAGGCACCCACCACTGGGCGGTGCTGGATCCTACTGTGGCTGCCCCAGGGGTCCAGATGTTCACAGAAAACCACAGCTGGAGGAAGGCCTGGGCAGGGAAGTGCTCAACACACTCTTGCCTTTCATCTGGGTTGTGTCAGGAGTGGGTTTGGTACCTGGGTCCACTCCCTGCCCAGCCCACCAGGCCTGGTCTGGCCCTACCTCCAGGCTGGAGCAGAGAGCCATCTGGACAGTGTGGATGCTGCTCTCAGGTCATCACACACCAGAAGCCAGGAATCTGTCCTGGCTATAGGTCCCAGGGTCTGTCCTGCATGCTCCTTCTGGGCACCATTGGCCACCCAGGGACTTAATTCTGTGGCTGTGAAGGCCATGTATACCATAGTTGTCACCACACACTCACCTCCCAGTAGGTAGACATCCCAGAGCCACAGGATGAGCATGAAGGAAGTCTGTGGGAACAGCAGGTGTGGGAGGACCTGGCCTTTCCAACCTCGGGGCTGGTGGCTTGAGCAGGGCCCACTGTAGCCTCAGTCTGGACTTCCTGAGGCTCCCTCTGCTTGGGAAGAGACCCACCCAATCTTCCATAAGGCTGGGTCAGACAAGGTCCGGCAGCTCTTCATGGGGATGGACTCATCTCAGCAGAAATGTGGTTCCCAGAATAAGGGGCTTCCTGAGGGCTTGTGGCTTCCCTGGCTCCTTTGGCTCTTCCAAGATGGGTCTTGGCCCAGTCTGCCCAGAATTCCCTGGTGTCTGGTGTGTAAAGCTCCCATCATACAGGTCCTGGCTTGTGTGCCCTGCAGAGACCTGCCTGTGCCTCCTGTGGGGTGGGGGTGAGCTGGGTCCTCCTGGGGAAGCCAGACCCCTGGGCTGGGGGAGCTGAGCACTGTGGGGAAAGGAGGTACCTGGCCTGGGGTCTCCTATGCATCCTTATCTCATCGATGAAGCACCATAGAAACCAGTTTAAGGTGGAAAGCCGGATGCACAACCCTTCCTTGTCCTGATAGAAGGAATAGAAGTGTTCAGGGTCCCCTGGGCTTCCGTGAAAACCTCTGTATTCCAGACCCCACTGCAGACCCTTCCCCAAGAGGTAGAACAGTGGTGGCTGTGCCCCAACACCTCCCCATGGCATGGGCCCCCAGTGGATGTACTTCCCCTAGCCCTGGCTCAGCCAGAGCTTGGCCTGGTCCCAGTGCCTCTGTCCCCTCCAGGTAAGGAAAAGGAGGCCAAACTTTGAATCCATTGAAAACCAGATCAAGCCCTGGCTGGAAGTTGGCCTCTCACCAGCCCCAGGCTTCCCCTGTCCCTGCTAACCCCATGGGACCCAGGGCCTCTGGGGAAGAGCTGAGGGACTGACCACTCACCATGTGCTTCATAAGCTCTCAGAACACTTTTAGCAAAACTTGCTCTTGATGGGCTTGGAGACTCTGGAAGTTAGAACATCTTGGGATGTAGACTCCTGAGAGGCTCCTGGGGCCCCAAGGAATCAGAGCCTACTCCTGAGATGTGGAGCCATCAGGCTGGGCAGTGGCAGTTGGGCAGTGGCAGTTGGGCAGCAGCGGTTGGGCAGTGGCAGTTGGGCAGTGGTGGTTGCTTCCAGACCCCAAGGCCTTTCACTGTCCCATCCAGTGACCCCATCATGTGGTCTCGGCCAGGAGAGGAGGGGTGGGAATGCCCCTGGGGCCTGGCTGGAGGCACTGCTTAGTGGCTTCCAGGGCCATGGCTCCAGAAGGGCAGGCCTGCCTTTGAAGCAGTGAGGACAGGTGGGAGCTGGTGGGGTGACCAGGGGTGCTGGAGGGTGTGTGGCCTTCTCCTGGATGTGGGGTCAGGGCAGGGGACACAGGACAGAGAGAAGCTGTCATCTGGGCTTGGTCTAGCCATGGGCAGGGAGGGTGGTTGGGAGGGTGGCCAGCTGGGAGGTGGAAGGACCAGCAGGGTTGTAAGAGTCCCCTGCATAAGGTCAGGGCCAGAAGGTTGTGACACCAGGATGCAGAAGGTGGTCACAGGGCAGCTGTGATCCCATTTGCTGATGGGGACAAGAGGCATCTGACTTGGGGTGTCGGGTCCCTGGCCAGTCACAGGCTCCTGTGGGACTCTCAGCAGGGGATACCCTGGAGGCTCAAAATGAGCAGGGGACAGAAGGTGCCTTGTCTGTAAGTCACAATTACCCAGCCAGTGTGGCCGTCCCCTGTCCTGGCTGTGTGATGCCTCGTGGGTAGCTGTCCACTGTGAGCTAATGTCACATGGGAGGACTGTGTCACCTGAGAGGGCAGAGGTCACCTTGGAGAGTACCATGCTTGGCAAGCCTCTCATTGGCCAGCAGCTGGGCCAGCACCCAGATGTCTCCTCATTCTGGAACATGAGCAGGATAGTGGCTCATGGCATGATATGGCTTATGCCCCCGCAGTAGCCTACCTCTGGCAAAAGCCAAAGTCATCATGGAAAGACTTCACCAAGGCTGACGTCACCTTGGAGGGTTGAGGTCACCTGAGAGGGCTAATGTCACCTGAGCACACTATGTCACCAAGAGGGCAGAGGTTACCTGGAAAGGCAGAAGTCCCCTGGCAGAGCTGAGGTCACCTGAGGAAACAGGTCACTTGGAAGGGAAGAGGTCACTTGGGAGAGTTAATATCCCCTAGGAGAACTAATGTCACCTGAGAAGGCAGAGATCATCTGGGAAAGCAGAGGTCCCCTGGAAGACCTGAGTTCACCAGGGAGGGCAGAGATAACCAGGGAGGACTAATGTCACTTAGGAGGGCTGAGGTCACCTGAAAAGACTGAAGTCATCTGGAAAGGCAGAGGTCACCTGGGAGAGCTGAGGTAACCTAGGAGGGCACAGATCACTTGAGAGGGGAGAACTAATGTCACCCAGGAGGGCAGAAGTCACCTGAGAAGGCAGAGGTCACCAGGAAGGCCTGCCACAGGTCCCGGGGAATTTAGGGTGCAGCTTCCGTGCCCCTCTCCTGACACTGTGGTTCACTTGAGCCAGTCATGGACATCTCAGATGAAAAGGAGCTATGGAAGAGACTCCTGCTTCATCCAAACTCATGTGTGGCCAGAAAAGGCATAGGTGAGGGCCGTTAAGAACACCCTGACCCGAACTGCAGATGCTAAGCTGGGGAGGCCACTGTGCCAGGCTCAGGGCAACACCCATGAACTGAATCCCTATGAAGGCTGGCTTGTGGGTGCTGACCACTGCACATAGGGGACTGGGATGGCTCACAGGCTGCTGGGCACAGGAAGACAGCTAGGTCCAGACCCTGTGTGGGCAGCCCATGGAGTCTGCTCAGCAGCTCTTCCTGCCAGGAATGGTCAGGAAAGTGGGGGCTGGAGAGTGGGAGCAGCCATCTCAGTAAGTCCTTCCCTGTCTGCTGTGCTGTTCAGGGTTCGGGTGAAGGGGAACTTTGATCCCAAAGCCTGATTAAGATGATGGCTTCTTCAGGATCCAAACTCACTTTATGACAAAAGAAATGTTCATTAGGCACTTCACCATCTTGTAAAATATTCTGAGAGGGACAATCTGCAACAACGCAAAGCTTGTGGGGTTTGAGGTGGGAAAGGAAAATAAAACTCAGGACTCCAATTCACTATGCCAAATGGAAAAAATTAAGCTGAAAGCTGAGTCATGCAAAAAACTGTCTTTCCTTTTGTTCCTCAGCAGATAGCTACAGATAGAAGGTTAAATAGCTCCTCAAGTAGCTAGTCTTATGTTCACCTTATGTAAAGGGCCTATTACTGAGTGTGAGATGAATCCATAATTGACTGTTTTCCTGCCTACTCCTTTTCTCTTGCAACATGTGGATAACCACACCCTCTTTCCCATCTAGCACACTTCTCACCTTTAAATATTGAAGCCCTCACAATCATCTTTGAGAAAGGTACATATACCTGTTTCCTGGGTGCGTCCTTAACCTTGGCAAAATGAAAATTCTAAACTGATTGAGACCTATCTGACATACTTTTTCGTTTACAAGTTGGCAACCAACGGAAGAGACTCTGAGTGAAGGTGGCCCTGACCTTTGACAAATCTACTTGTGCATGGTACCAGTATGAGCTATATTTTTATTTTATCTGTTTTAATTTTGAGACAGTGTTTCACTCTGTCACCCAGGTTGAAGTGCAGTGGCACGATCCCTGCTCACTGTAGCCTCCACCTCCCGGGCTCAGGTGATCCTTCCACCTCAGCCTCCTGAGTAGCTGGGACTACAGGCTTGTGCCACCACACCGGGCTAATTTTTGTAATTTTCATAGAGACAGGGTTTTGCCTTGTTGCCCAGGCTGGTCTTGAACTCCTGGGCTCAAGAAATCCTCTGGTCTTGCAAGGCCTCCCAAAGAGCGGGGATTACAGGCATGAACCACCATGTCTGGCCTTGAGCTATCTTTATTGTTCAAACTGTTACAATAGGTAATTAGTCAGACATGAATAGGTCAGGAGAGGGACCCTCGCCCAGGAATGTCAGGCAACCATCAGATGGTGGTCAGGAGGTTGTTAAACTGCCTCTTGAAAATAATAATTGGCTGCAGCCGGTGCCAGGGAAAGGCAGCCTCCCAATAGAAACACCTCAAGTTGGTAATCAGCAGCTTCCCAATAAGATCTCAGGAGGTGGGCTAGTGGACTTAAGCATGTGCACTAACAGGCAAAATGGCAGAGTTGAACCAGTATATAACCTTTCTCCAGGAACACTCGGCTGGTAAGGGAAGAATGCCTTAAGTGAGCATGTGTACAATTTTGGTAAACACATTGTGTATGTTGCCCCTTCCAAGTGCTGGCAGGCCACTGTGCACGTGGACAGCCCACCCCAAGGGAAAAATCAAGGGAGAAGAGATGCAAACCACTCCCCCGCCCCAAGAGGCATGCCAATGTATGAAACCCCAAGTCAAAGATCAAACCATGAACTTGATCTCTCAAGTCACCCACTCGGCCCTCTTTCAAGTGGACTTTACTTTCTTCAGTTTCTGCTCTAAAGCTTTTTAATAAATTTTCACTCTTGGCTCTAAAACTTGCCTCAATCTTTCACTCTGCCGTATGCCCCTCAGTCGAATTCTTTCTTCTGAGAAGGCAAGAATTGAGATTGCTGCAGACCCATATGGATTTGCTGCCAGTAACAAAACCAACAGGACGATTTGCTGAGGCCTGGGAGGTATCATCTCCAGAGAATCCCTGATTTCTCAAAATGTTGTTGAGATCTAAGGTTTATTTTGCTGTTCAACTCCTTTTCTAGAGTTTTACTTGCATCCAAAAAGATGAGTTTTTCTGAATCCATGATAATGGAAAGCAGGCAACTCCTTTCCAGAGTTTCAGCTTGCTTCCAACAGGGAAGATGAGTTTTGAGTTTTTTTCCTGCTTCTAGGATGATAGAGAGCAATCTTCAACCTGGGCCTTATTCCTACATAAGTAGCTGAAATGGGGTTTGTCTTGGAAATTCTCTGAAAGTTAAGATTAACTACCAGCTGGTCTTGATTCCTCCTTACCATTAGAGTGCTCAGTAATCTTATAAATTGTGCAATCATTTGTTTTGCTTTACTTTTTTGTTGTTGTTTATTTGTTTGGTTCTGTTTTTGTTGTTTTAGTCTTTTTTCCATTGGGTTTGACCACTCTAGTTGACTTGGTCAAACCTGAAGGAAAGTTCTAAATTATGGGGAACAAGACCTCTGAACTGGCTAAATTCCTGAAGCTGGAAAAACAAAGAGAAAAAAAAGAAAAATCAGCCATCGAAGCAAGAAAGATTTCAATTACCTGAAGGGCTTTATTTACATAACAAAACAACCCTTTGCTAGCCAAGCCAAACTGAAATAGCAATAGTGGTTGCCCCATGCTGTAGTTCAGTAGCTAAGGTTCTGCCCTTTTTCCACCATGGCAGCCTGGGTTTGGTTCCTAAATAAAGTCTTTACTGGTTTGATATTTGTGTTACATTTGAAATATTAGAAGTTTGTCCCACCTAAAACATGGTAATGTAACCAAAATGCAGGTTAGTCGCTTGTTGCTTGCAGAGTCCAATTAACAAAAGTGAAGTCTGGTATAAAGAAAGTAATTTATTTCCAAAACTAGCTTAGGGGAAGAAATGCAGGTGTCCTCCATATGGCTTCACTTTTAAAAAGCAGGGGAGGAAGTGAGCAAGGGTGGTGGCGGGGGGTCCATGCTAGCTCTTGTGCCTTATCTACGGGGCAATCAGCTTGTGACTGCTGGCACCTTCATGGGCAGGCTGTTATCTCTTGAGACAACCTCCTAAAGAGTGAGAGTTCCACAGTGGGCATGATTGGTTTATAAATCAACTGTTAATTCTCAAGTTGACTTTCCAGTTTGAGCGTGTAGTTAGATGAACTTGCACTGTAGGGAGAGTCCGGTAATGGGGAGGTAAAAGGCTATATTTGCATTCCTAAAAGCCTAAGTAGGGAGTGGGGAACTGAAGGAACAAGAAAAGGAAAGAAAAAAAATAATAATTGATGTCTCAGGAAAATGGGTGTACTCGGTTACAGCAATGAGATTTTAAAGGATTTTTAAAGCTCAGTGGTTAAAAGTCAGCTTGATTAAATGCTAATATACATAAGGTGTCAAAATTTGGCATGACGGTTATAAAATTATAAATGTAACTCAAAAGATAATTATCCTTGTGTAATTTTTTTTGATAAATAAGTCATTTATCCTGAGTTATTGGCGAAAAACTCATTTGTTTAACCTTAAGCTTCTTACTTAGGTAAACACCTGAAATTCACAGGCTATATAAATGATTAACAGGAAAATACCTTTAAATGTTGATTATCACAGTTTTCATAAGTAATCTAGGTAAACTATTAAAAATAAGTTAGGTAAATGTAATGGAAGGAATGCTTGTAAATAAGCATAATATAATTTAGAATCTAAAGTTATATTACATAACAGGCATTTATTAAATGTCTGGGTCATTCACAATTAAAAAAATTACAGAAAAACATTTTGCTAAGAATATGTTCTTATTTAAAGGAAAATAATTTTTGTTGAATTCAAAGGTTATTTAAAGGTTATGAAACAAGATAAAAGGAACCACTAAATAAGAGCGATATAAAGACAGTTAAAAATATAAAGAGATATTTTTGGTAAGAAAGGTTAAAAGGAAAATTTTATATGAGAAAAAAATCTTGCATGGTAAATGTTTGTTCTAAAATAAAATGGCTGGATGCAAATAGCTCATGCATGTAATCCTAGCACTTTGTAAGGCTGAGGTGAGCAGATTGCTTGAGCCTGGGAGTTCCAGACCAGCCTGGGCAACATGGTAAAACCCTGTCTATACAAAAAACACAGAAAATTAACTGAGTATGCTGGTGCACATCTATAGTCCCAGCTACCTGGGAGGTTGAAATGGGAGGATTGCTTGAGCCTGGGTGGGTCAAGGCTGCAGTGAGCTGTGATCATGCCACTACACCCCAGCCTGGGTGACACAGAGAGAGAGACCTTGTCTCAAGGAAACAACAGCAGCAACAACAGCAGCAACAACAAAGAAATCTTAAAAAAAAGAAAAAGAAGATAAAATGATTGGTTATTTAGGAAAGAAGCTGTTTAGGATAAAACAGGAAGTCTAGGCATGTCATAAGTGGCTTGTGTAAGTCATAGTAAGGTTTGTAAAAAGAGACTTTATGAGAAAAGAATTTATTTGATCAAGTTGGCTATAATTAAAAGGAAATTAGTCTTTCTAGAGACTGTGCTTTTGCACTTAGTGTATATTAAAAATATGCTAATCCACTCAAGAATGGGCTAGAAGAACAAAATTTTCTTAAGATATTAATTTACTCTTAACAAATTACAAGATATTTTAATTTTTTTACCCCAGATTTCAACTTTTATTGAATCTCACTGTTTTCACCTTTCTCTCCCCTTCATAAGTCCTGAGATAATCGCTCTCTCCAACTTTCTTGTCAGTTTCTATAATTTTTTTTCCTCAGGTTCTAACTGCTACTGTGACATGATGCTAAAAGTGTTTTATCTTAAAGGTCTAAAGGAAATATTTTCTTCCAATATAACATTCTGTGCTCTTGGTTTGAAGTTTTTCTATGAAACTGAAAATTTTCACTTATGATGCAAGACACACCCTTCCTATATCTAACTAATTCAAGTACCATTTTCATTAGTTTTGACTTGAAGTCTAGGGAAAAGCAATTGCTGCAGGTCTTTTATTTATTTTTTGCCTTTTGGTAACTGGCCTAACAAACAGATTTTATATTTTATTGAAACAATTCCTATGTCATTAAGTTTTTTATTTGCCTAGGAAAACTGAGATTTAAAAAATTAAAGTTATTAACATCCATACAATGTTCTGTATTGCTTTTAAAGTCCTTGTTCTGTTGAGTTACAGGGCTTTGACTCCTGTATCTAAAAAGGACACCAAGTCCTGCTAAATCTTAAACACTGAAAGCTTCTAAAACCGTATCTTCAGAACCAGGAGAAGATGATAATCAAAAGAAACTGCACTCATGAAACACAGGGCCAGAAATTGAAACTATCTTACCCCTCAAAGTCCAGGGGCTATTGTGGAAGATGTGGGTACATGCGATTGTAAGAGCCTATTTTGAAAGATAAAATTGGTTTTATCTTGGTTACAGTTTCTCTGTAAAGATTAGTATCAAAGGCTCACTGATGCAAGACTAACCTCTGAGCTCCTGTGTCAGATTAACAAGGTTTTCTTGGAGTATTAACCCACTTTTTCATTTAAAAAATTATAAAATGTTACAAAAAGGTTTTTGGAAATTATATAGTATGGTGAAGATCATTAAAATTTAATAGATTTGTTTATAAGATTTGAGAAACAGATTTCATTGGCCTCATGCTATCTTTATTAGGGCTTATTGTTTGGAAAATTAAGTCTCCTCTCTCAAAGAGTAATGGTTTTGTCTTTTGACTTTTTTTTTTTTGAAATCTTTGAGTTATCACTTTGGTTAAATGAATGACTTATTTTACAATGACCAATGACCAATGATCCTATTTTGTGATAGCAGGTGTTTTAAAGTTTTGATATTTGATTTTTTCAAAATTAAATTCTAAATTCAGTCCTTTTGACTCATTAATTTTTTTGATATTAGGTCCCCTTAAGTCCAAAAGACACATATTTGCCTTATTTGGTATAATACAATCATTAGATATTAATTTCATATTTGACAATACCTACTGTATAATTTTATTATACCAAATAAATGTAACCTAATAATCTATAATTATAATTTATATTTATAGATTTAACCTGTAATTTTATTATACCAAACAGGTATAACCTCATTTCATGGGATGCGCCCATTCCCCTGAATTCCTCCATCTCCCCTGGGACCTGTGTTGAAGGTCATCTCAGTAGCTTCTAGGTTTTAGTGATAATGAATAAGGCAGTGAATGTGACATGTAGGTTTTAGGTGTACATACATTTTCAAGTCAGCTAGGTCAACGTCTATGACACTTGTGGTCACGTGGTACAAGTACATTTAGCTTTGTGAGCAATTCCCAACTGTCTTCCAAGGCGGCTGTACCATTTTGCATTCAGCAGCAGCAGCATTTTGCAGCAGCAATGCACAGAGTTCTTGTGGCTCCACATCCTCTATGGTGTTTGGTGTTGTCAGTGTTGCCTGTGAAGTCTGAGCCCCTCTTGTGGGTCTCTACCTCAGGTACTTGTGGGTCATAGAGAGAACTTTTCACCATGCAGCATGATTGTGTTTGCTACTGCTTGTTTCCTCAGTAGCCACTTGGGTTCTGGACCCACATGCCCCAGCTCGGCCCATGGTTTGGAGCTCAGTAGATGCTCTGTGATGCTGGCTGCTCCCTGGCCAAGAGAGCCCTTGGGGGGCTCTGTCACGTCCTATCTTGGACTCCTGCATGGGATGCCCCTATTCCTCTGAATTCCTCCGTCTCCCCTGGGACCCTCCATCCCCCATAGGCCTTACCTGACTCTGTAGTGCTCCCAAAACATGACATGGTGTCTGAAGGTGCACTTCATGTCCAGGTCAATCTGGTTTATTTTCGCTGAGGACATCTTGCCCTGCTGCTTTATTTTCTGCTCCCTCTGCTCCCAAATCCTAGGCCCTCCTGAGTGTGAGCCCATAGAAAGACCCTCTTCCCTTCCCTAAGTGGCCACCTGGACTGATAACCTGTGGTGGATGAGGATGGGGCTGGTCCTTCCCTGGGGCTCACTCTCCCGCAGTTGCTTTACAGTGAGAGCCCTGTATAGGAGCCCTGCTCCTTTATTTTCTTTAGGGCAGGGCTAAAGGGCTGGTTCCTCAGGAAGGAACCAGCCTTATAACAGACAAAAGGCTCACTACCACAAACAGCAATCATTCAGCACTTCTGGAAGGAAAGACGATTTTTTTTTTTTTTTTTTGCAGAAATATCCTTCTCTATCTTATTTCCAAAGCCACTGAGGGTCACCAGAGCCCAGTTCACTTGTGGTTCCCATGCCATCGTCTGTGCCTAGGATATGGGACTGACCATCACTCAGGCTTGACTTTTCCTCTAGCTAGAGACCTGGGCTCCTGACATGGCCTGGCCTGTTTCTTCCGCTGTGGCTGAGTGTGGAAGGACCATACCTGGTACTTACTTGGGTTTTCAGCCTTCACCTTCTTAACGTCCAGCAGGAGTGACCATGCCTGACTCCACATCTGCAGGGGGATTCCTTAACAACATGCTTTTTTGCCTTAACAACATGCTTTTGCTGCAGATATCAGCCAGGGCCTGTTTCTCTGCTCCTCGCTAAGAATGCTTTGTTTCCCATAAGGAATGCTTTTAGCTAATATATAATCTATAGAAGCAATGCTTATCACTGGCTTACTGTCAATTAATATGTGGGTCTAACTCCATTCATGGCTCTCAGCTCTGAAGGCTATCAGCCCCTGATTCCCACTCTACACTCTATTTCTGTGTCTGTGTCTTTAATTCCTCTAGCGCCACTGGGTTAGGGTCTCCACGACCGAGCTGGTCTTGGCAATTGGTTGGGAGGACAGAAGACTGACTCACTGTGGAATCTCAAGCTGACTGATGACCTTGTAGATGTAAACATCTTCATCTCCTGTGTCCACTGGTGCCCTGGATCAGCAACCTGCAAGGCAGAGGGAGAGAGGGTGAGGGAGGCCAAAATAAAAGTTGTTGGGTATGGGCGTGTGGGCAGCTCATCCTTGCCCTGCATCCCGAAGGAGTCCAGGACCATCAGACCAGGGAACAGAGGGAGAGGTGAGACCCGCCTCCCTGGAGGGAGCAGCCTGACCTGTGTCTGCTTATACTTGGCAATGATGTCCCTTTACTCCTGGGCGAGCAGGATATCCATGTCTTTGTCCATATCCACCCTATAAGACAAAATACTCCCAAAATTACATGGCACCTGAGAGCTTTAGAGAACACCCCATACATCTGCTCCCAGATGCCAGCCGGGTGAACTTCATTTCACCAACACCCCCAGGACAATGGGACCAAGCCAAATGGCCCCACCTCTGCCAGGATTTCTGGAGTCCCTGGGCCTGACCAGAGGTGGGCCCTTTCCTGAGGACTTTAAAACAAGGAGACCTAGACAACAAGACTTGTTGTCCCTAAATGTCCTGAAATGGGCACACACTCCACAGCAGGATGAACGGCATCTACCTGCTCAGGGTGAAGGGCCATGATGACTATAATGGACACCTGGAGGCAGACTAGGGCCAGGAACCAGAAATCTCTATATGATCAGCCTCCTGCTATTGTTCAGACACCATGAAGATGCCCAGTTTTCTATAGGAAAGAAGAAATCTCATGAGTGTTCTGTTCCACTCAAATCTTTACTCACTGTGGCCAGTGAATCCATTTGAAGAATAACACCAGTCAAGAAGGAGGATGTTTGGTTCGGAGAAGGCTTGATCTATTGTCTCCAAAGCAGCCTCCCTTTGGTGGAGGGAGGGCAGATTCCACAGTCCTGAGCAGTTGATACAGGAAGAGGCTTTGTTTTCCCAGGTCACCAAAGAACAAGTGAACTCTTGGGGACAGGTTCTGGAGAACACCCAGAGGGGCCATCTCTCCTGGGAATACCTGAGACAAAGGGAAGGTGATACGTCTGGAGGACAGGTCAGAGAGAGGGCCTTGCAGGTTAAACCCCTGTCCCCAGGCCTCAGAGAACAGGAGGAATGACTGTCACCTTTCGGCCAGACCTCCAGGGTTTCTTCATTTTCCACAACTATTCGAGGGCAGAGGGCTCCCAGCTCTGCTCCCAAACTGGAAAACTCCAGTGCCTGGTGGGTCCCACAGTAACCATCAGAGCCCACACTTAAAGTCTGAATGGATAAGATCCCTGCCTCTGGGGAACTTTTTCTTGCACAGACTTGGACTGAGGGATGCCTCTAACCCCACCCACAGGGCCCCCCATTCCTGTGGCTCTTCCAGAGCCAGGTTCTACCCCCACTGGGGTCCAGAATCCTCAGCAGATTTTGTATCTAAGGCAGGAAGGCTGCAGAGGTCAGGAGTTGAGTGCAGGACAGCACAAGGCAGGGCTGAGATCACAGTCCAGAGTCACATCTGGGTCCCTGGGTCAGTTGCCTCCGCTCTGACCTCAGGCATCTCATCTTCAAATGGGTACATTAGCACCCATTCCACGAAGTCAGTGTGAGGGTGAATGAGACGGCTGCAATACATGGTCAGTGAAGAGAAAGCACCTGGTGGGAGCTCAGCGACATTACCCTCCACAGCGCCCCGGAGGCCAGTGATGCCATCTGGTAGCATCTGCCCCCATGTCAGCAGGAAGGGGAGACAGCAGGTCACACTTACCCGAGAATGATCAGTCAGCTGTGCTGAGATGTGCCTCTCACTTAGAAAAGGGTCCTGCACACAGAGACACTCACAGACACCACTGTGTGTCTCCAGCTGCTCCACAACTCAGAGGCAGGCAGATGTTCAGCAACAGTGACGTCTGGGGTTACAGCACCCATCAGAGTGGGGCCCTGCCTGGGTCAGCAGGGCCCAGGTCCAGTGTCCTCTACTCCTTGAACTGTCAACACGCATGCATTCAATGTGTTTGTGTGTGAGTGTGAATGTGTATGTTGTGAACACGTGTGTGCATGAGTGTGTCTCTTCTCTGGCTGGTCTTGGCTGCTCCACCACATGTGCACCCAGGTCCTCATCACTGTCACCCCCAAGGGCTGTGGCCAGCATCAGAGCATCTATGGGTGCTCCCTAGTCTCTGCCCTCTCCACCTGAGGCAGTTCTGGATATGCAGACATAGGAAGGGCAGAGGGCAGAGGGCTTGCCCTTTCCTCATAGGGACTCAGTTTGTGTGTAAAATTTTAGGCCTACATGCTCAGCAGGGCAGGATTCAGCACACCTTCTCACGTCCTCCTCCTCCTCGAAGCCTTCTGGGCTGCTGTGTCCATTCCCCTTTTATAGATGAAGGGAAGGAGGCTCCCAGGACAAATCTCCTGTCTGAGGTCACACAGTGGCAGGTGACTAGGCACCACTGACCAGGTCCCCTGCCTAACTGGACCTGAGGAAGGAGGAAGCTCAGGAGGGAGGTGGGTGGAATCACCTCTTGGATGTCAGCTTCTGTCCACCAGGTGTCAGGTGACCCCCTCTTATCTGTTTTCTTTACCTCTGCTATCTCCCTTGGTCATTGAAATTGAACTGGGGTGGGGACATATTGGGAACCTATACCTGCAGCCCTTCCATCTCCTCAGAAACCTTCCCATGGGCCCAAAAATGCCCCCTCACTGGCCTCCTGTTTTCTACTCTTTAACTCTTAACCTCACCCAGGCATGGGGCCATAGTGGCCTGGAGACCCTATCAGATGCAAGTCCATTAGGGCACATCCCTGCTTAGGGGTCACCACCAGTGCCCCATCCCAATGGGACGCTCCAGTGGCTAAGAAACCCCCTTGCTCCCACACAGCCATGTGGAAACAACCTCATGTCCATTGAGAGATGAAAGGAAATGGAGGCTATCCTCACAATGGAATATTATCCAGCCATGCAAAAGAAGGAAATCCTGCCATTTGCAACATGGATGAACCTGGAAGACGCTGTGCTAAGTGAGACAAGCCAGTCACAAAAAGACATATACTGTATAATTCCACTGAGATAAAGTACCTAAAATAGTTAAACTCATAGAAGCAGAATGTAGAATGGGGGTTACTGGGAGGTGAGAAGAGGGACATGAGGAGTTGCTTTTCAGCTTGTGTAAAATTTCGGGTATGGAAGATGATTAAATTCTAGAGATTCGATGCATAACATCCTACCTATAGTAAACAATGCTGTATTACACATTAAAAAAATTCTGCTAACATTAGGAGATATATGTGTGTGTACCTGTGTGTGTATACAGTGTAGTATTTTTTTTTTTTTTGCTGAACAGTACTCCATTGTATGGATGCACCATAGTTTGTTTACATGTTCACCTGTTAAAGGACATTTAGTTTGCTTCTGGGTTTTGCCTATTATGACTGGAGCTTTTATAACAGTTTGTGTACGGGTGTCTGTGTGGACATAAGCTTTTATGTCTTTAGGAGAAATACCAGGGCTGAGATTGCTGGTTCCCGTGGTAAGTATATGTGTAACCTTACAAGAAACAAATTGCTTTCCAGTGCAGCTGTGCCATTTTGCTTTCCTGGCAGCGATGTGTTAGTCCTGTTGCTCCACATCCTCGCCGGCACTACTAGTGTCTGTGGTTTTTATTTTAGACATTCTAATGGGTGTGTAACAGGATCTCACTGTGGTTTTGATTTGTAGTCCCCTAGTGAGTCATAGTATTGAGTACCTTGTCTGGGCTGCTCTGCCTGCTGCGTGCCCTCGTTGCTGAAGTTTATGTCTGAGTCTTTGTCTCATTTCTGAAACTGGTTTTGTTTTCTTGTTTTTGAATTGAATTGATTGTTTTAATTGGGTTGGCTTGAGCATTCTTAAGTGTTCTGAATATGAGTCCTTGTCAGACGTGTGCTTTTTTAAAATATTTTCTCCAAATCTACAGCTCATCTTTTCATTCACTTAACAATGTATTTTACAGAACAAAAGTTATAATTTTGATGAAGTACAACTTATTGAATTTATTTTTGCCTTTTGCTATACTTTGCTTTCAGTGTCACATCTATGAACTCTTTGCCTAACTAGATTGGAAAAATTTTTTCTCCTATGTTTTAGTCTAAGCATTATATATTTTTATATTTTATGCTTAGATCTACGATCCATTTTGAGTTAATATTGTAACTAATGCAATTTGTTACAT